>NC_000012.12:107157097-107460128 GCF_000001405.40 Homo sapiens
TCTGCAAAGCCTTGCACAACATGTGAATCCTAATATTAGACCTTCAAATGCGGAAACTTGGTAAATCCCATATGTGCATAACAAATGCTTACTCCACATTTTTCCAGGTCTCTGATTTATTCAGCAGGATAAGTTATTAATAACTGTAATGCTGGGTGAGATAAAGTTACCTGTCATAACAAATTTGAGTCTGGAAGTAAATAAAGTAAAAAACTGGGAAAACCCCCAATATCTTAACATTTATTAGATTCCCATTAATGTCACGTTCCTATTACTAAGGTATCTAGGTAAATACTACAGAAGAATTGGAGAGAAAACCTCCAATAGGATTGGTTACATGTCTTTTAGAGGAATTAAGATACTGCAGAGAGAGAAGAGTGATTCTTGGAAAGAATGCAGAACCAGATACTCATATTACTGAATTTATGATACTGAGGTAGTACTAGGTAGTAGAAAGAGCTTCAGGCTGTAACATGGTTTGTCTCTGTGTCCCCACCAAAATCTCATCTTGAATTGTAATCCCCACGTGTTGAGGGAGGGAGATGATTGGATCATGGGGGCGGTTTCCACTATGCCGTTCTCATGATCGTGAGTGAGTTCTCACAAGATCTAATGGTTTTATAAGAGTCTCTTCCCCCTACACTTTCTCTTCTCTCTCCTGCTGCCTTGTAAAGAAGGTACTTGCTTCCCCTTCCACCATGGTTATAAGTTTCCTGAGGCCTCTCCAGCCATGTGGAACTGTGAGCCAATTAAAACTCTTTCCTTTATAAATTACCCAGTCTCAGCGAAGTTCTTTATAGCAGTGTGAACATGGATTAATACAGGCTGGAACTCAGCATATCTAAATCCTAGCCACTGTTCTACCACTATAGCAAACTTAGACAGTTTACTTATTCAACCTTGAATGCCTTACACTGACATTCAGTCTGCAAATATTTATTGAGCTCCTACTATATCACAGGCTGCAACAGACACTGTGAGTAGCCAACTCAATATCCACATCCACTTCTTTGCCCATAGAACGCTGATTTTGTTTGGGGAGGCAATTTGCTCAGCTAACTACTTCCTTTCCCAGTCTCCGTTGCAGCTAGAGGTGGCCATGTGACACAGTTTTGGCCGATGAGACAGAAGCAGAAGATAGCTGGGGATTCACATGGAGATCAGAGGTCCCTGGGATGCAGAGAAGACTTGCTTTTTTCCTATACAGACTTCAGAATCTGGTTCTGTCTATTACCAACAAGTTCTATGATAAAGGATGGATACCTGGCTTAGTCTGTGAGGGAGTAACAAAGCTGAGAAAGCTTATTGGAAGAGGTGATTTTTAAAGTGGGTCATGAAATATCTCTGGGCTTCTGGTTCCTCATTTATAAAACAAGAAGATTGAACTAGATTCACTGTTTATATCTTGGGTTAAAATTAAAAAAGCCACTGATGAAAAAATATCTTACTTATAAATATAGAGAAAGTTAAAGGAGCAAAAAGCCGTATTATATTTGGAATAATAAACAGGGCATTGGATACGGGTTTGTGTGTGTGCATATGAGAAATTCAACAACTTCAACGTGGAAACTACAGCCCAGGGCAAAGAGTGAGCTTTCCTGTAAACCACGGCCCTAAAGTGTTCAGAAGATATTTTTATTAATTTGTTTTTGGATCCATTTTTTTAAAAATCATTCTTCCTTGGGAAAAACTCAGATTGCAAAAATTCCGAACAAGAAAGAGAACTGCTTGCCTGTTAATAGAGGTGAGAGAGAGTGGAAGGAACTGAACCTGACCATCTGAGAGAAAAGGAGGGGGGATTTAATTTGACAACAACATGACCCAAGAGAATGATCTCAAAAGGCAAATGCAACTTGACTCCCTTTTAGTGGAGATGAAAACTAATTTTGTCTAAAGCTTTCTAGTGAACAAAATGTTTTCATATCCCTTATCTTATTTGATCTTCACAACAACTTGACGGGGAAGCATTATTAATATCCTTCTTTGACAGAGAGGAAAGCTGATAGGATCTCTTCAAGGTCAGACAACATAAGTAAGTGGTAGAACTTGGACTCAAACACTCCAAATACTATATTCTTTTCATGATTGCAGAACTGCCTCAAACTGCAATTTAACAAAAAGAAAATGGTTTGCACATCTTTTAACAACAAGAACATCAGCACAAATGTTTCCTACACAAAATAGTTAAACAGCAAACTCTTGGTGAGGCAGCTAGTAGGCAATTTTCTACGCGAGTCTTTTATTCCAGTTATTATAATTTGAAGCCAAGGGTGGAAAATTTGAAAGTGGGATCACAGGAAGTAACTACAGAGTAGAGGGCTTTACATTAGTCTAGATAGGCTAACTGCTATAACAAAGAACCAGCCACTCTTAACACAATAAAAGTTTATTTCTCACTTTCAAAATGTGGGTATTCCTTGTCAGGCTGGCTTTCATGTAAGGGGTAATTTAGGGATTACAGTCTTTCCACCTCGTGACACCACCGTCTTCACACATGGCTCTCTGTGAAAGGGTGAGCAAACATGAGGGCACACCATATACTTAACCAACTGACTTAGCTCTATAAAGACACACACATCACTTTTGCTCTCATTCATTGTTGGCTAGAAATAGTCACCTGACTGCCATGTAGAAGAAAGTTAGGTTGGGAAATGTAGTCCCTGAATGGGCAGCTGCTTTCCAGTATCCAAGATACATGATAGAAGGGAAACATGAATCTCTGGCATCAGCTGCCTCTGCTGTAGAACTCAAAGTCATTGGATCATTGGTTCTCACCCCACTAAAACCTGGAGAGGCCTACAAAACATGTTCAATTGCAGCAATCTAGAAAGAAGGCATTTTGTACCAGGAATATTTGTAGAATTGGAGGAGAGTTGCACCATCAGCATTGGCTCAGGTGTAAGTAATAGCTAAGGGAAACAGAAGTAGTTAAAGCCAGAGAAATGTTACTGGGATGATTCTGTGTTTTAAAGATGTGTTCTGGTTAGTATTTAGTGCCCACTTTATGTGGCAGGTTTAGAAGCACAAAGTCATTGAGGCAGTGTGTCAGCTATCTTCTGTGGATCCCCTAGATTCACTTTACCATTTTCCACTCTGCCCTCTACCCTAGGAGCCTTCCCTGTCTGTTCTACATTGAAGGGCTGCCCAGCCCTCTGTATCCCAATTGGGGAACCCATGCAGCCCATAAGAAGCCCTGGTAGAAGACTAGAGAAAGGGAGGAGAGGAGGTCAGGGGTCTGTGCCCTTGGCTTCATTCCTGCAAGGTAGCCTGAGGTTTGCCATGTCCTTCTATGGATGGTCACTGCTCCTTCAAGCTTCTGTGCTTTGCAAGACCCTCTCTTCTTCCAGGTTGTGGTAACATCTCTGTCCTGGGATCCCTTCAAGCCTAGGAGTGATAATAGTTCTGCTATTCCCAGCCCAGGGTTTCTGTGCCATCTTCAGGGGTCCCCCAGATCTCATTCACACTTTTGTTCTTAGTTTCTTTGCAAAAAAATATAATTTGATTTTGCCACTTGTTTCCATGTTTGGCTAACATATTTAAAAAAATCTGTTAGCATTATGCCCTCAGCCCCAAGCAGGAGGTACTTTCTCTGTATAAACTGGAAGAATCCTTTTTTTGTTGTTCTTAGCATTTTTTAAATCAGCCTCAGAGATTTGGGGCTTTACCCCCTGGACATGATTCTTACAGGGCTTCGCCAGATTTTGTGTATTCAGTCTTGATTATGTGTCCCTCATTCCCTCTTCCTGTACATGCCCTTTGAAAATTTGAGCTCATCAGCACAGTCCCCACCCAGTCACATGTCCTTCATCATTGCTCCCTGAATCTTCTAAAAGAAGAAATTGCTAACAAGGCAAGTGAAGGATTCATCAAATGTTTTGCTTTTTGCAGAATGAGAGTTCCATCAGATATCAAAAAAGCTGAATTAGGAAGAATCCAGTAGAGGAGGTAAAAGCTTGTTTTGAGATTTCCTGTGTTGCCAGAGAAATCCAGATATGCTGGATATCTAAACTCAACTGTTGTTTGTCCAATTCATTTTCTTCCCTGATTATTTTTGAAGTCTGTATTTTTTTTTTAAAGTTTTACCTGGTTTTATCACAGCTCTATGCTGAGTCATCTCCCTTCTCTATTCTCTCAACTCTCCAAGGAAAATTTTGTTTGATTTCCAGTTTCTCCTCTTAGCCTACACTTTTTTGATCCTGCTTCTCTGAGAAACAACTTTCTTCTAGCCTCAGCTGGTACAGAACCTGCTCTTCCTTTTCATCTTCTACAGTGGAATTTTTGAGTCAGATAGAATTGGGCTTGACTTCTGCCACTTTCTAGACTGAGTGACCTTGGTGAGATTTCTGGACCTAATCTCAGTTTCTTCATTTGTAAAATGGAGATAAGAAAGGTTCCTAGCTCAAAGGACTACTATGAGTGTTACATGGGAAAATGAATATGCCATGTATGGCAAATAGAGAGCACTCAACAAGTACTGATCATTTTTATTATAACCCACTGTATGTGACCTAAATGCCTGGGTTCTAGATTTGATCTGTTGTTCAAAGTGGAACCTGAGGTCTTTTTTCCCTTCTGGAGGACCCCAGAAGTGTTCTTACTTGTTTATTGCTGACTGATGCCCTTCCATTTGTTCTGGTTATTGCTCTAAATAGAGCAGAGTCACTTAAAATATGCATAAAAAATCAAACTGAACCAATATTTATGGAGTACCTTATAAATACCAGATATTGTGTCGACAATGCTCAATAGATCTTCTACAAGAAAGGTTAATGCTAATTACAGGCTCAGACACAGGCAGTGGACAACTTTGTTTGTATAAGACGGTCGTCAACTTTTTTATTCCCTACTCTAATTTGACTTTCAATTTGTTCTAATCATCTGACCATAGGCAGCATTTTCTGGAACAGGTTTTTGAAAGTTTCAAAAAGGCAATCATAGACACATAAAATTTGGATGGAAGGGATTATTTCAAAATCACCTGTTTTTAGTACTCTTTTGCTTATCAAAAGACAGCATTTGCTTTGAATAAATATAATTTCAAAAGGCTTTTTTAATGGTCATTCGTTCTTGATAAAGTTGCATATTTGTTCAGGTTTTATTTGCTCTAACTCTGTACCTACACATTTGTACCAGCTCTTTTCCCTCCTCCACAGGGACCTGACCCAATTTTCTGTTTCAGTGGGCTTTCCAATTTGCATTTAAGTTCTTTATGCCATTCTTGTCACCTGGTTGATATATCTAGGTTTAGCTACCTTCAATTGTTTCTTCTTCCATTTAATTTTTCCCATCCCTTCTTATATCCCAGGATATTTGCCTCTTTTGTTTTTGTCTTTGAAATGTCACTTAAGACTGACAATTTTGGAGCTAGAAAGACCTCTAAAAGTCATCTATTTTATAGATGATGAGTTTGGAATGTTCTTGGTTGCAAGTAACAGGGTATGCAAATAAAGTGGTTTAAACAATAGGAGTGCACATTTTTCATATAACACTAAGTCTGAAAATAGGTTGTCCCAGGTTGTTTCAAAGGCTCAACAATGTCAATGACGACCCGGCTCTTCCCATTTTTCCATGCTGGAACTTCAGTGTGTTTGCAATGTCTCCTCTCAAGGTCTAGGCAAGCCATAGCAGCTCCAAGTATTATAGTCTCATTTTTCAGCATCCCAAGAAGGCAGTAGATAGGGTCAAAAGTCCTTCTCATGAATCTTTTTCTTTTATCAGGGAGGACAAACTTTTCCTGAATGTTTTCATCAGACCTTCTCTTAATCTCATGGGTCATAACCTAATCACAAGCCTACCTTTAGACCAATTAGTGTCAAAAAGAAAATAATTCCCATCCTTGGCTTAAACCAATCATAATTAATTCCCCTGGGGGTGGGCACATTCCCACATACAAACAACTGTGGTTCTATTATCCAGAAGGAAGATGAAAGGACTGTTGGATAAGCACACCTGCCTAGTCTCCACATACCTACTGCCACCACCATTTATAGGGGAGAAATCTGAGGTCCATTGAGGTTAAAGGCTTCCTAAGGAACACATACATAGAATGTGTCAAAGCCAAGACTGAGTCCTTCATCTTATGTCCCAGAATTAATTCCTCCATTCAATAATTTTTAAAGTAACCTTTAACCATAAAAGTTCTGGGGAAGAAATGGAAGTCAGTAGAGAGCCAAGTCAAGGGGAATTTCTTTTCCTGTTTCCATGTCCCAGACTCAGACTTACAGGGTGATAGACTTATTATGTCCAAATTTGTGAAGTTAGCTCATACATTCATCCAACAAATACTTACTGCTCTCCTACAATATGTTAAGAATAGTATTACATGCTAGGGATACAGTTCATTTGGTTCATTTTCATAATTGCGCCTTCAAATATTAAATCGAAATCCAGGGGTAGAACTGTAGAAATCATTGTAATTGTGGATAGAGATAACATGTATTTCTCAAAGCTTATTTTATTTTCCTCTTCCTAGTCACATAGGAAGACTACATTTCCCAGCCTCCTTTGAAACTAAGTTGGACCGGATGTGGGCAGAGGTAATGTATGTCATTTCCAAGTCTGGCTCTAAAACTCTTTATGCTCTGGAAAAGGAGCAGGATCATCTCTACTAGGCATTTTTCCTGTAGTTTGGATTGTCAGACAGTATCTCCACCTTTTTTCGCCTTCAGCTTCATATGGTTTAGCAAATTAATAGCTTTGAGGATAGTCTTGGACTCTCATAGCTTTTTAACACTTTCCCACCGGTTCCTTTTAATAAATGGCCTCATCTTGTTTTATTTCAGCTTCTTTGAAATGAAGAAATGTTTCCCTTTTTAAATCTGAAGCAGAAGTCTATTTTTCCATCTGGAGGGGAAGGTCTAGAAGTAACAACCTCATTAGTGGAAGTTCAAGCCCAGTCACAGATTGTGGAGAAGGGGGTTAAGTCTCATCTCAGGGTTGGGCTTAGTTGCTTTTAATTCCCTTCTAGTCATGAGAGTCTGTGTTCTTATGCATTTGCTCTATTTCTGCCTCTTAATACTAACAACTTAATGGGGAGAGGAAAGTGAAAACAAGATAAATCTAAGCCTTTGAAAGTTCTAAGTCCCTCACATGTAAAACTGGGATAGCAAACTCTACTTCATTGGGTTGTTGGAAGGATTCAATGAGATAAGAGATAAGATGTTTCAACAATAAGGCCTAGCACATGCTAGAACTTAAAAATGATGTTATTTAAATTATTATATTGTTATTGTTGAGGGATGCCAGAATATGGTAGTTAAGAACCTAGACTAAGAACCTCAGAATGCCTGTATTCAAATCCCTGCTCAGCCATGTACTTGTCACATTATTTGTATAAGTCACTCAATCTCCTATTACACATTGTTTCTGTCTGCAAAATGACAATAATAATAATATTTGCCTCACAAAGTTGTTATGAGAATTGAGTTAATTCATTGAAAATGCTTAGAACAGTACCTGGCACAGTTAAACACTTCAGACTGTTAGTGGTTCATGTGGTAGTTTCGTTTCTCTTGCCTTATTACATCTTTTTTTTTTTTTTCAAATGAAACAGCATGGCATTAAATCAGCCTCATGACTTAATATAGGCCAAGTGATATGGGACCTTTTGAGATTTCTATGTTAGAAAATGGAAAATTGTCTTGGTTTCCTACATGCAATTTATTCTTGCCATATCTTCTCTCTGTCTAGTGCTTAGTATAAACAGTAGGTCCCTAATCAATTGTGTATTAAAATTCTATGCTTGCCTTTTCTGATTTTATACTATATGTTGCATATTTGATATGAAATGTTTGGTTTTGTGACCATTTCACGTTTCAGTACCCAAAAGTGTTAAGTCATTTCTAAAAGCCTCATAACATTTATTAATTTTTCAGACAGGGTCTCACTCTGTTGCCCAGGATGGAGTTCAGTGGCACGATCATAGCTTACTGCAGCCTCAACCCCCAGGGATCAAATGATCCTCCTGCCTCAGCCTTTCAAGTAGCTGGGACTACAAGAATATGCCGCCACATCTGGCTAATTTTAAATTTTTTTTGTAGAAATGAGGTCTTGCTATGTTTTCCAGGCTGGATTATAGACGTGAGCCACTGCACCCAGCCTAAAAGTCATATACTTATTTAAATAAAAGCCACTTTCATACAAAAGAAGAGGAAACATGAATTGTTAGCCTTTGAAAATTTAGCATACCATGAGGTGCTTCAAAGTTTTACTTCTTGTCAACAGATGCTGTACCTTTTCTGAGTTAGTGGCTCAGTTTTAGCTATTGGCTACATATAAAACATTTCTTAAGTAAGTACTGGAAATTGAATAACAGTCTCAATCAATATCTCATTAAAATGCATGAAAACATTGAAAAGGTACCAAAGATAACCAGTGACCTATATAGTATGTGGAAAAGTTATCTAACTTCTAGGGCTTTGATAACTGATTTGGATATAAAAGAAAGATAAACTACAATACCTTTTGAATCTTTTGAATAGACAATAAGAAATCAGTTCCATGGGTCTTTACAATTTGTTGTAACAACACACAATATCACATGTTCAAGTTAACTGCTACACATTTCATTAAAGGTGATCTATTTGTGGGAAAGACAGAGACCGAGAACAGAGAAAAATAATAGATTGACTCACCTCACCTCCTCAGTTTAATAGGCTCTAAGTCCAAAAGGTCACAAGGACAACTGAGTCAGTGGGGGAACCCAGAGAAGCTAATCATTCATAAACTCTTGTATTGCTCTTCCCTACCTAACCCAGGAGGATGAGAGAGGATTGGTTGTTACAACACAATATGTTATGTAACTCTTGGAGACCCTATTGGGTTGTTCCTTTAACATTAAACAGAACCTGGATTTGAGTCCTGGTTCCATTATTTCCTGGCTATGTGGTCTTGTGACATCACATTTTCTTCATTCGTAAAATGGGGATAATAACAGTCTCTACTTCTGTGAGTAACTGTGAGAATTATAAAGCACTTTGCAATAGACCTGACACATAGTAAATGCAAAATAAATGTATCTATTATCATCATTATGTTCAATTATATTAGGTAAGTCACTTCAGCTTTCTGGTCCTTAGTTTGCCTCATAAGTCAAAATGAGCATGACTATTCGTACTCATTTGAGGGCATGCAGATAGATGATCTCCCAAGGTCATGTCCCATGATTCTTGACTGAAAAAAAATTATATCTCTATCTCTATCTATCTATCTATCATCTATCTATCTTATATCTGTATTTCCATATATCTATATCTCTTCCTCTCTCTCTTTCTCTCATTCTCTCTCTCTCTTTCTCTCTCTCTCTTTCTCCATTTGTCTTGAACATAGAGCATAGGAGTAAAACTGACCCATGATTATGAATCAAACTATGAGCATGTTGGCAAAGTCACCTGTGTGATGGAGTTATTTTGACACTCTCCCTCACACCCATATTCAATGTATTATTCATTAAACAAATACATAACAAATGTAAGTGCCAGATATTCACCAGGCCATCTTTTAGAAACTGAGAAAACAAAAATTCAAAGTCTCTGTCCTCTTGGTGATCATTTCGAAAGTACTATCAGTAATAGACAATAAACAAATGAGGAAATGAATACCATGACCCCATCAAGTCCTGTGAGCTATATCTTCAAAATATAGCTCAGATCTGACCATGCCCACTGCCTTTCCTGCTACCATCATATAAATCAACATCATTTCTGGCCTTGGTTACTGAACCGGCCTCCCAACTGGTTGCCCTGTGTCCACTCCTGGTACCCTCATGCCTATTCTGCACCCAGCAACATATGTGGATATTACATTATAGCACTCCCTTACTTAAAACCTACAGATGGCTTCCCATCACACTTGAAACAAAAACCAAAGCCTTTTCCTATATGATCTATCCCTTGGCTACCTCTTCATTGACTTCTTACCGCTCACTCCCTTCTTCTGTCCACTGCAGCCACATTTGTCTGTCTGTCCTTCCTCAATCATGCCTTTGTACTTCCTGTCCCTCTGCCTGGGGTACACTTTCCTTATATTTCTCTCCATCACCTCATTTGAGTTTTAGCCCTTCAGGACATCTTTCCAGCTACCCTTCTCAGAATAAGCTGTCCATCCCATCTCTCTTTAGACCGTGTCCTGCTTTATTTTACTACAGTTTAAGTGAGCACTTTCTACCAGCCAAGCGCTGCAGTAAGCACTGCAGTAAGTCTCTGATGTGCATTGTCTTCTCTAATCCTGACAACTCCAGGATATAAATATGGATGTTATTTCTATTTTTCCAGATGCAGAAACAAAGGCACAGAGTGGTCAGGTCAGTAATGGAGCTGGGATGTGATCATCTGACTGCTAAGCATGCTATCCCACCCCTAGAAAGCTCTTCCTGAAGATGATTCCTTTGGTACTTGGAGGCTGTTTTATGTTCTTTTAATCTTCCCTGAGGGTGTTCATTCTGACATGTCTGTTTACCCCATCACTGTGAGCCTTTGAAGCTGGAGATCATCTTACTCATTTTTACATCTTCACCAACCAGCAGAGACTCTGGCAGGTATTACAGTCAGTTAAATTCTGTTGAATTGACCTCTATTAAAATGGGATCGGTGCTGGGAGGGGTATTCTAGGCAAAGTGCAGCCTCACCCATTTCTCCCCCTCCCCTTTCTCTCAGTCACCCTCCCTCATACCTTTTCAATGCCACGCTGTTCAAAAGTTTTTCAGGATGTGAAATTTTTAAACTAAAGATTATAAATAATGGTTACAGAAACAGATTCTATTTTGCTCTGCTCTAGTCTCTGAAGAGTTCAGGGCAGCAGTGGGTTAGTGGCCAGACTAGGAGCAGCTCTTATTCACAAGGGAGGTGAACTGGAAAGTATGTATACATCGCGTGTACACACAGACATACATGTCTACTTTGTATAAACAGAGAGAAACAGAGCATAAGATTTTTCACATTTCTCCTGCTCTAACCACAGTATGTTGTTTTAGTTTACTGGAGTGAATGATTATCCACTCCACAGAAAATTACTATTTTGGTTTTTGCTAAAGGGTGATTTGTTCTACAGTAGAGAAGTACAAAAAGACTAAGTTTCCAAAAGGAGTATTTTTGTCCTATAGCAGAGCACCAGGGTGCGGAAGGAAGAGTGCTGGCTTGGGGGATCAAGAATTCTGCATTTACACCCCTCTCTGTCCTGGACAAATTGTTGGCTTAGGGTAGGTCCCTTTCTGAATTTCAGAGTCTTTCCTGGGATTATTGCTCATCTATAAAATAAATATTTAAGAAGTAACCCCTGCCTTCCATTTTCTGCTCTGTAATCTGACCCCAGAGTAATTTTGGAAACTACGAGTGTAGGCGTGGGAGTCAAATGGACCCAAGTGAAGACTTAGTTTTGTTACATCTGGCTGGAGAGAGACTCAGGCTCTGGAAGTCCCTGTTTCCTCCTCTGTGAAATGGGAGTAATAACTGTCCCCACATTACAGGGTTGCTGTGGGGATTGTTGAAGGGGTACATGTAAACAGCTTGCTACTTGATACACGGCATGCCATTGATAAGTGGTTACAGTAAAAATAGTTGCAATAATGATAATGACCAAAACAATGTGCTAGGATATGGGGTCAGGGAAGAGATGGGAGGCTTAAAGCAGAGGACACAGTACCTGACCTCAAGGAGGTAAAACATATAAAACATTAAAACAAAAAGGCCCCCTCTGAATAGAGCTAAGACAGAGGACACAGTCCCTGGCCTCAAAGAGGTAAAACTTATAAAACATTAAAACCTTAAAGGACAACCTGAACTAAGCTGCAGGGACAGGCAGAGAGTGACAATATCAGGATTCAGAAGGGAGCAAGTGCTCCTCAGACTGACATGATCAGAGACTTCCCAGAGGTGGTGGGAGAGGAGCTGGTCCTTAACAGACGTTGCGGGGCAGGAAGGAAGAGGATGCGATTTCCAGGAGAGAATGAGATCGGCTTTCAGAGGTCAGTATACAGGCTGCTTTCATGGAGCAGAGTGTTTTTAATAAAATATAAGTGGAGCAAAGGCTTGTCTACTTTCTCAGTGAGTACAAATCCATAATCATTTTGTTCTTTCTACTCAAAATTCTAAATCTGAAATTGACTTCAGTGAAGGGCTAGCTAGGTACTGAAGACTGCGTCGGTGTGGCTTGAGCACCAAGATATCTGCATTGTCCTGAAGCACGTGTGTAACTTATGGATGTGCCCTGGGCCAGCTGGGGGCGGGGGACAGTGAAGGTGTTCACAAGAACCAATGCCAGCTTTCCAGCTGTGCAGGCCCTCCAGGCACACAGGGAATTTGGCTGGAGAGTGCCGGAAGTCGAGTTCTCCCTGCTGTGTCTCCTGTACCAGCTTGCCCTTGTTATCTGTGGTTGGGTCACTCAGGAGTGCACATATCCAGAGTTATTCTGTTGAACAGGTCATGAATATGTGTGCTGAGACTCATGGTTTGCTGAGATTCTGTAAGAGGGTAAATTTTTAAGGAAACACACACACACAGACACACAGACACACACACACACACACACACACACACACTCTCACACACACAGGAAAGACTAGCTAAGTTAGCATCTGCTTCCTTCCACCTCCCACCAGGTAACAAGGCCAACACTAGATGTCTAAAGACCCATTGAGAAGACCCATTCTGAGACTAGAAACCTGGGGTAGGAGGCAACTCATTGCATCACAGTGGGCGCCAGCTTTACCACTGTCCCTTCATGCTGTGTCTGCTGAAGGGACTTGTCTGTAATTTCAGAATTCTTGTTTTTTGAGACAGGATCTCGCTCTGTCACCCAGGTTGGAATGCAGTAGCACAATCACACCTTACTGCAGCCTCGACCTCCTGGGCCCTAGCAATCCTCTCACCTTGGTCCCACAAGTACCTGGGACCACAGGTGTGTGCCACAATGACCAGCTAATTTTTTAATTTTTGTAGAGATGAGGTCTCCCTGTGTTGCCCAGGCTGGTCTTGAACTCCTGGACTCAGGTGATCCTCCCACCTGAGCCTCCCAAAGTGCTGAGATCACAGGTGTGAACCACCACACCTAGCCCAGAATTCTTGAATTATCCAGTGGAAGTGGGGAGAGAGTCCTTTCTTCCACCTTGCAATTACTGAATCCCCACAATATTCCCCACCAGTGAGGGGAATGTGGTGGGGGGTGCGTTGGAGCAGATTACGTTTGATTTCAAGAAATGAAGTGTGACATGTCTCGCACCCTAGATTTGAGGACTAAATTCTTTGTGCACTTTACTTCTGTTCTTAACTATCAACTACTGAATAAAGGAGTAAGTTTTCTTCACTCCTTGCTCACATCCCCACCATTGCTCCAAGTAGAAAGCTCAGGCCAGCCCCGGTACCTCTGTGGCTAACTTTTCAAGAAGGTAGCAGAGTCTCCTGGACCTCACTATGGTCTAAAGAGGAATTGCTCAGTAGAACTGTTCCTTGAGAGCAGAGATGGTCCAGGAACCTGACCAGGTGACAAGTAAGTATAGTATTTATACTTCCCATGCTCAGACATTCAAGTGCTTCAAATTAAGGGGTCACATTACAATTGCAGAATTTACAAAGCAAATCTCTAAGAACAATTCTGTGACCCTTGGATCCCTCAACCAGATCAAAGATCTAACAAAGGGTGAGGGTGGAAGAAGATTTGTGGAAAGAGTTCTTTTGGGGGGTCCTGTGCAATTTCCCTCTATCCTCCCAGGAGGGGAGAGAAAAAGGGTTCTACTTCCTTCGCCCAAGTCTAGTGCAATCATTCCCACAATCAATTTTACATTTTCATCATCCCAAAAGTAGTCCTGTGCCCATTAGAAGTCACTCCCCATTTCCCTCCAAACTCACCAGTGCTAGGGAGCCACTAATCTACTTTCTATCTCTATAGATGTGCTTATTCTGGGCATTTCATATAAATGGAATTGTGTACTTTGCAGTATTTTGTGACTGGATTTTCCACTTAGCGTAATGTTTTCAAGGTTCACCCATGTTATATCATGAATCAGTACTTTATTTCCTTTTTCCAGCCAAATAATATGCCAGCATTTATGAGATGGATGTTGGAGACCCACGTTTAGATATCTACATTTTAAAAAATCCATTCATCAGTTAATGGACATTTAGGCTGTTTCTACATTTTGGCTACTATGAATAATGCTGCTCTGAACATTAGTACACAAGTTTTTGTTTGGACATGTATTTTCATTTCTCTTTGATGTATATCTAGGAGTGGAGTTGCTGGGTCACATGATAACCTTTGAAAAACTGCCATGTTTAACCTTTTGAGGAACTGCCAGACTGTTCACTGAATTACTTTTAAAGAGATAGTGGGAGATAAATATAAAATTGTGTTTTGATTATGTCACAAGTTGTGCTTGTTCAACATATTGATTATAGATGAACTCAGCTGCCATCCCCCATCCACTCCTTCTGTAACCTTAGAGTTCAGGACCAGAGGACTTGAGGAGAGACAGGAGACAGAGAGAGAGAGAGAGAGAAATAGAAAGGGAGAAAGAGAGAGAGAGAAAGCGAGCCCAAGCTTGAGTAAGAGCACGAATAGGAGCTTAAAGACTAGGACAGTCATCAAAGATGACCTGGCCAGGCATGGTGGCTCACGCCTATAATCCTAGCCCTTTGGGAGGCAGAGGTGGGTGGATCACTTGAGCCCAGGAATTCAAGACCAGCCATGGGCAACACGGTGAAACCTTGTCTCTACAAAAAAAAAAAAAAAAAAAAAAAAATTATCAGGTATGATGGCACATGCTTGTAGTACCAGCTACTTGGGAGGCTGAGGTGGGAGGATCACCTGACCTTGGGAAGGCTGAGGATGCAGCAAGCCGTGATCATGCCACTGCACTCCAGCCTGGGTGACAGAGTGAGATCCTGTCTCTCTCTCTATATGTATATACATATATATATATATATATAACTCAGGAGGGATCAGAATTGGATAAGAAGTGGTTTAGATTCAGAGGTCTGTGAGGCAATTAAGCCAACAGTGTGTGCTTGGAATGGGCTCATTTGCCATTCAACACATATATGCCCACTATGTGGCTACTGTGTGCCAAGGACTATATTTAGGTAAGTCATGATTATATACACATTGTTTTACCCAATCATCACAAACACATGAAGTGGCTGGCATCATTCCTTTTTTTTTCTTTTTTTGAGATGGAGTCTCACTCTGTTGCCCAGGCTGGAGTGTAGTGGCATGATCTCAGCTCACGCAACCTCTGCCTCCTGGGTTCAAGCGATTCTTGTGCCTCAGCCTCCCGAGTAGCTGGGACTACAGGTGTGTGCCACCATGCCTGGCTAATTTTTTGTATTTTTAGTAGATACGGGGTTTCACCATCTTGGCCAGGCTGGTGTTGATCTCCTGACCTCAAGTGATCTGCCTACCTCAGCCTCCCAAAGTGCTGGGATTATAGGCATGAGCCACTGCACCCAGCCATCATTCCATTTTATAAATGAGAAAGCTCAGGTAAGTGACTGGATCAGGGTCATACAAGTATAAGAGCCAATCTGGGATTAGAAACCTTGTCTGCCTAACTTCAAGGCCAATGTTCTTGACTATTACATGACTCCCAGTTAGCCTGTACTCCTGAGCTTGCCCTGGCAGCTCCTGAAAGACCAGTTTTGCATGTCTCTAAAAACTCTTCTATGTAGACAGGTGTGCTGGGAAAATTACTCTCAAAAAAAAAAAAAAAAAAAAAAAAAAAAAAAAAAAAGGCTGGGTACAGTGGTTCAGACCTGTAATCCCAGCATTTGAGGAGGCCAAGGTGGGAAGATTGCTTGAGGCCAGGACCAGCCTGGGAGATATCATGAGACCCTGTCTCTACAAAAAATTTAAAAATTAACTAGTAGGTGGTGGTACACACCTATAGTCCTAGCTACTTGGGTGGCTGAGCCAGGAGGATCACTTGAGCCTAGGAGTTGGAGCCTGCAGTGAGCTATGATTGCACCACTGCACTCCACCATGGGGAACAGAGTGAGGCTCTGTCTCTTAACACAAAACAAAACAAAAACCCAAACTATATAGTGTGTGCCAATTTCTATGGTGTAAGTATTCTCAGCACACCAGATCTCAAGCTACCATCACTTTATCAACTACCTTACAAAATTCCTGATTATTTAACAGTCAGCTTTCATTAGCCAGCAATAGTAATTCCAGCACATCATTGCTTTGATGGCTTTGAGTTGTACGGACCTTTGCTCTTGGTCTTTGGCATCCAACTACCAATGTTCTAGTCAGGACCACATGCATCCTTGAATATTATGGCTAATTGAGGATTTTAACCTGTAACACTAACTCAACCATTTCTGGGGGGAAGACATGCCTATAAAACCTGACGTTTCATGACTCACAAAAATAGAAGCAAAGTCATATTAAATAAATGCACTGGGCCGGGTGCAGTGGCTCACGCCTGTAATCCCAGCACTTCGGGAGGCTGAGGCGGGTGGATCACCTGAGGTCTGGAGTTTGAGACCAACCTGACCAACATGGAGAAACCCTGTCTCTACTAAAAATACAAAATTAGCCAGGCGTGATGGCGCATGCCAGTAATTCCAGCTATTGGGGAGGTTGAGGCAGGAGAATCGCTTGAACTCAGGAGGCAGAGGTGATGAGCCAAGCAAGATTGGGCCATTGCACTCCAGTCTGGGCAACAAGAGCAAAACTCTGTCTAGAAAAAAAAAAAAGAAGAAGAAGAAGAAGAAATGCAGCAATTTTGTATGCATTTTCCTCTTTTACCTCTAACTAATAGTTAGCATAGTTTTAGGTTTATGTGAAAAATGTCGGTTGTAAGCCAGTGACCATATGATAGAAGCTGAAGTTGACAGAAGCCAGATCTTCTTCAACACAGTATTTCTTAAACTAGGGTCTGTATGTTCTACCAGGATTTTAAAATATAGTATGTATTTTTCGCGGTAATCTTAAAATACTTCATCAGTTATAAAGAGAAAGATAAAACTTCTCTTTGTGCATGATTATTTGCCATTCACAGCCATTTAGCAAAATGGCTTTTGTTTCTTATGGCAAATAAATTCTTTGGTTGGGGAGGAGGATAATTTTTTTTCCTTTAAAATGAGTGCGTATGTGTGTTATGGTTGAGAAATCCTGCTCCATCCCTTAGAATCTGATCACTTTTTAAGATATTCACCATTCCATATTCTTTCCAGATTTTTTACAGATTTTTTTCAGTTTTATTCAGCTTCTATTGTTTTCGTACAAACGGGAAAACTCGTGACGACACCCAGCTCTCACTATGTGACAGGCCACTGAGAGCAGGATAAACTGGCAATCTGTAATCTTCCAACCAATTTCACGTGGTTCACCAGAGCAGGATTTGCAGGAATAGTATTTCCTAGCTGCTAATGACCAACTTCATTATCACGCTGCCCTGAGCTGACATTTTGCCTTTGGCTTATAATGGCAGTCATTAGATTCTAGAAAATTCCCTTTCTGTCCTTTTTCTAAATTTGATTCCTCCAGAATCAGAGAGAATACAAATCCTCCCAAGCTTTGTGTATACCAAGTGGATGCCTGGTGAAATAAGAACCCACATCACCTCAGCGCCTGGGCACAGCCCCTGATTCCACTGGAAGAAGTCAAACTCCAGATGGACGCTGCTGTGCAAGCACACGGGTGTCGCATGCTTGGAGTTTTCCGTAGGAAATTAACTAAATAACGCCAACATTCTTTCCCTTCTCTCCTTTCCACTCTTCACTTGCTTCTATAATGAAGCAGCTTTAACTCAGCCCTTTAGCTCTCTCACGGGGGCAAAAGTGTTTGACAATTTCATTCTCCTGTGACCTTTGGATCAAAAAGAAAAGTCTTTTCTCTCTTTCACTTGTTTATTCCAAAAAGTGCTTCTCATCAAGGCTATTGAATTTCACTGAAGACGCAACTTTCTGAAACAAGATGTCCTGAAAATGCTAGTTCAAAGATGCATCCCTTAAAAACAGCAAAAGTGGCACTTTAAAAAGAACCCAATCACATTATGAGTGGATCCGATTCTGTATTCAACAAAATTATTGTGGCATAGTTAAATAGCAGGTTGCTAATGCTGTAGACATAAAATCATCCAATGAATCAAAATGAGGGTCAGATCTTCCCCATGTGGTCATTCGCTTGTTTAATGTCTGTGTTCTTTCTTCATAATGAACCCAGTAATGGAATGTTTAAGTAGAAATGTTCAGTAGCAATTTTAAAATATTGATGGAGTGCATCATAGGTGCACAGCAGTTACCACCCACTTTAGAGGCAAAGATGTCAATAAATGCATGGCCTATAATGTATAAAGCTCTGTGATACATAGGTGATGTGGGGTATAAATAGGGGATACCTGGCCTCAGAGAGTTTGTAATCTAGAGGGAAAGAGAAACAAGTATAGAAATAACTAGATCACAGACAATTACCCATGTAATGTATATTTCCTGAACATCGCCCACGGGCCAGGCACATTGCTAAGACAGGGGAGACACTAAATTTCTTCCTTCAACAAATATTTATTGAGCATCTACTACCATCATCCCTGGTTATCTGTGGGGGGATTGATCTCAGGACCACCCACGGATACCAAAATCCATACAGCTCAAGTCTCTAATATAAAATAATGTAGTATTTGCATATGACATACATGCTTCCTCCCATATACTTTAAATCATCTCTAGATTACTTATAATACCTAATACAATGTAAATGCTACGTAAATAGTTGTTATAACGTATTGTTTAGAGAATAATGATATGAAAAAAAATCAGTACATGTTTGGTACAGATGCATTTTTTTTCCAAATATTTTTGGTCTGCAATTGGTTGAATCCATGGATGTGGAACCTATGGATATGGAGAGCTGACTATATATGCCAGTTACTGTTGCTGAAGCTGTGGATATAGCAGTGAACAAAACAAAGTCCCTGCTCTCCTGGAGATTATGTTCTATTATGTTTGACTGGGGAGATGGAAAATAAAGAAACAAATAAAATTAAGCAAACATAGTTTCAGGTAGCAGTAAGTGCTATGAAGAAAATAGAATGGGGAAAGTGGATTAAGAGTGACAGAGTAAGGCCAGGGGTTATGGCTCACACCTGTAATCCCAGCACTTTGGGAGACCAAAGTGAGTGGATTGCTTGAGGCCAGGAGTTTGAGACCAGCCTGGGCAACATGGAGAAACCCTGTCTCTACAAAAAATAAAAAAAAATTAGGAGGCATGGTAATGCACACCTGTAGTCTCAGCTACTAGTGAGGCTGAGGAGGGAGGATCACTTGAACCTGGGAGGCAGAGTTTGCAGTGAGCTGCGATCACGCCACTGCACTCCTGCTTGGGTGAAGAGCAAGACTCTGTCTCTAAAAAAAGTGATAGACGGGACTACTTTAGCTGGGTGGTCAGGAAAGGCATCTCTGGGAAGACTTTTGAGCAGAGAGCTGGTGGAGGGAGAGAGAGGGCTGTGCAGCTCTGTTAGGTATAGAGAATTGTGAATGCAAAGGCCCTGCGGTGAGAAGGAGCTCGTGTTTGTGAAAGAGAAAGGAGGACAGTGTGGAGAGTGAGCCAGGGGAAAGAGGAACTGGAGAGGAGCCAGAGGCCAGATCATGTGAGGCTTTGAAGGCTGTGGGAAGGATTTTGATGTTGTTCTGAGTATGACAGGAGGGCGGTGAAGGGTCTTGAGCAGGAGAATGATGATGTCTGACTTCTGTCACCTAAATACTTGCATATGTGTGAAGTGACATATGTACAAGAGTTTTTGTTTGCTTTTAAATTGCAGCATTGTTTGTAATAGCAAAAGAATGAAAACAACTTAAATACCCACCCCTAGAGGGCTAGTTAAATAAAACGATGGCACATCCCAGCCATGGAATATTATATAGCCATAAAAAGGATGAGAGGAACTTTATGCACTGGTAAGGAATGATCCCCAAGATATATTGTCAACTGAATAAGGTGAGGTTCAAAAATAGCGTGTCTATTGTGCTGTTTGTAGCAAAGTGAAAAAAATATGAATGTGTATGAACAAAATATTTCTGGGAACTGCTAACACTGGAATCCTCTGGGGAAGGAAATTGGATAGATGAAGGATGTAAGTGGGAATGGCACTTTTCACTGGATATTCTTGTACCTTTAAAATTTAAAATAATATGACAGAGCCCTTTGCTTGTGTGAGGCATCTATGACCTGAATGTGATTCTAGAATTACTTTAGAACCAGAAGACCACAGCACTTTCCGACCAATCCTTCAATCAAAGACCTTCCCAACTATTAAAAGGTGGTTGAAGAGGTGCCCTTGAACTGAGTATTTCTCCCAGGGAGGAAACGCCTCACTCCATTGCTGAATTCATCTTTCCAAAGTCCACTTGCCAAACCCTTTCACTCGTTCCACACTGTTCACCAAAAAGTGTCAACTCCTTTTCCTGCCTGTATTAGTCAGGGTTCTCCATATAGATAAATAGATATTATAGGGAATAAACTCACAGGATTATAGAGGCTGACAAGTCCAAAGATCTGCAGGATGAGTCGGCAAGCTGGAGACCCAGGAAAACTGATTGTGCAGTTCCAGTCTGAGCTCAAAGGCCAGAGAACCAGGAGAACTGATGGTGCTCTCTAGAAGACTGGTTCACTTGAGACCCAGGAAGAGAGGACATTTCGATTCAAGTCCAAAGGCAGGAAAAAGCTAATGTCCCAGTTCAAAGGCAATCAGGCAATAGGAATTCTTTCCTACTCGGGAGGGGGTCAGCCTTTTTGTTCTATTCAGTCTGTCAAGTGATTGGATTAGGCCCATCCACATTAGGGAGAGCAAGCTCCTTTACTCAGTACACTGATTTACATATTAATCTCATCCAAAAAGACCCTCACAGAAACACCCAGAATAATGTTTGGCCAAATATCTGGGCGCTCCATGGCCCAGTAAATTTGACACATAAAATTGATCATCACACTGCCACTGAGGGACACTCAGCCTCTTTTTCCAGCCCTACCTCTCAATTGCCTCTCTACACACTCTACACACCAGCCACACTGGACCCCTACTTCTTTCTTTCTTTTTGTTTTTGTTTTTTGAGACAGAGTCTCGCTCTGTCGCTCTGTAACCTCCACCTCCTGGGTGCAAGCGATTCTCCTGTCTCAGCCTCCTGAGTAGCTGGGACTACAGGGGGCGCTACCACGTCCAGCTAATTTTTTTGTATTTTTAGTAGAGACAGGGTTTCACCATGTTAGCCAGGATGGTCTCGATCTCCTGACCTCATGATCCACCAGCCTTGGCCTCCCAAAGTGCTGGGATTACAGGCGTGGGCCACCGCACCTGGCCACCCCTAGTGCTTTCTAATCATGCCTGGCTTCTCCCACCTCCCTGCTTTGGTCTAGATGGGTCCCTGCTTCATCTTTTCCTGTCCAATTCCTGGCTGCTCATTGAGGGCCACTCAATACCACCTCCTCCAACTGGTGTCTCCTCCTTTCCTCTCTTCCTTTCCTCGCTGTGAGGTTATCTCACCTCTTTGTCCCTCCTTTGTTTATGTCTCTCTTGGGCATTTAACATACTTCCCTCCTACAATCATTATTTATATGTTTATCATTGAAGTAGATGTTTAGTTAGAACAACTTTTCTTCACCCTCTACTCTTCTGGGACAAGTTGCAGGAATTCACTAAGGAACTGCTGGAAGGATGGAATCCCTTGGGAAGTTCTCTTATAGGAACAAATTGCCTTGACACTGTTTTTTTTTTTTTTTTTTTTTTTTTGCTGGCTCTTACTTCCTTGTCCGGAAAGTGAAGATGATAATAGTATCTACCTCAAAAGCTTGTTGTGAAGATTAAATGAGATGATGCATTCAAAGCACCTAACACAGGATGTGGTGAAGAGTAAACCCCCCTAAAAGGCAGCTATTATGGCCAATGGGGAGAACCTCCCTCAGAAACATAAATTCACAACCACCAGCATCCTGAGGGGTGTTTCTCACAGGAAGGTGGAGCAGACAGCTATAGTGCAATTCACTAGAAAGGGTGTGAATTGGGAAATGTACTCTGTTTAAGATTTAAGGCTGGGCGCAGTGCCTCACGCCTGTAATCCCAGCACTTTGGGAGACCGAGGCGGGTGGATCACTTGAGGTCAGGAGTTCGAGACCACCTTGGCCAATATGGTGAAACCCCATCACTACTAAAAATACAAAAATTAGCCGGGCATTGTGGCTCGTGCCTGTAGTCCCAGCTACTTGGGAGGCAGAGGCAGGAGAATCGCTTGAACTCGGGAGGCGGAGGTTGCAGTGAGCCGAGATCGTGCCACTATACTACTTCCTGGGTGACAGAGTGAGACTCCATCTCAAAAAAAAAAAAAAAAAAAAAAAAAGATTTAAAAGGAACCGGTCTGATCCTTCTGTATTTCCCAGAAAGGAGCAAGTGGTTCTGGATATGAAAGGACAGTGCTTGAATGATTCTGATAAAACCCTCCGGCGGCAGGTGCAGGGTGGGTAGAGGGAGTAGGAAAGGGCAGTGCAAGAGTCAGAAGGAGCTGAGACCCCTGGGAGGCTGAGGCATCCGTGGTCCAGCTTAGCTGAGGGGAGGAGAAGGAAGTTGAGCCAGCATCCCACAGAGGACCCTGGCAGCCTTCTGTCCTGAGAGCTAAGCTGGGCCATGGAGGCATGAAACCGTCCTCACAGGGCTAGTAGGAATTACATGCTGGTTCTGGGCAGAAATACAGTTATAATTAAACTATAATCAGTGGGCACTTGGGCGCCTTTCTTGTATCTGAAAGTCATAGCATAGGTACTGACCATTTGCATCCCCATTGTTTCTATCGATAGGATTTCTGACATTAGGGTCATAAGCCTTTTTGTTTAGGAATTGTTTGAGATGTTCTTCAGATCCTGAATTCCAGCAGAATGGCTGATGCCAACCAGTTTAAAGATCCCCACAGAGGAATCGAATCAGCATGAGGATGCAGTTTCTTCATCTCCCTGTCCCATGACTTCACCCTGCACTCTATGACTAATCAATTATCTCCACACCTCAGCCCACTCCAAACCCCTTAAACTCTCTAGACCCAAACTCCTCAGGGAGGTGGATTTGAGGTTTCCTCCCATCTCCTCATTTGGTTGCCTTACAATTATTAAACTCTTTCTCTGCTGCAATCCCTGTTGCCTAAGTATACTGACCTGCTGTGTGTGCATCAGACAAACCTATCACAGCAGCACTCTGGAGTGGGCTGAAGGACTCAAGCAGACCCTCCTCCCCCAATTTTATTTATTTATATTTTTCACTTTATTTTAATAAACATTACTAAAGTATAGCACTCATGAAGAAAAATGCAAAAGTCAAAATGTAACATTCAATGAATTTTTACAACGTGAATCCACCCATGTAGCCACCACCTAGGTCAAGAAATAAAATATTACAACAACCCAGAACTCTTTGCTCATTCCTAGTCATGAGTCCCCACCCATATCCTAAGCAGTAACTGCTAGCCTGACTTCTAAAAACTTAGATTAGTTTTGCCTTTCTTCATCTAAATAGAATCATAAAGTATGTACACTTTTGTGTCTGGCTTTTTTTTTTTGCTCAAGTAATTTTCATGAGATTTATTCATTTACTACATGTAAGATTATTTCACTCATTCTCATTGCTGAATATAATTTCATTGTATCCATAGGTCACAATTTATCTGCCCATTCTACTGTTGATGGACATTTGGGTTGTTTCTGGTTTTGGGCGGTTACGAATAATACTGCTATGAGTATTCTATTTTATTATTATTATTATTATACTTTAAGTTTTAGGATACATGTGCACAACGTGCAGGTTTGTTACATATGTATACATGTGCCACGTTGGTGTGCTGCACCCATTAACTCATCATTTACATTAGGTATATCTCCTAATGCTATCCCTCCCCCTCCCCCCACCCCACAACAGGCCCCGGTGTGTGATGTTCCCCTTCCTGTGTCCATGTGTTCTCATTGTTCAATTCCCACCTATGAGTGAGAACACGTGGTGTTTGGTTTTTTGTTCTTGCGATAGTTTGCTGAGAATGATGGTTTCCAGCTTCATCCATGTCCCTACAAAGGACATGAACTCCTCATTTTTTATGGCTGCATAGTATTCCATGGTGTATGTGTGCCACATTTTCTTAATCCAGTCTATCGTTGGACATTTGGGTTGGTTCCAAGTCTTTGCTATTGTGAATAGTGCTGCAATAAACATACATGTGCATGTGTCTTTTTCGCAGCATGATTTATAATCCTTTATGAGCATTCTAGTACATATCTTTTGATTTCCACTTGTTTGTATTTCCATCAGGTAAATGCTAATAAATTAAATTACTGGGACTTAAAGTGTGCACATATTTAGTTTTAATAGTAAAGTGATTGTGCCAATTTACACTTCCACAAAGAGTATATGAGTGTATATCCATTTCACCTAATTCCTTTACATCATTGGCAATGCTTGATGTGGAAAGGTTTCTTAATTCTAGCCATCATATTGAGGCATGCTAGGATGACCAGCTCTTTTTTTTGGTTTCTTGTTTTTTTTTTTTTGGAGGGGGAGTCTCTCACTCTGTCGCCCAGGATGGAGTACAGTGGTGTGATCTCGAGCTCACTGCAACCTCTGTCTCCTGAGTTCAAGTGATTCTCCTGCCTTGGCTTCCCGAGCAACTGGGATTACAGGCACCTGCCAACACGCCCAGCTAATTTTTGTATTTTTAGTAGAGATGGGGTTTCACCATGTTGGCCAGGCTTGTCTTGAACTCCTGACTTCAAATGATTCACCCACCTCAGCCTCCCAAAGTGCTGGGATTACAGGCATGAGCCACCATGTCTGGCAGACCAGGTCTTAATAGTGCCTCAATTTGGCAGTGGAAGGCAATGGCAAGAATAGGTCTGATACATTGCTTTTGTGATCTCCAAAGTGAGACGTTCTTGCCCAAGAGGACCCAGCATGAAATAAGGGGTGAGAGGAGAAAATAGAACATCTATTTATATGTATTTTTAAAACAGCTTTATCGAGCTATAATTCACATACCATACAATTCACCCATTTAATGTGTACAATTCAATGGTTTTTAGTATATTCACAAATATGTGCAACCATTACCAAAGGCAATTTTAGAATATTTTCTTCATCTCACAAAGAAAACTTTTACTCTGTAGCTATTGCCCCCTCCTCATCACCCAGTATCCCCATCCACCTAAGCAATCACTATTCTACTTTCTGTCTCTATAGTTTCCCCTGTTTTGAACTTTCATATGAATAGAATCATATACCACGAGGTCTTTTGTGGCTGGCTTCTTTCAGTTGGCATAATGTTTTTAAGATTCATCCTTGTTGTAGAATGTATCAGTACTTTGTTTCTTTCTATGGCCAAATAATATTCTGTTGTTTGAATATACCACTTTTTTTATCCATTTGTTCATTGATGGACTATATGTACTTTAATCACTTTAAAATGTTGATATTTTCCATGTTTTATAACAGTACATTGTTACATAATTTAATGTATTTCTGTAAAAGGATTCATCTGTCTTTCTTTATAAGTCATCTCATTTGTGGTTTATAAATAAATAAATATAAGGCCAGGTGCGGTGGCTCATTCCTGTAATCCCAGCACTTTGGGAGGCTAAGGCGGGTGAATCATGAGGTCAGGAGTTCGAGACCACCCTGACCAACATGGTGAAACCCCGTCTCTAATAAAAATAGAAAAATTAGCTGGGCATGGTGGCACGTGCCTGTAGTCCCAGCTACTCAGGAGGCTGAGGCAGGAGAAGCTCTTGAGCCTGGGAGGCAGAGGTTGCAGTGAGCTGAGATCGCACCACTGCACTCCAGCCTGGGCAACAGAGCGAGAGGAGTCTCAAAAAAAAAAAAAGTATACATAAGTACATATATTGGAGAGACAATCTCAAAAAGATTTTACTGATATGAGTCCATGCTCAATAAAGTTTGAAAATCTCTGCCTTAGAACTAGTGTTCATTCCTTTTGGGTTAAAAGTAGAATTGACTCTATTTTTTGGGATGCTTAAGCCCTAGAATTGTTTTTTTTATTTCAGATAGTCAAGGTGGAAAAGGGAACCAAAAGGGTGGGTATTCCTTCTAATGTGGCAGATGAGTATTCCAGCTCGTTTAAATTTAATTTAGAAAAATAAAAGAGATATGACCACGTTTTATGTCTCAAAGGTTAAGGAGCTGTTCTTTCTAAAATTATATTATCCACCCTCTAGGAACCTCTAACAGCAGCCACCATGTTTCCCTCAAATTTTTGTCTTCTCCAAGGGTCTAGCACCCACGTCCAGCCTGTCCTCTCTCTGGGACACCCCTTCTGCTGTAGATGCATCTGGCAATGCTTGGGGCCAGCGCAGCCTCCCCCAGGGAGGATCTCAGCCAGGGATCCTTTGGTTGCAGGTAACAGGACCTCACTCACACTAGAGTGAGCACAATGGCTCTCCAGGGAAGGGTGATTTTGCTCCACTTCTCACCCTTCCAGGGACATCTGTCATTGTCTGGAGACATTTCTGATTATTATAACTGGAGGGTGCTTCTGGCATCTGGTGGGTAGAGGTCAGGGATGCTGCTAGACATCCTACCGTACACAGGACAGTCCCCAACAACAAAGACTTATCCAGCCCTAAACATCAATTGCGCTTTCTAGCATAAGGAGAAAGAGGGGCTTATCAGGAGGTACCAGAAAAGGACCTAGAATGCTAAGAATCAGTTTATCTGCTCATTCATTCTCTCTCTCTCTCTTTCTCTCTCCATGTAGTAGCCTGTTTTCTCATCTTTCTGAGAGCGAGTTTTAGTCTTTCCTGTTTACAGACTGGCTGTTTCTCTAAACAGCAGCGTAAGATGCTGCTCCCAAATTCACATGTCCTTGGTTCAAGTGATCAGTAGAGACTAATGAGTATCTCTACAAAACTCAAAGGAGAGGGACCATGATACACCCAGCTAGTGACAGCTGTACACCTCTTATTTCATCTGCTAAGGCTGGATGGCAGGATCACTGGCCCACATTGTTGCCAGGTCCTGTTCCTGCATATCAGAAGGAGCAATTCCTTAGAGAAATGGGATCCCAGATTGAATGAACTGTGTCATAAAACTTACAAGGCTTCCTGGAAATCATTGGCACCATTCTTTTCTCCTCCACTAGACCCTGAACCCCCAGGGACTCATCTCTATAGCTTCAAGATCAAAGCACATTGCCTGGCACAGTGTGGGCACTCAAAAAAGACTCCTTGAAAGAATGAGCATTTATTCATTTGCTTTTACACACACAAATAATAATGAAAGTCCCTATTTACAAACCTCTCAATGAAACATTACAAAATAAAACACAGTGAGTTGAGAAAAAAGGAAGAAAAAACAACAGCGAGCATCTTGAGGCATATCCTTGGAAAGAGCATACCTTCACTGAAAGGAGAAAAAAACCAAACCTGAAAAGTGCTTGCGTTAGAAAGTGACTGAGTGGAAAATTCTTCCTTCTAAGGCAATTACTGTCAGTCATGGGCAGTACAACTCTACATAGGGAAACACTGGTGTCAAACCTCATTATAGGAGATGATTTAGAACTTCACTTGGCATTTCCTCCCACATTCTAAAATCAGAATGTCTTCATATTAAAGAAAAAAAAAAAAGACCACAGAGACCGTGGCCTAGGAGAGAGAGCTTCTGTGTTAGAAGGCCCACCAGCAATCTCCTTGGTTCAGGCTTTACTGTCTGAAACCTGCTTGTGTAAAAGTTCCCCACGGTGAGGTCAGAACGACCATAAAAGTTAACAATGAAAACAATAGTAAATCACTGTTATGGGCTCAATTTTGCCACACACCCCATCTCCCAATTCATATGCTGAAGATCTAACCCCCAGCACCTTGGAATGTGCCTGTATTTGGAGACAGTACCTTAAAGAGGTGATTAAGTTAAAATAAGACCAGTAGGGTGGGTTCTAATCCTATCTGACTGTGTCCTTACAGGAGGAGGATATTTGGACACATAGAAAGATGCCTTGGACCCACACACACAGAGGTGTGAAAGTTGATCATATAGACTGGGTCATTCTTGTTATACCCAATTAAAACAGAGTTGAAAGACCTGGGAGTAAAAAAGCACTCAGGGCATATAACATTGCCCCAAGAATGTAATTCTTTGTAAGCCTGATTATTCCTGGCTGCTGAAACTGCCTGTTGTAACCTGAATCCAGTTCTATCTAATAATTCCTGAAACAACTTGCTGTGACATTAAGACTAGTTTTACCCACCACAGTCACTCAACCAATCAAAACTTGCCAGCTCCCCCAACCAGAATGCCAATGAACTTTCTTTTAAAACAATATGTAACATTTCTCCTTTTTATAAAACTTCAAGCCTGATTATTCCTGGCTGCTGAAACTGCCTGTTGTAACCTGAAACCAGTTCTATCTAATAATTCCTGAAACAACTTGCTGTGACATTAAGACTAGTTTTACCCACCACAGTCACTCAACCAATCAAAACTTGCCAGCTCCCCCAACCATAATGCCAATGAACTTTCTTTTAAAACAATATATAACATTTCTCCTTTTTATAAAACTTCCAACCTTCTCTTTGTTCTTTGGACATACTAAAGACCACCCAGTCTGTGTGTATGCCTCAAGTTGCAATTCTGGCTTCCCAAAGAAAACGTTCTAAATTTAGAGATTTGTCTCTATATTTTATTTGACATTGATAGAGGAAAGGCCACATGAGGACACAGTGAGATGGTGGCCACCTGCAAGCCAAGGAGACATGCCTTCAGAAGAAACTAAACCTGCTGACACTTTGATCTTGGACTTCCAACCTCCAAAATGGTGAGAAAATAAAATTCTGTTGTTTAAGCCACCCAGTGTGTGGTGTTTTGTTATGGTGGCCCTTGCAAAGTAATACAATCACTTTCTCTGATGACTCTTCATCTTTTCAAGTATGAAGACTTTTTGTTTTATTATTTGTTTATCACTGCATGTATATCTACCTCATTGAACCAGCACAGAAACACACAGAAAATCTTAACTCTATAACGACTTTAGCAGGCAGCCCCAGAAAGAAGGGCTGGAAAGCCAAGGAATAGATCCCTGATTTTTTTTTTCTAGCAATTTTTCTGAAATTAAACCCTAGAAGAAAACCTAGGCAAAGGAACAAAGCTGGACGGAGAATGACTTTGACGAGTTGAGAGAAGAAGGTTTCAGACGATCAAACTACTCCGAGCTAAAGGAAGAAGTTCGAACCCACGGCAAAGATGTTAAAAACCTTGAAAAAAATTAGATGAATGGCTAACTAGAATAACCAATGCAGAGAAGTCCTTAAAGGACTTGATGGAGCTGAAAACCACAGCACAAGAACTACGTGACGAATGCACAAGCCTCAGTAGCCGATTCGATCAACTGGAAGAAAGGGTATCAGTGATTGAAGATCAAATGAATGAAATGAAGTGAGAAGAGAAGTTTAGAGAAAAAAGAATAAAAATAAATGAACAAAGCCTCCAAGAAATATGAGACTATGTGAAAAGAGCAAATCTACATCTGATTGGTGTACCTGAAAGTGACAGGGAGAATGGAACCAAGTTGGAAAACACTCTGCAGGATATTATCCAGGAGAACTTCCCCAATCTAGCAAGGCAGGCCAACATTCAAATTCAGGAAATACAGAGAATGCCACAAAGATACTCCTTGAGGAGAGCAACTCCAAGACACATAATTGTCAGATTCACCAAAGTTAAAATGAAGGAAAAAATGTTAAGGGCAGCCAGAGAGAAAGGTCGGGGTACCCACAAAGGGAAGCCCATCAGACTAATAGCTGATCTCTCGGCAGAAACTCTACAAGCCAGAAGAGAGTGGGGGCCGATATTCAACATTCTTAAAGAAAAGAATTTTCAACCCAGAATTTCATATCCAGCCAAATTAAGCTTCATAAGTGAAGGAGAAATAAAATCCTTTACAGACAAGCAAATGCTGAGAGATTTTGTCACCACCAGGCCTGCCCTAAAAGAGCTCCTGAAGGAAGCACTAAACATGGAAAGGAACAACTGGTACCAGCCACTGCAAAAACATGCCAAATTGTAAAGACCAGAGAGGCTAGGAAGAAACTGCATCAACTAATGAGCAAAATAACCAGCTAACATCATAATGACAGGATCAAATTCACACATAACAATATTAGCCTTAAATGTAAATGGGCTAAATGCTCCAATTAAAAGACACAGACTGGCAAATTGGATAAAGAGTCAAGACCCATCAGTGTGCTGTATTTAGGAAATCCATCTCACGTGCAGAGACACACATAGGCTCAAAATAAAGGGATGGAGGAAGATCTACCAAGCAAATGGAAAACAAAAAAAGGCAGGGGTTGTGATCCTAGTCTCTGATAAAACAGACTTTAAACCAACAAAGATCTAAAAAGACAAAGAAGGCCATTACATAATGGTAAAGGGATCAATTCAACAAGAAGAGCTAACTATCCTAAATATATATGCACCCAATACAGGAGCACCCATATTCATAAAACAAGTCCTACAAAGAGACTTAGACTCCCACACAATAATAATGGGAGACTTTAACACCCCACTGTCAACATTAGACAGATCAACAAGACAGAAAGTTAATAAGGATATTCAGGAATTGAATTCAGCTTTGCACCAAGCAGACCTAATAGACATCTACAGAACTCTCCACCCCAAATCAACAGAATATACATTCTTTTCAGCACCACACCACACCTATTCCAAAATTGACCACATTGTTGGAAGTAAAAAACTCCTCAGCAAATGTAAAAGAACAGAAATGATAACAAACTGTCTCTCAGACCACAATGCAATCAAACTAGAACTCAGGATTAAGAAACTCACTCAAAACCACTCAACTACATGGAAACTGAACAACCTGCTCCTGAATGACTACTGGGTACATAACAAAATGAAGGCTCAAATAAAGATGTTCTTTGAAACCAACGAGAACAAAGACACAACATACCAGAATCTCTGGGACACATTCAAAGCAGTGTGTAGAGGGAAATTTATAGCACTAAATGCCCACAGGAGAAAGCAGGAAAGATCTAAAACTGACACCCTAACATCACAATTAAAAGAACTAGAGAAGCAAGAGCAAACACATTCAAAAGCTAGCAGAAGGCAAGAAATAACTAAGATCAGAGCAGAACTGAAGGAGATAGAGACACAAAAAACCCTTCAAAAAATCAGTGAATTCAGGAGCTGGTTTTTTGAAAAGATCAACAAAATTGATAGACCGCTAGCAAGACTAATAAAGAAGAAATGAGAGAAGAATCAAATAGATGCAATAAAAATGATAAAGGGGATATCACCACTGATCCCACAGAAATACAAACTACCATCAGAGAATACTATAAACACCTCTATGCAAATAAACTAGAAAATCTAGAAGAAATGGATAAATTCCTCGACACATACACACTCCCAAAGACTAAACCAGGAAGAAGTTGAATCTCTGAATAGACCAATAACAGGCTCTGAAATTGAGGCAATAATTAATAGCTTACCAACCAAAAAAAGTCCAGGACCAGATGGATTCACAGCCAAATCTACCAGAGGTGCAAGGAGGAGCTGGTACCTTTCCTTCTGAAACTATTCCAATCAATAGAAAAAGAGGGAATCCTCCCTAACTCATTTTATGAGGCCAGCATCATCCTGATACCAAAGCTTGCCAGAGACACAACAAAAAAAGAGAATTTTAGACCAATATCTCTGATGAACATCGATGCAAAAATCCTCAATAAAATACTGGCAAACCGAATCCAGCAGCACATCAAAAAGCTTATCCACCAGGATCAAGTGGGCTTCATCCCTGGGATGCAAGGCTGGTTCAACATACGCAAATCAAGAAACGTAATCCAGCATATAAACAGAACCAATGACAAAAACCACATGATTATCTCAATAGATGCAGAAAAGGCCTTTGACAAAATTCAACAACACTTCATGCTAAAAACTCTCAATAAATTAGGTATTGACGGGATGTATCTCAAAATAATAAGAGCTATCTATGACAAACCCACAGCCAATATCATACTGAATGGGCAAAAACTGGAAGCATTCCCTTTGAAAACTGGCACAAGACAGGGATGCCCTCTCTCACCACTCCTATTCAACATAGTGTTGGAAGTTCTGGCCAGGGCAATCAGGCAGGAGAAGGAAATAAAGGGTATTCAATTAGGAAAAGAGGAAGTCAAATTGTCCCTGTTTGCAGATGACATGATTGTATATCTAGAAAACCCCACTGTCTCAGCCCAAAATCTCCTTAAGCTGATAAGCAACTTCAGCAAAGTCTCAGGATACAAAATCAATGTGGAAAAATCACAAGCATTCTTATACACCAATAACACACAAACAGAGAGCCAAATCATGAGTGAACTCCCATTCACAATTGCTTCAAAGAGAATAAAATACCTAGGAATCCAACTTACAAGGGACGTGAAGGACCTCTTCAAGGAGAACTACAAACCACTGTTCAATGAAATAAAAGAGGATACAAACAAATGGAAGAGAATTCCATGCTCATGGGTAGGAAGAATCAATATTGTGAAAATGCCCATACTGCCCAAGGTAATTTATAGATTCAATGCCATCCCCATCAAGCTACCAATGAGTTTCTTCACAGAATTGGAAAAAACTACTTTAAAGTTCATATGGAACCAAAAAAGAGCCCACATTGCCAAGACAATCCTAAGCCAAAAGAACAAAGCTGGAGGCTTCACGCTACCTCACTTCAAACTATACTACAAGGCTACAGTAACCAAAACAGCATGGTACTGGTACCAAAACAGAGATATAGACCAATGGAACAGAACAGAGCCCTCAGAAATAATGCCGCATATCTACAACCTTCTGATCTTTGACAAACCTGACAAAAACAAGAAATGGGGAAAGGATTCCCTATTTAATAAACGGTGCTGGGAAAACTGGCTAGCCATATGTAGAAAGCTGAAACTGGATCTCTTCCTTATACCTTATACAAAAATTAATTCCAGATGAATTAAAGACTTAAATGTTAGACTTAAAACCATAAAAACCCTAGAAGAAAACCTAGGCAATACCATTCAGGACATAGGCATGGGCAAGGACTTCATGTCTAAAACACCAAAAGCAATGGCAACAAAAGCCAAAATTGATAAATGGGATCTAATTAAACTAAAGAGCTTCTGCACAGCAAAAGAAACTACCATCAGAGTGAACAGGCAACCTACAGAATGGGAGAAAATTTTTGCAATCTACTCATCTGACAAAGGGCTAATATCCAGAATCTACAATGAACCAAACAAATTTACAAGAAAAAAACAACCCCATAAAAAAGTGGGCAAAGGATATGAACAGACACTTCTCAAAAGAAGACATTTATGCAGCCAAAAGACACATGAAAAAATGCTCATCATCACTGGCCATCAGAGAAAGCAAATCAAAACCACAATGAGATACCATCTCATACCAGTTAGAATGGCGATCATTAAAAAGTGAGGAAACAACAGGTGCTGGAGAGGATGTGGAGAAATAGGAACACTTTTACACTGTTGGTGGGACTGTAAACTAGTTCAACCAGTGTGGCGATTCCTCAAGGATCTAGAACTAGAAATACCATTTGACCCAGCCATCCCATTACTGGGTATATACCCAAAGGATTATAAATCATGCTGCTATAAAGACACACGCACACGTATGATTATTGTGGCACTATTCACAATAGCAAAGACTTGGAACCAACCCAAATGTCCAACAATGATAGACTGGATTAAGAAAATGTGGCACATATACACCATGGAATACTATGCAGCCATAAAAAATATTGAGTTCATGTCCTTTGTAGGGACATGGATGAAGCTGGAAACCATCATTCTCAGCAAACTATTGCAGGGACAAAAAATCAAACACCACATGTTCTCACTCATAGGTGGGAATTGAACAATGACAACACATGGACACAGGAAGGGGAACATCACACACCAGGGCCTGTTGTGGAGTGGGAGGAGGGGGGAGGGATAGCATTAGGAGATATACCTAATGCTAAATGACGAGTTAATGGGTGCAGCACACCAACACGGTACATGTATACATACGTAACTAACCTGCACGTTGTGCACATGTACCCTAAAACTTAAAGTATAATAAAAAAAAATTTCCCCTCAATTCCAAATACCAATATTTTTTCCAGCCAAAGGCCTGTACCAGCAGGCAAATTCTGTGATAGGATTCCTTGCAATGTTTGGAGTCTGTTTAGGGAGACCCTTAGGGACCCTTGTACATGGGACCTGAGACTCTCTGACACCACTTCATAGCATTGTTTTTTTCTCCTAGGAAGCTAATGGAATGTGAAGACACTAACTATTGTTTTTATACAAAGTCTGCCAAGGTTCCCTGCCTTTACTCAAAGGTAGATTGCAAACTCGTGGTGAGACAGGAGAACATGTGATGTAGGTAGATCTCCTGTTAATAAGTCCTTTTGTTTACTGTACGTAGAATACTAAGAGCAAAAGAATGAGAGATTTACAACTGCACTCAACAACCTGAGTGAATTTCACAAACATGATGCTGAGCAATGGTGAGTGAAAGAAGGCAAACACAAAGGAATAGGCCCTGTATGCTTCCGCTTATGTAAAGGACAGAAACAAGCAAAAATGATTCTATGGTGTTGAAAGTCAGAATAACAGTGTATTATGTTCCCAGGACTGCTGTAACAAATTATCACAAGCTGGTGGCTTGAAACAACAGGAATTTATTCTCTCACAGTTCTGGAGACTGGAATTCCAAAATCAAGGTGTCAGCAGAGTCATGCCCCCTCTCCAGGCTCCAGGGAGGGGCCTTCCTTGCTGCTTCCAGCCTCTGTTGCCGCCTGTAATCCTTGGTGCTCCTCAGCGTGTGGCTGCATCTCCGATCTCAGTCTCCATGTCACATGGCCATCCTTCCTGCATGTGTCTGTGTCTTCCCATGGCGTTCTCCTCTCTGTGTGTTGGGTCTTTGTCCTCTTAAGAGGACACCAGTCATTGGATTAGGGTCCACCCCAATGCAATATGGCCTCATCCTGATTTGATTACATCTGCAAGGACCCTATTTCCAAATAAGGTCACATTCTGAGATTCTTGGGGTTAGGACTTGAATATAACTTTTTAGGGACATGATTCTACTCCTTTAAAGGGCTCTCCCTGAAGAGGGTTGTTGAGTGATTGAGAAGCAGGAGGAGTCTTCAGGAGTGCTGGTGATGTTCTGTTTCTTGATCTGCATGCTATCTACTCCTGGCTTCCATTTATGAAAATTCATCCAGCTCTTCCCTTACAATATATACCCTTTTCTGTATGCATGTTTTGCTTCAATAAAAACAATTTTTTAAGTCACCTTTGTTTAGAATTTGCACTTGTTTATTCTTTTGATTTATGTTTCTCTAAAATATTAGAGAAAAGCAAATCTATCAGCGTCTCGAAAGAAGGCAAAAGAAGACAGTAATTAGATATATCACCATGAGCTTTGATTTCTCCTCTATATCTGAGATTGAGAAACAACATAATGAGTAAGAGCCACAATGTATTCAATATTTGATATTTTTATTCTTCACAATAACATCTATGTACATTTGAAAAATATTTGTACATAAATGTCTCAAGCATTATATATTTGTTTGCAGATTATACTTGACTGCCATATGGATTCACAGGCACCTTGCAGTAATTTCATGTAATTTTTGACTCTGTATTCACAGGTGGGGGCTCTCAAGTTTAAAATCCTTTAGGGAATAATGTGCAATTTGGATCAGGCTACCTGGGTTGGGATTCCAGACTCTGCCATTTTATTTGGTGTAGGACATTGGTGTGTGCCTCAGTTTTCCCACTGATAAAATGGAGTGATATAATATTATCTAATTCATAGGATTGTTGTATTAAGTTATAATGTGAGAAACACTTAGAAATCTTGCTGATACACAGTAATTGTGCTAGATTATATATAAGCATTAGCTATTATTATTACTACTGCTGGTATTGTTATTATCAGGATTTGCAAGTCTGTGGCTATTGTCAGAATGAAGGACTAAGGTGGTAGCTACCCTGCCGCTGATTGGAGTGGGTGTTAGGGGTAGACATAATTGGGAGGGAGGGTGTCTTACCGTCTAAAAAGCAGTGACTTATCAGATTTTTTCTGGCAAGAAGTCCTGCAAAGTGGGGGTATGTCCTATGGGCACCATCAGGCACCACAGAGCATCACATGAGGTCCTCAGGGTCACAAAGATTTCGTGAGTCCCCAAACCATGCCTGGGGCTGAGAGAGCCTCAAGAATCACCTCCTACAAACCAAGTTTAAAAATGAAATTCCTTATCATCAAGGAAAAAGAAATGGTACTCTCCATTCAGTACATGGAACCTGGTCTCAGTACATCACCCCATGCGGCCCAGTAAGGCTTTCACAGGAAATAAACTGGGACCCTGCTGGTCTACTTCTTAAAGTCAGCTAGGCCAAATGGAAAGGATGACCAGGTACTGAGGAGGACCCCCTACACAGCAAATGGCAGCTGTTTACCTGAATGCCAAGCCTGCTCCACATGGTATGGCTCCTGGGGACCCAGATGGGAGGGAGCAGGGACAGTGTTTCTGTGAGGTCCTTTATCTGCCCAGGAAACTCAGTATACTATTCCCATTGCTCCCCAAGCACCTAAGACCTTCCACAGGAAAGTCTGTGACTTTCAAACATTGGTTTGCCTTTAAAACTTGGCTCCCCCTTGTTCACACAGCAAGATTATGGTTGACTGGTTTTAGGGTTTGTTCTTATCAAAACTAGGGTGCTCCCCAATTTGGTCTGTCTTGGTCCTTTTTGGGTCGCTATAACAGAATACCACAGACTGGGAAAATTATAAAGAAAAGAAATTCATTTCTTACGGTTCTTGAGGCTGGAAAGTCCAAGATCAAGCAGCCACATCTGGTGAGGGCCTGGTGCTACTTTGTAGCATGGTAGCAAAGCAGAAGGCAAGGCAAGTGCACATGAAGGAGAGGGGTGATAAATGGGCAACCTGCTTTATAACCACCCACTCTCTCGAGAATGAACCTTGTCCCATAAGAACTGCATTAATCCCTTCATGAGGACAGAGTCCCCATGACCCAAAAACCTCCCACTAGGCACCACCTTCCAGCATTGCACATTGAGGAATTAAAGTTCTAACACATGAACTTTTGGGGAACACACTCAAACCAGGGCAGGGTTAAAATTTCTTCCTTTCTCTCTCTCTCTTTCCTTGGCATCATCTTGTCTCCACCTCAGATAGTTATGTTCCTCAAGTCTTTTCTCTACTCTCCTTATCAAAAAGAATCTGGTAAAACTGTCTTCAGGCTCAATGACAGAAAAAATTTCTAGATGTCTTTCAGTGTTGTGGGGAGGTATCAGGCGGGGTGGGGAATTTCAAGCCCCAGCTGAATGAATAATTTCTAAGTGACAGAGTGGGAAAGACCTGGACCCAGGACCAAAGGACCATGTTTATATCATTAATTATGTGACCATTTGATGGTTACTTGATCTCTCTGTGCCTCAGTTTCCTCATCTGTAAGATGAGGACTTTTGCCATTGGATCACGAGAAGATAAAATGAATTATTACATGTAAAGCACTAAGTAGGGCATGTCAGGTGAAAAAACATTTAAGTAATGTCAATTAGGTCCCTTCCAGCTTGAATATGCTGAATTCATGGTTATATTTTAACAAGGAGTCACTTCGAAAGCCCCTGAAATTATATCATGATGAGTTTTTTAAGCTACATGTAAAGATGAATCAGGCTGCTTAGGTCTAATTAAAATATGTGTGTGTGTGTGTGTGTGCATGTGTGCATGTGTGTGTCTGTTGAGTCATTTTAAAAAAGGTGGTAAAATTCACATAACATAAATTGCCATTTTAGCTACTTTTAAGTATAAAGTTCAATGCCATTAAGTACGTTTACATTGTTGTGCAACTATCATCATTATATGTCTCCAGAACTTCTTTATCCATATGGAAACTGTGTACCCATTAAATAATAATTTCCCATTTTCCTCTTCCTGAAACCCTCGGCAACCACTGTCCTACATTCTGTCTGTATGAATTCAACTATTCCAGGTGACTTACATAGGTGGAACCATATATTGTTTGTCTTTTTTGTGTCTGGTTTATTTCACTTAGCATAATGTCTTCAAGGTTCATCTCTATTGTACATGTATCAGAATTTCACTCCGAGTTGAGGCTGAATAATATTCCCTTGTATGTGTCAACCACATTTTGTTTATCCATTCAAACACTGATGGGCATTTGTGTTCTTTTTCACATTTTGGCTATGGTAATTAATGCTGCTATACACATTGGTGTACAGAATCTACTTAAGTCTCTTTTTTCAACTCATATATATATATATATACACACACATACCCGAAGTGGAATTACTGCACCAAATGTAATTTTTTTTTTCTTTTTGAGACAGAGTCTTGCTCTGTTGCCCAGGCTGGAATGCAGTGTTATGATCTTGGCTCATTGCAACTTCTGCCTCTCAGGTTCAAGCTATTCTCCTGCCTCAGCCTCCCGAGTAGCTGGGATTACAGGCACGTGCCACCACACCCAGCTAATTTTTGTATTTTTAGTAGATATGGGGTTTCACCATGTTGGTCAGGCTGGTCTCGAACTCCTGACATCAAGTGATCCACCTGCCTCGGCCTCCCAAATTGCTGGGATTACAGGCTTGAGCCACCACCCCTGGCCACCAAATGTAATTTTATGTGTAGATTTTTGAGGAATTGCCATGCTGTTTTCCTCAGTGGCTGCACCATTTTACATTCCCACCAGCAACGCACAAGTGCTGAATTTCTCCACATCCTTGCCAAATCTTGTTGTTCCCTATTTTTTTAAAAAATAATAATAGCTGTGATGTTTAATTTTATATATCAACTTGACTGGTTCATGGTGCCTAGATAGTTGGTCAAACATTATTCTGGGTGTTTCTGTGAGGGTGTTTTGGGGTGAGGTTAACACTTAAACTGGTAAAACTTTGAGTAAAGCAGCGTGCCCTCCATAATGTGGGTGGGCTTCATCCAATAAGTTGAGGGCCTGAACAGAACACAAGACAACCCTCCCCTGAGTAGTAGGAGTTCTCCAGCAGGCTTTTAGCCTCAAACTGGAACATCGACTCTTCCTGGTTCTCCAGCTTGACAGCCTGCTAACTGGAACTACACCGTTGGCCCTGCACAATATGTGGGTCATTTCTTACAACAAATCTCAATATATCTTACAACTATCTATTATCTGTCTATCTATCTATCTATCTATCTATCTATCTATCTATCTATCTATCATCTATCGATCTATCTAATACATATTCAAATACTAATGAGACCTTCACAGCCATTAGGATGGCAATTATATTAGTCAAAGTTTTCCAGTACAATAGGACCAAAGTCTACCTATCTATATCTATCTAAGATAGATCAATAGATAGCTGATAGATGGATAGATAGATAGATCCATAGATTGATAGATTGATAGATATAGATAGGTAGACTTTGGTCCCGTTGTGCAGGAAAACTTTGACTAATACAATTGCCATCCTAATGGCTGTGAAGGTCTCATTCGTATTTGAATATGTATTATGAATAAATATGTAATACATACACACTGTATATAAAACTTTTATTGAGACCCACCATGAGCCAGACACTGCTCTTATGCACTTTACATGTCTTAGCTCATGTGATGCTCACAATAACCACATAAAGCAGGTATGATTATGGTCTCCAGTTTATAGATGAAAAAGCAGGCACATAGAGGGTAAGTACGCATGACCTTGCCTATGGTCATGCAGCTGGAATGTGGTGATCTGAACTCAGCAGTCTGGCTCCAGAATCCTTGCTTTTGCCAAAGGACACTCAGACGTCTTCTCTTCTGGTAGCTTTGCTTAATTCTACTTATTTTGGTAACTTCTTATGCACTGGATTTCCCTTTCATCACCTCCCCTCTTCCTAAAAGTCCTTCTGTACATCTACTTTCTAACATCAATCAAGGCTGGGTACTGCAATATTTCCTATTGTGACATATGGTGTAAAGGGAAATAACAATGCCTTCTGGTCTGAACAGAACCCTAAAAATATGCTCTTGAGAAAAAGAAATTAGGGACTGCTTTTATCCTCTACATTGGAAGAGGAAAAAAAGTAAATCATTTAAAAATGAAAATTATTCCCATAATGTATTTCAACCAAATAATTAAAGTGTACTCAACTATTAATTACACTTCAAGATTTTCCTCGCTCTGCTCTGCAGGTCTCTCCTTTTTCTGGGGGTTAAGTGAGGACAAGTTCTTTGAGGTAGCACTGAATTCCATTTCAAGAAAAGTCTCACAAGGCTGGTTAGGCTAAGATTCTCATCCAAGAGAATTGCCCAGCCAAGCAATTAAGTCACCTTCAGAAGTTTCTAACTTCCAGCCAAACTTGGTAGAAGTGGGAGCCACAGCTTTCTTTTTTTTTTTTTTTTTTTTTTTTGAGACAGAGTCTCACTCTGTTGCCAGGCTGGAGTGCAGTGGCGTAGTCCCGGCTCACTGCAACCTCCACCTCCCGGGTTCAACTGATTCTCCTGCCTCAGCCTCCTGAGTAGCTGAGATTACAGGCACGCACCACCATGCCTAGCTAAATGAGGGAGTTTTATTTTGTTGTTTTTATTTATTTATTTATTGAGACAGAGTCTCGCTCTGTTGCCAGGCTGGAGTGCAGTGGCGCGATCTCGGCTCACTGCAATCTCTGACTCCCTGGTTCAAGTGATTTTCCTGCCTCAGCCTCCCAGGTAGCTGGGATTACAGGCACGCACCACCATGCCCAGCTAACTTTTGTGGTTTTAGTAGGGACGGGGTTTCACCATGTTGGCCAGGATGGTCTCCTGACCTCGTGATCCACCCGCCTTGGACTCCCAAAGTGCTGGGATTACAGGCGTGAGCCACCACGCCTGGCCGGGTTTGATTTTTTTTTTTTTTTTTTTTTTTTTTTTTAAGATCAAATTCTCCCTCCAGGAAAAAATGTATCCAGGACTTGAAACTTGAAAACAGTACTAAGCTAGGCCCCTCTCTAGAATTGCTGCAAATGTTTTCACAGCCCGTCTTTCAAAACAAAAGACTATAATTTCATCAAAGCTGTTTGCTTTGCCCTTGGTCGGCTTCTCAGAATAATCACCTCTACAGTCTGCAACGTGTCTTGGAAATGTGGGCTTTCCCGGGGTTGTAAAGCGTTACAGCTACTGCTAGAAGGAGGCTTTTCAGGGCATGCCATTCTGCACATGGTTTCTGAGACTTTTAAATCGGAGAGGGAGCTCAAAGACCACGAAATCATACCTGTTAACTTTACAGGTGAGGAAAGGAAGGCTCAGAGGCACTGTGGGGAGCCGCTGAAAGATTTTAAACAGGGATGGGCCAACGGGGCTCTCTGTAAGTCTCTCCTGTTCAATTCAATGATTAAATCTATGGGTGATACAAAGCAAGAGTTGAAGAGACTGCTAGAGGTTGGGACAAAATGCTCAAACCAATACGTTGAAGTTCAACAAAGAGAAATAATAAAGCACTGCTTCTGTCTACAGAACCAGCAAAACTCTCTGATAACTTGAGGATGTGGGGCAGGGGAGGAGGTTTAGCTGACTGCAATTTGTGTATGAGTCTGCAGAGACAGTGGCCAGCCAGACACTTAAGAACCTAATTAAATTCTAATAATGATGCAACCACATTGTGTTAGTATTTGGATACAGTCTGGAAGAAGTCACAGAATTCATGGTAGTCATCTTTGGGCAGTGGAACTAGGAGGAAGAAAGGGCTATATGTTTTACTTTACACATATTGTATTACTTGACTTATTTTACAATGAGCATTTTATTAATTTTGTAATAAGCAAATCTTAAAAAGTTAAAAAAATAGTAATTAACAAAAACTGAGGATAAAGAAAGATGTTCAGATGAAGAACGGGAATAGTCTCATGTGCTAGATAGACTGCAGGGAATGTCTATTGTGTAGCCTTGAGCATAAAAAGGATGTCAGTCAGCTAAAGTACTGTATTCAGGAGGAGAGGAATCAAGACAGTGAAGGGTGCTATGAATTAGGTCATGGAGGGGATTTTCTTAAATGTTTAATTTTTGTGGGTACATAGTAGGTGTATATATTTATGATATTTATGGGGTACATGAGATACCTTGATACAGGCATATGATGTATAATAATCACATCAAGGTAAGTGGGGTATCCATCACCTCAAGCATTTACCTTTTGTGTTACAAACAATTCAATTATACTCTTTTAGTTACTTTTAAACATATAGTTAAATTATTGACTATAGTCCCCCTGTTGTGCTATCAAATACTAGATCTTATTCATTCTTTCTATTTTTTGTACCCATTAACCATCCCCATCCCCCACTCCCCAAACCCTCACTACCCTTCCCAGCTTCTGGTAACCATCACTCTATTTTCTATCTCCATGAGTTCAATCATTTTAATTTTTAGCTCCCATAAATAAGTGAGAACGTGTGAAGCTTGCCTTTCGGTGCCTGGTTTATCACTTAATGTAATGACCTCCAGTTCCATTCATGTCATTGCAAATGACAGGATCTCATTTTTTTTTAATGGCCGAATAGTACTCCATTGTGTATATGTACCACATTTTCTTTATCCATTTGTCCATTGATAGACACTTAGGTTGCTTCCAAACATTGGTTATATGGAGGGGATTTTTGAGTGAATGTAGCTAACTTCAAATTTTTGAAGGCTCAGTGTGGGAAACGGAGTTATCTTCTATGTCATTTTGAAGAACTAGTACATGGAAACGAATTTCTTCATTCATCAGTCAGTCAGTCACAAAATACCACAAACAAAGTGTATCCTTCTTAGCAAAGCAGTTGAGAAAGTATTTTCTCTAGCAGAGAATTAGACTAAGAATAATGAGCTGCTTATTCTTGAATGTATTCAAGGAAAAATTGGCTGACCAATTTGCAGGGATTAACACTTGCATTTTTAAGGATGAAGGGCTAGAAAATATCTAATGATTCTCATCAATTTGTAATCACATCAGTTTCCTGCTTAAAAATACCCTAAGGCTTCAAATTGCCAAGAATAGAAAGGAATCACAGTATTCCTTTATTAATATCACAGCATTCACTGTGATACTCAAGGCCCTTCAGAATGTTGCTCTGATCTGTCTTTCCCAGGTTATCTCCTACTGTCCCCATTAGGGAGCCATTTCCAAGCTAAACTGGTCCATTGATCACGTAGCTTCTTCCCTCCTTGCCTTTCTATTTTTTTTTAAATAAAATTTTATTTTTCTAGATACAAGGTCTTTCTATATTGGCCAGGTTGGTCTTGAACTCTTGGCCTCAGGCCATCCTCCTGCACTTCAGCCTCCAAAAATGCTAGGATCACAGGCTTGAGCCACCATTCCTGGCCCTTTCCTTGCCTTTCTTTTGTTCATGCTGTTATTTCCTAGAATGCTCTTTTGGCTCTTTGCCCAGGGAAATGCAACTCCTTTTTCAATTTGAATCATCAAATACTACCTTGCTTTGAAGCTTCCCTGCTCTTGTAGGTATGACTCTGCAGAGCTGACATTTACTACTAGGAATGCACAGCCATACCAATAGTTTACAGTTAGGGTCCACTCCACTTGGTGAGTCAGTGCCCATGCCGTATCAGAGGTTGAAAATGTTAAACATCACCCTGCTGTCACTGTAACACATGTAACACATGTTATATATTGTACATATTGTAAACACAAATATAATATTATAAAAGGCCTAGCACCCCCATAGCCATGAAGGAAATCTGAGTGAAATGAATTCATTGATTTTAACTATCTGTAGTTCTAATCCTTACCAGCTGGTTAACTCTTCCAACTTCAGCAAGTGGGTAGCACCTTCACACATAGGTTGAAATTGGTCTGATATATAAATGCTGTATTTCTTACTCCTTTTATTTTTTTTTTTAAACTACTGTAGAGGTCTTTGGGAATATTCTGAGAATACACTTAGTTGAAGTAGTCAAATTTTCAGAGTCAGGGATACCTATATCCACAATTCTAAGAGGGGGCAGGATAGAGTCCAACAGACAGAATCTCTTACAGAATGCAGTTCAACTTCAGAGTCCAACAGATCTGAGTTTGAATTCTGTCTGTGCTAAGTGCTAGGGTTGTTTTTACAGCTGTCAAACCCAGAACACTAAGCAGTAATAATATCTACTTTTACTGAGTGCTTACTGTGTGCTTTGCATAGAGCTTAATGCATTGTATATGGGATTTTATGAAATCCTCCTTTCAACAACCCTGTGAGGAAGGTACCATTTTTGTGCCTTTTTTTTTTTTTTTTTTTTTTTTACAGATGAGGAAACTGAAGCCTAGCTACAGTAATAACATATTCAAGGTCATATGACTAGCACTTGGCATCAACAATGGCCGTTGTAACTTCCACTAGCTGCTCACAATATACATAAACTTATCTGCAGTGCCTGGTTCCTAAAAGGCATGATACAATGTTCAGTATATTCAAACATGTGTTTCAATGTTTGGAGCATTTGGATTCCAAAAGGAGAACTTTATGCTTTTATATTTTTATGTTTAACATCGCAGTTTTTGCCTGAAATCCAGGAACAAATGGACTTGAACAAATTGTATTAGGCCCTTTACATGGGCAGAGCATTGTGGCTTGCATTTACTCAAATCCAAATTAAGGTCTAAATCCAAAGAAAGAAAATCACCTTTTTCCAAGAACCAAACTCCACGGGGAGAGTAAGTAGGCCAAGCACCTCCTGGACAAACCACTGGAAGGGATCCATCATTTCTTTCAACTTTTGTTACTTGCTACCAGCCCTGAAATAAACCTGTTTGTGCCAACACTCGTTATTTCTCCACCTCCAAAGAAAGTCAGCATTCAAACAATATGGAAGATTCTGGATAGGCCATTGTAATAATGAGTCATTCTAATGGAAAGTTTAAGTGCCAATTCTGCATCTTTCTAGCTGTGTGATTTTACCATACGCCAGCCTTTCTGAGGCTCAGTCCTTGTTTTCCAATCTCTAAAATGGGGATAATAATGTAACTTTGCTAGTTTCTTAACCTGTGACTCAGGTTTTCTTCCAATTCATACAATAAAGATAATAACTACTTCAGATTTGTTGTGAAAGCTAAATGAGGAATATATATGTATATGTAAAAATATACATTATGTTATACACTATATATAACATATAGTATAAATATGCACGAATTACTATGACAAGTATGAAGTGTTACGATTAATGAATATGGCATAAAGGAAGGGGGAAGGGATTTTTCTGCAGAAATTCACTTGCTGAGGTGATAAATCAGAGGTGATAAATCAGGTGGGCAAATTACTCCATTTACTTATCATACTGATCAGCCCTGCCTACCTCACAGACCTTTCTTTTAACTTTTTTCTTCTTTTTAATTTTAAGCATTTTGTAAAGATGAGGTCTCACTATATTGCCCAGGCTGGCCTCAAACTCCTGAGTTCAAGCAATCCTCCTGCCTTGGCCTCCCATGTTATTTTTTTCTTACTTCATAAATATTCATATTGTATAAAAATATAAGATGCAGGCAAACAAAGATACAAAAGAACTAGAAATACACTCACAACCCCATTATCCAGATATAATTTTGATGTATACCATTCCAGACTTATTTCTATACATGTACTTGTGTGTGTGTATTTCTAAAATGAGATCATTTGGTGTACAATTTTTTTTTTTTTTTTGAGATGGAGTCTTGCTCTGTCGCCCAGGCTGGAGTGCAGTGGTGCAATCTCGGCTCACTGCAACCTCTGCCTCCTGGGTTTAAGCGATTCTCCTGCCTCAGTCTCCCGAGTAACTGGGATTACAGGCATGTGCCACCACACCTGACTAATTTTTTTGTATTTCTAGTAGAGACGAGGTTTCACCGTGTTAGCCAGGATGGTCTCGATCTCCTGACCTTGTGATCCACCCGCCTCGGCTTCCCAAAGTTCTGGGATTACAGGAGAGAGCCACCACACCTAGCCCTGTGTACTATTTTATAGCCTTACTTTTTTAGCTTAACAGAATGTCTTGAACATCTTTCATTGTTAATAAATATATTTTATATCATTTTAGAATATGTAATATTGTATATATTATAATTTGGTAAATATTCCTATGTAAAAATATTCCTCTGTAAAGCTATACCACACTTTATTTAATCATTATGCAATGTCGAACCATTTATTTCAAATTGTTTTCTATTTATAAATGAGTCTGTGGTAAACACCCTTAGAGCTAAAACTGATCACATAAATGGTTATAAGTGTTAAAATACATAGAAGTGGAATTACTGGTTCAAAAAAGTACATACCTTTTTAACAGCTTATTGAACTATAATTTACCAAAAGGGTACAATTCGATAATTCTTAGTACATTTATAGAGTTGTGCAACCACCACCACAGTTCAGTTTGAGAATGTTTTCATCAGCCCTAAAAGTTTCTTCATGCTGATGTGCCTAACTCCAGGCAACCGCTGATCCACTCTACAAATTGTCTTTTCTGGAAATGTCATACAAATGGAATCATACAAAAAGTACTGTTTTGTGTCCGGCTGCTTTCCCTTAAATAATGTTTTGAGGTTATTCATCTGGCAGCACATATTAGCAACTTGTTCCTTCATACTGCCCAAGAGTATTTCAGTGAATGGGTAGACCACATTTTGTGTATTCATTCATGAGTTGATGACTTTTGGGTTGTTTCTACCTTTAGCTCTTTCAAATAATGCTACTGTGAGAATTCACATAAAAGTCTTTGTATGGACATGGACATATATTTCACTTCTCTTGGGTAAATACTTAATAATGGAATTACTAGGTTGTATGGTAAATTTATTTTCAACTGTATAAAAATCTGCATACTATTTTCCAAAGTGGCTGTACCAGTCCACATTCCGGGTACAATGTGTTCAGGTGCCAGTTTCTCCACATCCTTGCAGAGACTTGATATTACCAATATTTTGGATTATAACCATTCTAGTAGATGTGTAGTGGTATTTCACTATAGTTTTAATTTGGATTTTCATAATGATTAATGATGTTGAGCACTGTTACATATGCATATTAGCTATTTGTATACCTTCTTTAGTAAAATATCTATTCAAATATTTCACCAATTTTTTTTTTTTTTGAGATGGAGTCTCGCTCTGTCACCCAGCTGGAGTGCAGTGGTGTCATCTTGGCTCACTGCAACCTCTGCCTTCTGGGTTCAAGTAATTCTCCTGCCTCAGCCTCCTGAGTAGCTGGGATTACAGGTGCACACCACCACACCCAGCTAATTTTGGTATTTTTAGTAGAGAAAGGGTTTCGCCATGTTGGCCAGGATGGTCTTCGTCTCTTGACCTCGTGACCCTCCTGCCTCAGCCTCCCAAAGTGCTGGGATTACAGGGATGCGCCATGGTGCCTGGCCTATTTCACCAATTTTTAAGTTGGATTTTTTGTTTTTCAGAGTTAGTTGTAAGAGTTTTTTTATATATTCTAAATACATATCCTTTATTAGATACATGATTTGAAAATATTTTATTTCATTCTATAGCCTATCTTTTCATAATCCCAGGTAGTTTTTTCTTTTTGATGCTATTGAGAATGGAGTTGTTTTCTTAATTTCATGTACAAATTGTTTGTTGCTAGTATATAGAAATACAATTGACTTCTTGTTTTTCAATTGATTTCTGCATATTGATTTTATTTCCTGCAGCCTGCTAAAATTATATAGTTTTATTAGTTTTAGTAGGGTTTTTAAAATTTGGTAGATTCCTTAGGATTTTCAATGTATAGGATCAAGGTTTTTAAAATTGAGATGAAATTCACATAACATAAAATTAATCATTTAAAAATATACAATTCAGTGACATTTAGTACATTCACTTGGTTGTGCAGCCACCATCCCATCTGCTTCCAAAACATAACACTCCAAAAGAAAACCCCATACCAATTAAGCAGTCACCCCTCATTTCCTGCATCCAACCCCCAGCTCCTTGCATCCATCTGTTTTCTGTCTCTATGGGTTTATCTATTCTGTATATTTCATATACATGGAATCATACAGCATGAAACCTTTTGTGTGTGAATTTTTTCACTTAGTATGACGTTTTAGAGGTTCATCCATATTGTGGGTATGTATCAGTTCTTCCTTTTTATAATGTACCATTGTATGTCTATATCATATTTTGCTTATTCTTTCATCTGTTAATGGACATTTGGGTTGTTTCCATCTTTTGGCTATTGCGAATAGTGCTGCTATGAGCATTTGTGCCCAAGCACATCTTTGAGTCTCTGTTTTGATTTATTTTCAGTGTAGACATAAGACTGGAATTGCCGTGTTATATGGTAATTCCATGTTTAACTTGAGAAACCACCAAATTGCTTTCCATAGTGTGTGTACCATTTTACATTCTCACCAGCAATGCACGAAGGTTCCAAAAACATGACATCTTTGCCAAAACTTATTATTTTCTGCTTTTTTTTTTTTTTTTTTGAGACAGAGGTTCACTCTTGTTGCTCTGGCTAGAGTGCAATGGCGCGATCTCGGCTCACTGCAACTTCTGTCTCCTAGTTTCAAGCAATTCTCCTGCCTCAGCCTCCTAAGTAGCTGGGATTATAGGCATGCACCATCATGCTCAGCTAATTTTGTAGTTTTAGTAGAGATGAGGTTTCACTATGTTAGTCAGGTTGGTCTCAAACTCCTGACCTCAGGTGACCTACCTGCCTTAGCCTCCCAAAGTGCTGGGATTACAGGTGTGAGCCACCGCACCCAGCCTATTTTCTGTTTTCTATAAATTATAACCCCCCTGTGGGGTATGAGGTGGTATTTCATTGTGGTTTTGATTTGTATTTACCTAATGGGATTATATTTTGTAAAGTCTATATATTTTTAGTTATTTTCCTGGTGATTGCTTTAGGAATTACAATATGCATCTCCATTTGCTTTTCACATTTTACTTGAGGCTATTCCTGACTTCATTTGAGTAAAATATGGCAACTTTGTTCCAATATGTTTCCATTTTATTCACTCTACTTTGTGCTATTTTTGTCATATGTATTACATCGATATGTATTGAAAACCAAATAATATAGTGTAGTAATTGTTTCTTTAGACAATATTATATCTTTTAAAAGACACTAAAGAATGAGAAGAGACAAAACATTTATACAGTCTTTTATATTTGCCCACATATTTACCATTTGCCTCTTTCTGTCCATCCTGGTTATCATCTGATGCCATTTTATTTCAGCCTGAAGAACTTATTTTGGTATTTACTATAAGGCAAGTCTCCTAGCAACACTGCTCAATTTTTGTTCAACTGCAAATAACATTATTTTGCCTTTGTCTTTGAAGAATAGCTCTGTTGGATATATAATTTTTTTTTAAGATAGAGTCTTGCTCTGTTGCCCAGGCTGGAGTGCAGTGGCATGATCATAGCTTGCTGCAATCTCAAACCCATGGGCTCAAGCAGTCCTCCTGCATCAGCCTTCCTAGTAGCTAGGACTACAGGCATGAGCCACTGAGCCCAGCTAGAATTCTTTCTTGACAGAATTCTTTCAGCACTTCCAACATGTTGTTCCACTGCCTTGTGCCGTCTATTGTTTCTGATGAGAAGTCAGTTACTAATCATACTGCTGTTTCCCTGTTAGGTGGTAAGTCATTTTTCCTCTTGCTGTTTTTGATTTTGTCTTTGTTTTTGGCTTTTAATAGTTTGATTGTTATGTGTCTAGGTGAGAGTCTATTTGCACTTATCCTACTTAGGCATTATTGAACTTCTTGGATCTACAGATCAATGCATGCAGTGTCCCAGTTAGCTAGGGATGTGTGGAGAGCTTCTATGTCAAGTTTCTATGATTCTATCATTTCCAGGATCTTCTTGTCAAATTTCTGGATAGTTCCCCATTCTGTCTTTCAGCCCAACTAGCAATGCAACTTCAAACTATCAGTACTATTCCCTATTTGTTTGCTACTTTTACTGACAATACTCCTGGGCACAGATTTTCCTCCCTCAACCCCAAATCAAATCCTTTCTAGTATCAAAGCTACTGATATGCACAGATTGCCCCACACTACTGGGTCACAAGTTGGCTGGCAGGATGGGAATATTTCCAGACAATAATATAGTAGACTCCTTCTCTTTTCACCCAAAGTTCAGCAGCTTTTCATGAGTATATATTTTTAAATTTTCTGTTTGCCTTTGGTCAACTTCCAGAGCCCTGAAATACTTATTTTTGAATAACTTTGTCCAGTTTTGTCACTGCAGGTGTTTGGGGGAAGGGGGAGAGATTTGCCTTCCTCATCTTTCTGCTCTACTCAGATGTTCTGTCTATGCATGCATTTTTATTTTATTTTTTGAGACAGAGTCTCACTTAGTCACCCAGGCTGGAGTGCAGTGGTGCAATCTCGGCTCACTGCAACCTCTGCCTCCCAGGTTCAAGCTATTCTCCTGCCTCAGCCTCCCAAGTAGCTGGGACTACAGACATGCGCCACCATGCCTGGCCAATTTTTTTGTATCTTTTTTTTTTTTTTAAATTTTTTAGTAGAGATGAGGTTTCACCATGTTGGTCAGGTTGGTCTCAAACTCCTGACCTAAAATGATCTGCCCGCCTCGGCATGCCAAAGGGCTGGGATTACAGGCGTGAGCCACTGCGTCCGGCCTGGTGCATGCATTTTTGATACTTTTGATACAGAGAGATAAATTGCTTTCCAGAAACATTATGCCAATTTATGCTCCTGTCAGTAGTATATGACAGTGCCAGTTTCCCTATATGTTTTCCAGGATTGGATAATAGCATTAAATGAATATATTGTAATTTATAGGTAAAAACTGCATTACATTGTGGATTTAATTTCAATTTCTCTAATTACAATTACTTTAAGGATCTTACTTAAGAATAGGATGAGATGATGTTATATGTGTTAAACTTCCCCTGGATATAAAATTTTTCTGTAGAAATGCGAGGCATGTATTACTGTCTTGCAATACTTAGATTCTGACCACAAACCAAAATAGTTCTCATAGTTCTCATGTTTAAGATACTTAGGATAAGCCCAGAAAGACCCCTGCTTTACATATGGAGAACTCAGAGTTGAATACATGTATCGTATCCTCCTGTAGGAATACTAGTGATGATGTTCCAGCAAACCAATCTTCAAGATTAAAATAATTTCTCAATAAAGGTAGGAACTGCAGGATTTAGCGGAAAATTGGTGGAGAGGAGACAAACCACAACTCACGTAACAGCTCAGTGTTTGTGGACAAGTTCTAATATGGCTTTAAATATCTGAGAATGTTAAGACAACAGTTTTATGACAGTGTCCTGAGACTTTCCAGGAATTATACATAAAATTCAGCATTTCCTCTGAAGGGAACCAGGATATAAGAAGGAAAATCCATTGCAAGTCCATAAAACCCAGGATATGAGGGCATGGACTTGTTTTTCTCTTGATAACATAATACACAATTGATTGTAGAAAATATAGAAAATTCATATATGCAAAAGAACACAAATTCTCATTATCTTACCATCCAAAGATAACCACCAATATAAGTCTGTGCATAGCCTTCTTGGTTTTAAAAATGGGAAAGATAAAGAGAGGAAGGGATATTTTATAATCTGTATGAGTCTGTTTGTTTTTATTTTTTAAAATTTTAATTAATTAATTAATTAATTTTTTTAAATTTTTTTTTTAGGATCAGGATTTATCCATCATTTTTATTTCAATAGATAGCCAAATAAGACCCAGGAAAATTACATTTGCATAATGTCAGAAAGCAAAGTACTAGGAGAAAACATATTAAATTTTCTATTTTTTAACTTCCAGCCATTATTCCCTTAATGATGATGAATTCTATTACATTACACTATTATTTCCTATATGTTCTATTTCACTTTTAAAAGCTTCTGTTTTATTATTTTGTAAAAACCTTGAACTGGCTTTTCTTTGAGGCCAACAATGTTAGCAAAATAGAATGTGAAAGTTTCAAACTAAGATATATTAACATTTATTTTTAGAGTAACCATTAATATTTAGAATATAAAATTAATATTTTTTTGTTTTTAAACTCTTGCACTTCTTCTAAGCCTTTTGATGCTACTTCAATTGGAAGAGGAGGCTGCCAAGGAGAAGTTAGAACAGTGGAACCCGACTGAAGGTATCAAATCAATTTTTAAAGCCCATGAGTTAAGAAGGTGATGAGGAATCCATCCACAACCAGTTAACAGGACTTTTATTATAATATCTGGAAAGACAATGTCACCACCTGTCTTAGGAGGTGGGAGGTGAACAAAGAATCATGACAGTGCGCTAAAGCAGTACTTCACAAACAACCAGTGGTGATGGATGAGTTTCAAATTTCCAACCCATCCTGGACTGATGTTTTTGTGAAATATAAAATCACACATTTGGGTATCACTGTAATTTCAAATTGCTGTAAATTACTCTAAATTTCTTTACTTATTGCAGAATTATAGTAAATGCTTGTAGGTCACCATAGGCCCATGGATCCCACATTGGGTAGGTCTGTACTAAAATACTTGTCTTGTTTCAGGGACAAATTAGTTATCAATAGTGATTAAGACAGTAATATGCTGATGAATGTCTAACAATTGGTTCTCTGAAGGGGGGATGAGAGGTGAAGCCAGCTGGACTTCCTGGGTCGAGTGGGGACTTGGAGAACTTTTCTGTCTAGATAAAGGTTTGTAAACGCACCAGTCAGCACTCTGTGAAAACGCACCAATCAGGGCTCTGTGTCTAGCTAAAGGTTTGTAAATGCACCAATCAGCACTCTGTAAAAACGCACCAATCAGCGCTCTGTGTCTAGCTAAAGGTTTGTAAATGCACCAATCAGCACTCTGTAAAAATGCACCAATCAGCACTCTATCTAAAGGTTTGTAAATGCGCCAATCAGCACACCAATCAGCACTCTGTAAAATGGACCAATCAGCAGGACATGGGTGGGGCCAAATAAGGGAATAAAAGCTGGCCACCCGAGCCAGCAGCAGCAACCCCCTTGGGTCCCCTTCCACACTATGGAAGCTTTGTTCTTTTGCTCTTCATAATAAATCTTGCTGCTGCTCACTCTTTGTGTCCACACTACCTTTATGAGCTGTAACACTCACCAAGAGGGTCTGCGGCTTCATTCCTGAAGTCAGTGAGACCACGAACCTACTGGAAGGAAGAAACTCCAGACACATCTGAACATCTGAAGAAACCAACTCCAGACACATCATCTTTAAGAACTGTAACACTCACTGTGAGGTTCCGCGGCTTCATTCTTGAAGTCAGCGAGACCAAGAACCCACCAGAAGGAACCAATTCCAGACACATTTTGGCAACCACAAAGGGACTATTGACTATCGCCAAGTGGTGAGCACCATTGGACCCCTTTCGCTTGCTATTCTGTCCTATTTTTCCTCAGAATTCGGGGGCTAAATACCGTGCATCTGTCGGCCAGTTAAAAGTGACTAGCACAGCCGCCAGACTAAACACACGGGTGTCAGGCTTTCTGGGAAAGCACTCTCTAACAAACCCTGACTCTCCAGAGTTGGGAGTGTTGGTTTGCCTGGAACCAGTTTCCACTTTTCTTGTACTTCTGGGCTGAGCCAAGGGTCAACAAAGAGGAAAGCTATTCAGCTCCGGGTTCCTGACAGCAAGTTGGTTGACCCTGCGGCCATGAGCAGAACTCTCAAAGTCATGTCGCCCAAGCAAGACTCGCCCATCTATCCTATCTATCCTGACCCTTGCCTTCTGGGTCCTAACGCCTCTCAGACAAACTTCCTCTTGCCTCTCTTCTCCAAGGCTAGTCCCACTTCTAAAAACCACTCCCTGTCTCTGGTGCTTTTCTAGTTTCTCCTATAAGAATGATTTCTAGTATAAACCTCAGGACTCTGTTACCTTCTTTAGGCACCTGGGCTTGCCAAACAGAAAGATATAATTTTTGCCCAAAGCCCCATTGGGGCGGGGGACTATCTGGAATTTTAGGATCCCTCCTCAGACTAGCAGGCCTAACAAAAGCTATTCCTGAAGCTAGGATATGGGGAGCTTCAGAAATGGTATCTTTCCTATTCATATAAGTGAGGACAAAAGGCATCACTCTTCCAACTCTGGAGGTCCCTTTCCTCCCTCAGAGTATGGCCCTCCACTTCATTTTTGGGGCATAACATCTTTATAGGACATGGGTAAGGTCCCAGTACTAACAGGAGAATGCTTAGGACTCTAACAGGTTTTTGAGAATGTGTGGGTAAGGGCCACTAAATCCGACCTTCCTCAGTCCTCCTTGTGGTCTAGGAGGAAAACTAGCGTTTCTGCTGCTGCGTCAGTGAGCGCAACTATTCCGATCAGCAGGGTCCAGGGACCGTTGCGGGTTCTTGGGCAAGAGGTGTTTCTGCTGCTTCATCGGTGAGTGCAACTATTCCGATCAGCAGGGTCCAGGGACTGTTGCGGGTTCTTAGTCAGGGGGAGAAACCAAACAAACCAAAACCATGGGCGTTTTTTTCTTTCAGATGGGAAACACTCAGGCATCAACAGGCCCACCCTTGAAATGCATCCTAAGCCACTGGGACCAATTTGACCCGCAAACCCTGAAAAAGAGGTGGCTCATTTTTTCTGCAGTACAGCCTGGCCCCAATATTCTCTCTCTTATGGGGAAAAATGGCCACCTGAGGGAAGTATAAATTATAATACTATCCTGCAGCTTGATCTTTTCTGTAAGAGGGAAGGCAAATGGGGTGAAATACCTTATGTCCACGCTTTCTTTTCATTGAAGTAGAATCCACAACTATGCAAAGCTTGCAATTTACATCCCACAGGAGGACCTCTCAGCTTACCCCCATATCCTAGCCTCCCTATAGCTCCCCTTCCTATTAATGATAAGCCTCCTCTAATCTTCCCCACCCAGAAGGAAATAAACAAAGACATCTCCAAAGGACCACAAAACCCTCTGGGCTATCAGTTATGTCCCCTTCATGCTATAGGGGGAGGAGAATTTGGCGCAACCTGGGTACATGTCCCCTTCTCCCTCTCTGATTTAAAGCAGATCAAGGCAGACCAGGGGAAGTTTTCAGATGATCCTGATAGGTACATAGATGTCCTACAGGGTCTAGAGCAAACCTTTGATTTCACTTGGAGAGATGTCATGCTATTGTTAGATCAAACCCTGGCCTTTAATGAAAAGAATGCAGCTTTAGCTTTAGCCTGAGAGTTTGGAGATACCTGGTATCTTAGTCAAGTAAATGACAGAATGACAGCCGAAGAAAGGGACAAATTCCCTACCGTTCAGCAAGCTGTCCTAGTATGGATCCCCACTGGGACCTCTACTCAGATCATGGGGACTGGAGTCTTAAACATCTGTTGACCTGTGTTCTAGAAGGACTAAGGAGAATTAGGAGAATTAGGAAAAAGCCCATGAATTATTCAATGATGTCTACCATAACTCAGGGAAAGGAAGAAAATCCTTCTGCCTTCCTTGAGTGGCTACAGGAGGCCTTAAGAAAATATACTCCCCTGTCACCCAACTCACTTGAGGGTCAATTGATTCTAAAAGATAAATTTATTAAATCAATATCGTGAAAATGGCCATACTGCCCAAGGTCATTTACAGATTCAATGCCATCTCCATCAAGCTACCAATGACTTTATTCACAGAATTGGAAAAAACTACTTAAGTTCATATGGAACCAAAAAAGAGCCTACATTGCCAAGACAATCCTAAGCCAAAAGAACAAAGCTGGAGGCTTCATGCTACCTGACTTCAAACTATACTACAAGGCTACAGTAACCAAAACAGCATTGTACTGGTACCAAAAGAGAGATATAGACCAATGGAACAGAACAGAGCCCTTAGAAATAATACCACACATCTACAACCTTCTGATCTTTGACAAACCTGACAAAAACAAGAAACGGGGAAAGGATTCCCTACTTAATAAATGGTGCTGGGAAAACTGGCTAGCCATATGTAGAAAGCTGAAACTGGATCCTTTCCTTACACCTTATACAAAAACTAATTCAAGATGGATTAAAGACTTAAATGTTAGACTTAAAACCATAAAAACCCTAGAAGAAAACCTAGGCAATACCATTCAGGACATAGGCATGGGCAAGGACTTCATGACTAAAACACCAAAAGCAATGGCACCAAAAGCAATGGCAACAAAAGCCAAAATTGACAAATGGGATCTAATTAACCTAAAAAGCTTCTGCACAGCAAAAGAAACTACCATCAGAGTGAACAGGCAACCTACAGAATGGGAGAAAATTTTTACCATCTACCCATCTGACAAAGGGCTAATATCCAGAATCTAAAAAGAACTTAAACAAATTTCCAGGAAAAAATCAAACAAACCCATGAAAAAGTGGGCAAAGGATATGAACAGACACTTCTCAAAAGAAGACATTTATGCAGCCAACAGACAGATGAAAAAAGGCTAATCATCACTGGCCAACAGAGAAATGCAAATCAAAACCACAATGAGATACCATCTCACACCAGTGAGAACGGTGATCATTAAAAAGTCAGGAAACAACAGGTGCTGGAGAGGATGTGGAGAAATAGGAACACTTTTACACTGTTGGTGGGACTGTAAACTAGTTCAACCGCTGTGGAAGACAGTGTGGCTATTCCTCAAGGATCTAGAACTAGAAATACCATTTGACCCAGCCATCTCATTACTGGATATATACCCAAAGGATTATAAATCATGCTTCTATAAAGACACATGCACATGTATGTTTATCGCAGCACTATTCACAATAGCAAAGACTTGGAACCAACTCAAATGTCCATCAATGATAGACTGGATTAAGAAAATGTGGCACATATACACCATGGAATACCATGCAGCCCTAGAAAATGATGAGTTCATGTCCTTTGTAGGGACATGGATGAAGCTGGAAACCATTATTCTCAGCAAACTATTGCAAGGAGAGAAAACCAAACACCGCATGTTCTCACTTATAGGTGGGAATTGAACAATGAGAACATTTGGACACAGGATGGGGAACATTACACACCGGGGCCTGTCATGGGGTCGGGGGAGGGGGAGGGATAGCATTAGGAGATATACCTAATGTAAATGACGAGTTACTGGGTGCAGCACACCAACATGGCACATGTATACAGATGTAACAAATCTGCATGTTGTACACATGTACCCTAGAACTTAAAGTATAATTAAAAAAAAAGATAAGTTTATTACCCAATCAGCTGCAGATATCAGAATAAAGCTCCAAAAGTGAGCCCTGGGCCCTGAACAAAATCTGGAGGCATTATTAAACCTGACAACCTCGGTGTTCTACAATAGGGACCAAGAGGAACAGGCCCAAAAGGAAAAGCAAGATCAGAGAAAGGCCTCAGCCTTAGTCATAGCTCTCAGCCTTAGTCATGGCCCTCAGACAAACAAACCTTGGTGGTTCAGAGAGGAAAGAAAATGAGGCAGGCCAATCACTTGGTAGGGCTTGTTATCAGTGTGGTTTACAAGGACACTTTAAAAAAGATTGTCCAATGAGAAACAAGCCGCCCCCTTATCCATGTCCACTATGCCAAGGCAGTCACTGGAAGGCACACTGCCCCAGAGGGCAAAGTTCTCTGGATCAGAAGCCTCAAACCAGATGATCCAACAACAGGACTGAGGGTGCCCGGGGCAAGTGCCAGCTCATGTCATCACCCTCACTGAGCCCCGGGTGCATTTAACCATTGAGGGCCAGGAAATTGACTTCTTCCTGGACACCGGCATGGCTTTCTCAGTATTAATCTCCTGTCCCAGACAGCTGTCCTCAAGGTCTGTTACCATCTGAGGAATCCTGGTACAGCCTGTAACCAGATAATTCTCCCACCTCCTCAGTTGTAATTGGGAGACTTTGCTACAGATATTAAGATGGCAGGAGTGGAATCTTGGATTCACTGCACCCAAATTAAATTTTGGGCACCCCCTGAGGAACCTGTGGGACTGTCAGCTCAGGAGTCCCAAGGTCAGCCAGACCAGCCTCAATACACCTGCGAACCGTTGGAGGACTTGCCTCTCCTATTTCGGAAGGAAACATCCCAGACTAAAAAGGCTCCTACTGCTGATCCTGAGGAAAAACCCCTTCCTCTTTAAAAAAGATAAGTGAAAACCGACATAATCTTTATCTTCAACACCTCTCCTTGCCCCTTTAATGGAACCCTTTTACTATTTCATCATATTATTAAGCAGCATACTAACCTTACTCTTTGCAATAGGACTATGTACTGTAGCTCCTGCTGGGATGAAAATCCTAATCACATCAACCTTCTTTCTATCTTCCTTCCTTCTGACAGCAATTTACTCCTACCTTTATCTCAGACTGGACAAAATGATCTCGTCTTCCAGAGCCCCCTCTTTACCTTCCTATTTACTCTTTGCCTATCTATCCCTCCTGCTTCCTTGGATACCTCATACAATCACCCCTCCCCTTCCACTAGCTCCTAATTACCTCTACAAGACTCTCAACTTAACCCACTCTCTGTTAAACCAGTGCAATCCTTCCCTGGCAAACGACTGTTGGCTTTGTATCTCTCTATCAACTTCTGCTTATGTTGCCACTCCCATTCCCACAAGAAATTGGGTCTTTACCAACTTAACCTACCACCCTCGTTATGAAGGAAGAGACCCTTTCCAACTTCTAAATATGCAATCATTAGCCGACCTCCCCACCTCTGATAGGACCAAGAATACCCTAACAGGACATACAATCCAACTTTTACGTTCTTACATTTCCAACCTCATCTATTACACAAGCAATGAAAAGCCCATATACGGCCCTGTAACTACGAATACCATCTTAACTTTCCAAGCCCCTTTATGCATCCAATGCAACCTGTTATCAGGCCTGCCTCTTGGGCACCTACTACCCCATCAGTGTAATTACACCCTACAACTTCAAGGCCCAACTGATCATTATAACTTCCGAGTCACCCAAACAGCTCCATTCAGATGGCTTGTCTGCTTCTCAGGGACCCCTAAAATCACCACCTCCTCCCTGATTAACAAACAGTCCAGGTTTTGTAATGGCTAATATACTCCCTGCATAACCATTCACCCCTGGACTCCCTGCAGCAGCGCCCCCACCACTAGTGAATGCCTTCTCATCCCCTCTTTCAATCGCTTTCTCGAATGGTTCCTAGTAGATACAAAATGATTTTTTCTCCAATGGGAGAATAGAACACAGGGAGCCACTCAGTGTGCTCCCAACACCCCTTTCCAGCCGCTCACCGGGGCTACCTTGGCAAGTACTCTAGGAGTATGGGAAAATGAAAACAACAAACTCACACACCTTTTTAACATACACAACCAGTTCTGTCTACCCAGCCAAGGTATATTCTTATGTGGAACGTCGACCTATATCTGCCTCACCACTAACTGGACAGGCACCTGCACCTTAGTCTTTCTAAGTCCCAACATTAACATTGCCCCCAGGAAATCAGACCCTATCAGTACTCCTCAAAGCTCAAGTCCATCAGCGCAGAGCCAAACAATTAATACCCCTACTTAGAGGGTTAGGAATGGCTACTGCTACAGGAACCGGAATAGCCAGTTTACCTACTTCATTATCCTGCTACCACACACTCTCAAAGGATTTCTCAGACAGTTTGCAAGAAATAACGAAATCAATCCTTACTCTACAATCCCAAATAGACTCTTTGGCAGCAGTGACTCCCCAAAACCGCCGAGGCCTAGACCTCCTCACTGCTGAGAAAGGAGGACTCTGCACCTTCTTAGGGGAAGAGTGTTGTTTTTACACTAACCAGTCAGGGATAGTACGAGATGCCGCCCAGCGTTTACAGGAAAAGTCTTCTGAAATCAGACGCCTTTCAAACTCTTATACCAACCTCTGGAGTTGGGCAACATGGCTTCTCCCCTTTCTAGGTCCCGTGGCAGCCATCTTGCTATTACTCACCCTCAGGCCCTGTATTTTTAACCTACTTGTCAAATTTGTTTCCTCTAGAATCGAGGCCATCAAGCTACAGATGGTCTTACAAATGGAACCTTCAATGAGCTCAACTAACAACTTCTACCGAGGACCCCTGGACCGACCCGCTGGCCCTTTCACTGGCCTAAAGAGTTCCCCTCTGGAGGACACTACAACTGTGGTGTTGTAGGGCCCCTTCTTCGCCCCATCCAGCAGGAAGTAGCTAGAGCAGTCATTGCCCAATTCCTAACGGCAGTTGTGGTGTCCTGTTTAGAGGGGGGATTGAGAGGTGAAGCCAGCTGGACTTCCTGGGTTGAGTGGGGACTTGGAGAACTTTTCTGTCTAGCTAAAGGTTTGTAAACGCACCAATCAGCACTCTGTAAAAAGGCACCAATCAGTGTTCTGTGTCTAGCTAAAGGTTTGTAAATGCACCAATCAGCACTCTGTAAAAATGCACCAATCAGTGCTCTGTGTCTATCTAAAGGTTTGTAAATGCACCAATCAGCACTCTGTAAAAACGGACCAATCAGCACTCTGTAAAATGGACCGATCAGCAGGACGTGGGTGGGGCCAAATAAGGGAATAAAAGCTGGCCACCTGAGCCAGCAGCGGCAACCTGCTCAGGTCCCCTTCCACACTGTGGAAGCTTTGTTCTTTCGCTCTTCAGAATAAATCTTGCTGCTGCTCACTCTTTGGGTCTGCACTACCTTTATGAGCTGTAACACTCACCACAAGGGTCTGCAGCTTCATTCCTGAAGTCTGCGAGACCACGAACCCACCGGAAGGAAGAAACTCCAGACACATCTGAAGGAACAAACTCCAGACACACCACCTTTAAGAGCTGTAACACTCACTGTGAGGGTCTGTGGCTTCATTCCTGAAGTCAGCAAGACCACGAACCCACTGGAAGGAAGAAACTCCGGACACATCTGAACATCTGAAGGAAGAAACTCTGGACATACCATCTTTAAGAACTGTAACACTCACTGCAAGGGTCTGCAGCTTCATTCTTGAAGTCAGCGAGACCAATAACCCACTGGAAGGAACCAATTCCAGCCACAGGGATAGCACTTGACAATTTCTGTAGTGTAAATATTCTCCTGCTATGACAGAATTCCAGCTACTAAGAAATACAGACTACAATGAATGCTGAGTAAGATGTGCACAAGTTGTCTATAGCATACTATTGTATTAAGAAACCTACAAATGGGTCTTAAGTTAATGGCAACTATCGTAAGAACAAAAATGGAATATCTAACCTTTAAACCAGCAGAAGAAAACTCAAATGCAAACTCACCTTATCCAATGGAAAGGTGGAAAAGAATATAAAAAGAAACGTCCTTCTTGTGATTGGAGTATTTCTCAAATGCAACCTACCCTACTGATGCAGAAGCCAGATCTCACTTTTCCAGCTTCCTTAGCAGGGTAGGTTCACGCATGTGACTAAGGCTCAGCCAATCAATCAGATGGTTTCCCTCTGGATTTCTATTCGGGAGAGGGCATCCTGAGGAAGCTTCATTTGAGCTGTGGTGATGAGGATAATCAGATCTTGGCATGTAGCAGTAAGGTTATACAGACACAGGCATCCACTCGAGCCTGTTTGGTGAGAGCTATAGAGTATGGGTGAGTAGTGGCTGTACTGGAGGAGTCCCCAAGGGTGGCATTTGAGGACTGACACCCTAAGCCACTGGGAGAGTCTATGAGATTCCTAATATCCTTAATAAATTCTCTTTTCTGCTTAAGCTATGTAAACAAGTGTGAACCCAAAAGAGTCAATCCTTCCAGTGGATCCCCAAGTGGCTAACTGGGCCTAAATTTTAAATAGAACCAAGCAACCATTTGCTGACTAGAAGTCACACACATACTCTGTCATGAAAACCCACACCTCTATTTAACTTTGGGACTTTCAGAGCTCATCTGAACCAACCAATCAGAGCTCACCTGAATCAATCAATCAGGTCTCAGCTATATCAACCAATCAGGACTCAGCTATATAGACCAATCAGAACTAAGTTAGCTTGACTTCTTCAAATGCGTAAAACAGACCTGATTGGGAACCTGGGTGGGAACTTTCACTATAAAATGCAGATCCTCCCTTCGTTCTCTGAAATGCATCTTCATTTTAAACAGTTTGCTCCCTGGTTTGCAAACTGTTCACTGGTATAAAGTTTCTTTCCTCCAAATTCCTTTTCCTCATGAGAACTTCTGTTCACAGCTATTAACCATAGATTCCTTTGTTTGCAATCAAGAACAATGATTGATACAACACCTGCACCTCATTTTAAAAATAACATCTTTATTGAGATATGATTCATATAGCATACAACTGACCTAATTAAAATATACAAATCGATTGTTTTTAGTATAGTCACAAAGTTGTGCAACCATCACCACAATCAATTTTGCAATTTCATCACCCCTAAAAGAACCTCCATATCCATTAGCAGTTGCTCTATATTTTCCCCCAACATCTGGCACCCCACTCCAACCGCAGACCTAGGTAACCACTAAACTACTTTCTGTGTCTATCTATTTGTCTATTCTTGGTATTTCATACAGATAGAATAATATAGTATGTGGTCTTTTGTGACTGGATTCTTTCACTTAACCTCAAGTTTTCAAGTTTCATCCATTTTGTAGTATGTATCGTATTTCATTTCTCTTTATTGCTGAAAAATATTCCATTGCATGAAGATACCTCATTTCATTATCCATTCTTCAGTTGTGCATTTGGGTTGTTTTACTATTGTGAATAATGTTGCGATAAACATTTGTGTACAAAGTGGGTTTTTTGTGGACATATGTTTTCATTTATCTTGGGTATACACCTAGGAGTAGAATTGACGGATTATACAATAACTCTATGTTTAACCTTTTGAGCAAAAGGTAGACTGTTTTTCAAAGTGGCTGCACCTGTAGTCCCAGCTACTTGGGAGGGTGAGACAGGAGGATTGCTTGAGTAGTCCCCAAGGAATTTGAGGCTGCAGTGAGCTGTGACTGTGCCCCTGCATTGCAGCCTGGGTGAGAGTGAGACCCTGCCTCTAAAAAACAAGCAAACACAAACAAAAAAACAAAAAATTCCTCTTGTTATGAATAATATTATTATTTCCTATAAGGAAGCAGATATCAACTGTGTAAGCCAGAATATTCTAATAATGAAGCTGAAATGGACTATTTTATCAGATGGGGAGCTTCTAATCACTGCAAATATCAAGATTAGGCAATTGGACTGACCATCTGTGAGGATGTTATTCCCTCATTTACCCATCCATCCATTCATTCATTCTTTGCTCCAAGAAAAAATTTAAGAGTCTTATAGGAATTCATAATATACCAGGAGAGAACACAAATTGGAAGAAGCAAGAAAGAGAAAAAAAATCATTCAGGTTAGAGATGTAAGATGAAGTCAGGAATTAAGCAAACAGAAAAGAGCTTGTCTTACCAGCTAGGTGTAACACCTTTGCATTTTCCAGGAGTCAAATTTGGCTTTGAGTTTTTCAGCAGTCAAGGCCAAGAGGGAGACTTGCTCAGCTATAAAATTTACAGTGTCCATTAGGCACAATTCTTCTTGACTCTAGGACCAGAAAGAAATGTCTCCTGATCCCAGTCCCGCGAAAGTCACTCCTTTATGTTAAGGTATTTCTGTTTTTGGTTCCCCTTTGGGCTTTTAGTCATTTTGCTAACCACCTTCTCTCTCACATTGGTTGGAACTTGGGAATGCTGGAGGCTCTGAAGTTGAGAGCTATTGCCCCACACATGAAAATAATAAAAATGCCTCTCCTCCTTGAGTCCTACTGCTTAAGTCCTCCTTGAATTGATTCTTTCAATGATGCATTTTGAATAATAACCACAACTGCCATCTACTGAGTAGTCAGGCACTTTTCCATCTTGATCTCTTCTTCACAACTAAACCAGATAGCATTTTGCTATTTTATAGATGAGCAAACAGACACAGGGTAAATGATCCGTTAATACAAAAAATTAGCCAGGCATGGTGGTGTGCACCTGTAGTACCAGCTAGTTGGGAGGCTGAGATGGGAGAATCACTTGAACCCAGAGGTTGCTGTGAGCCGAGATCAGCCCACTGCACTCCAGCCTGGGTGACAGAGGGAGACATTGTCTCAAAAACAAAAAACAAAAAACAAAAAAACCAAAAAACAAAACCAAAAACAAAAAAAATTACAGAACTGGTAAGCAACAGAGCTGGGATTCAAATCCAGGTCTGCCAGGCTCCTTAGCCTGTCTTCTTTCAATACAATCCCATTGCTGTTTCTAACTTTTTTCCTGATGATAGTATTAATTACTTTCTAACTTCTTAGATCCTTATAGGAAGATTTCCATATTGGTTAGACTAACGGTTAATTTCCTCTCACAGAAAGACTCAAAACACAGCTGCTTAAACTGCGGAGGATTGTTTTTCTCTCTCATGTGAAAGTCTATAGCTGAGTGGTCCAGGGCTGCAGGAAGGCTCTGCCACTCATGATGTGGCTTGCTAGGGAACTCCAGTTGTCACCTGCGATCAGCTGGTGAAAAGTGGGAGAAAGAGTTAAGGACAGGCATATTTAAGAAAATAATGTCAAAGAGGCCAGGCGCCGTGGGGGTTGGGGATTTGGGAGGCGGGCGGCGGGGCGGCGGGGGTGGTGCACAGCTGTAATCCCAGCACTTTGGGAGGCCGGGGTGGGCGGATCACTTGAGGTCGGGAGTTTAAGACCAGTCTGGCCAACATGGAGAAACTCCGTCTCTATGAAAAATACAAAAATTAGCCAGGTGTGGTGGCACGTGCCTGTAATCCCAGCTACTCCAGAGGCTGAGGCAGGAGAATCTACTGAACCCGGGGGATGCAGAGGTTGCAGTGAGCCAAGATCATGCCATTGCACTCCAGCCTGGGCAACAGAGCAAGACTCCATCTCAAAAAAAAAAAAAAAAGAAAAGAAAAGAAAAGAAAATGATGCTACAGTTACACATGTCACTACTGCTCATATCCCATTGTGCTGATGTTAGAAAGTAATTAATATTGATGTGTTATTTGGATCAGGGTAACTCTGTATTCATTAAAGGAAAAAAGGGGGAAATCATCTCTGAAGTGGTTAACAGGCTGCATCATAATCTCCCTAGGAACAGTTCTGTTCTTTACAATTCTGAGTTTTATTTTGAATCAGTATTCAGCCAGCAGTGGTCAGACTGAGAAATAGAGTGTTGTCTCTTGCTTTTTGCAAGTTCTCTTCCTTTTAATGTTTTCTCTCTGCTCCCTAAAGCAAAATCATTATTCACATAGAAATCTGGAGCTAGAAAAGCCTTTGTGATTTTATTGATGAGGAAACAGATTCAAAGCAAGTGACTTGTCCAAGGTCACACAAGTAGCTAGTAGCAGAGGTCGGACCTGTGTGTCTTGGTTTTACCCTGCCACATAGACGTAAGTCCACCTTCCCACCTTAAGCCTCTTTTTCTCTCTTTTTTTTTTTTTTTTTTTTTTTTTGCCATTTTCTCAGTTGAGGGCAATGGCAAGAAAATGAACAACACATCTGGAAAGATATGGAAGCTCCTAAGTTTCCCCTGGAAAATTGTTTTTGTTGTTGTTGTTGTTGTTTGAGATGGAGTCTCTGCTCTGTCATCCGGGCTGGAGTGCAGTCGTGCCATCTCAGTTCACTGCAACCTCTGCCTCCCGGGTTCAAGCGATTCTGCTCCCTCAGCCCCCCTAGTAGCTGGGATTACAAATGTGCACCATCACACCTGGCTAATTTTTGTATTTTTAGTAGAAACGGGGTTTCACCATGTTGCCCAGGCTGGTCTCAAACTCCTGAGCTCAAGTGATCCACTGGCCTCAACCTCCCAAAGTGTTGGGATTACAGGCGTGAGCCACTGCGCCAGGAGGAAACTTGTTGAAGGTGACGTGAATCAAAGCCCCAAAAAATCCTTCCACCTTAGATAAAGCACAGTGATGCTCATTTGAAAACTGAAAGAAACTCTCCCAAGAAACCTCCTAGACACTCCAGGCTTCCCATGAATCTTCCTGACACCCTGAAGATACCCCTCCATTTTGTCTCTGTTAATTGATGTAAAGTGTTAATGCATCTGAAATTCCTGTTCCTGTTAGCACCATGAGAATCTAGGATAACATATACCTTGCTTTTTCTCTTTTTCTTTCTTCTTTGTGCAGCTCAAATTCAATGCTGCTTGAGGGGTTGAAGGAATTCCATGAGCTCTAGAGCCTGGACATATTCATCCCTCAATAGCATTGCAATCAGATGGGCAGTCTTCAGCTGGCCTGCTCAGCCTGATTTTACAAAGGCTGGGTTTCCTCAGTGAAGAGGCAGGGAGAGACACAGAGGGTCCTAGTGTATGTGGGATGGATATCTAGTTATAGGGGTGCGTGTGTGTAGGGGGTGTGAGTGTAAGGGGACATGGATATGGAGAGTTTGAGGGGTGTGATATGGGGGTGTGAACCGTATGTTGGGAGGGCAAGAAAAGAAGAAAAGATTAAGAGGATAAAGAAAAAGAGGAAGATTTCTAGAATGTGTGTCGGCTAACGAAGCAAGCTTAAGGAGAATATAAGACGGGGTGAAAGTGAGAGAGTATTAGAATGTGTGTGAGGGAAGCAGGGAGGATAAGCACAGGTGGGAGAACCCTTGATGCGGAGAAGAGTGATTTAGAGCAAATCTCGGCTGGGCGCGATGGCTCACACCTGTAATCCCAGCACTTTGGGAGGCCAAGGCGGGAGGATCACCTGAGGTCAGGGGTTCGAGACCAGCCTGGCCAACATGGTGAAACCCCGTCTCTACTAAAAAGTACAAAAATTAGCTGGGCATCGTGGTGCACGCCTCTATTCCCAGCTACTTGAGAGGCTCCAGCGTGGCAGCAAGAATGAAACTCTGTCTCAAAAAAAAAAAAAAAAAAAAAAAGGAGCAAATCTTCCTTTATCCTGGGTGGCGGCCTGCCTGTCCATGAATCAGTCCGTGGGCAGGCAGTGGTGTCAAGGCTGTAGAAATTCCAGATGTACGGAGGTCACGGTCCCAGCACAAGGAGCTTATAAGGAGATGGAGAGATTCAGGAGAAAAGCCTAAGAGCCTCAACATGGGGGGAAACTGAAAACCAGGAACAGCTGTGGGGAGAAAAATGCCATATGTTAGTTAGTCTCTGGGGGTGAGGAGTGGAGAGGGAAGAGGACTGTAGTCAAGTTGAAGTGGACTAGTCCAGTTCTTGCTGAACTCAGGAGTTCCACAAGAGGGAACCTGTTAAATAAATTATAATAGTCTGCCATATAATGTACCACCAGGAATAATGACTTAGATGTCTATTGATTGACTTGGAAAGAGATCCACAATTTATTATGAAGCAGGGAAAAAAGGGGATCGTGAAACAGTACCTACAGTATGATGCAATTGTATTTTGAATATCATATATTTAAATATAGGAAAAATCTGGGTGATACACATAAATATCTGATATTTATGAAATACTGAATGTATATAAAACTCTATACATACGTACATAAAATAACAGTGGTTATTTGGGGATGGTGGAATCTTTGTTTGTTTGTTTATTTATTTATTTATTTATTTATTTTGAGACAGAACCTCACTCCTGCCAGGCTGGAGTGCAGTGGTGCAATCTCGGCTGACTGCAACCTCCGCCTTCCATGTTTAAGCAATTCTCCTGCCTCAGCCTCTCAAATGGCTGGGATTATAGGTGCTTGCCACCATGCCCGGCTAATTTTTTGTGTTTTTAGTAGAGATGGGGTTTCACCATGTTGGCCAGGCTGGTCTCAAACTCCTGACCTCAGGTAAACCACCCACCTCGGCCTCCCAAAGTGCTGGGATTCCAGGTGGAAGCCACGTGCCTGGCCTCCCCACAGCTGTTCCTGGTTTTCAGTTTCCCCCCGTGTTGAGGCTCTTAGGTTTTTCTCCCAAATCTCTCCATCTCCTTATAAGCTCCTTGTGCTGGGACCATGACCTCCATACATCTGAAATCCCTACAGCCTTGACCACTGGAGATCAAGACCAGCCTAACATGGTGAAACCTGTTCTCTACTAAAATACAAAAAATGAGCCGGGCGTGGTGGTGCACGCCTGTAATCCCAGCTACTCGGGAGGCTAAGACAGGAGAATTGCTTAAACCTGGGAGGCGGAGGTTGCAGTGAGCCGAGATCGTGCCACTACACTCCAGCCTGGGCGACAGAGCAAGACTCAGTCTCAAAAACAAAAAAAATTGGCCAAGCGCAGTGGCTCACGTCTGAAATCCCAGCACTTTGGGAGGCTGAGGCAGGCGGATCATGAGCTCAGGAGATCAAGACTATCCTGGCTAACATGGTGAAACCCCGTGTCTACTAAACTTACAAAAAATTAACTGGGCGTGGTGGCACATGCCTGTAATCCCACCTACTTGGGAGGCTGAGGCAGGAGAATCGCTTGAACCCGGGAGATGGAGGCTGCGGTGAGCCAAGATCGCACCATTGCACTCCAGCCTGGGTGACAGAGCGAGACTCTGTCTCAAAAAACAAAACAGAACAAACAAACAAACAAACAAAACAAATTAGCCAAACGTGGTGGTGTGCATCTGTAGTCCCAGCTACTCTCGAGGCTGAGGTGGGAGGATAGCTTGAGCCCAGGTGTTGGAGGCTGTGGTGAGCTGTGATCCAGCTGATCCTTGGGAAGACGCCTCCTCACCCTGTAAAGAGTTGGGCCCAGTAGGATGTGCCATTCCCAACCACCCATCCCCCCATCCCGGGAGGAGGAGGGGGAGGAAGGAGGAGGAGGGGCAGAGAGAGGAGGAAGTAGTGGAGTTTCCATCCAGGATTCCCCGCTTTTGTCCCCAGGAAGCAGAGCTGAGCCAGGCCTCCAGGAGAACAAGAACAATGCTCTCCTGCACAGATGGACCCTGAAGACGACCTTGCCCTGCTCCGTGCGACACCCAGATTGGAAATTCTTGTGGAGAAAACATAGAGAGCACATTCCTGGCAGCTGACTAATGGGATTCATGGACCCAATTCATTCTTTGAAAGTTTGGATCTGAGGTTTGCTCATACTGCTGGGGCCACCTAACAAGTGGTCGCTGCTAGCCCCCATATCTGGCACACCAGGGGGCTGGAATGAGGGGAGACTATGAAAACAGTCTTTGGATCTAATACAGATTGCAAAAGGTGGACTTGGACATGGGCTGTTCCTGTTCAAGATTATCACAGGCCTTGCTTCTCCATACAGGCGAGTTTTTATAAACCACACATATCGAATAGAAAAGTAAGCCCTACTATTTAAAACATAATTGCTGACAGCTGCTTCTGCTCACAAACAGTGATATAATTTCTCACTAGAGAAGATTTTTTTTTTTTTTGTTTAGCAAAATTCAATTTAATTAGGTGCTCAGGCAAGAACCCCTCCCTTTGCCCCCCACCCCCACCAGGGGGATAGTTGAGAAAGTGACCAGAAAACAGAGAGCTAAACTCTGATAGGAAATAAATAGAAACTTTTTGGCTCAGAAGAGGGAAGAGAGTTTTAAAAACCAGTGAAATGGAGGCTGGGAATTGTGGCTTATGCCTATAATCCAAGCACTTAGGGAGGCCAAGAGGGGAACATTGTTTGAGGCCAGAAGTTCAAGACCAACCTGGTCAATATAGCAAGACCACGTCTCTACAAATGTTTAAAAAAAATCAGCCAGGTGTGTAGTGGTGGGCATCTGTAGTCCCAGCTACTCAACAGTCTGAGGTGGGAGGATTGCTTAAACCCAGGAGTTCGAGGCTGCAGTGAGTTGTGATCTCACCACTGTTCTCCCACCAGGGCAACAGAGTGAGACTATAAAAAAGAAAAAAATAAAAGTCAGTGACACAGTGGCAGGTGTAGAAGTTATGGAGAAACAGGGCCAGAAATGTTCCCCAATCTGAGATGGCTTAAGGACGACTAACACAGTTTTTATATATTCAGTGCGGTTTTGTGTATGTTTGTTTTTATCAGTTCTGAGACACCATACCCCTCAATCACCCCATTCTAAAGAGCATTGTTCAAGTGAAAGACTGAAGTATCAGTGGTTTAGGAATTGTGCTCTGGGTCAGACTGCTCAGTGAGATCCAGCTGTGCCACTTGGGGGCTCGATCACTTCGAATAGTAAGTTTTCTGACTTCTCAAAGCTTAGTTCCTTCACCTGGAAAATGAGAATAATAGTATTTATGAAGATGAAATGAGATCAGCTGTATAAGGTACTTAGTACAGTGCTTGGCTCATAGTAACTGCTTAGTAAATGTCAGTGGGGATGAAGATGAAGAAGAAATGATGATGATAACAATAACGAAATAGCTACAGCTGTGTTCTATAGTTTCATCAGCTAGTATTTAATATCAACTGGAGAAACCATAGAAAAGAAGAGCTAGCTGAACACTGGACTTGGATGAATTAGTGCAGTGGTTCTTAAAGTCCCTGGACCAGCAGCATCAGCATCACCTGACAGCTGGTTAGAAATGCAGGTTCTGGGAGTTTGAGATCAGCCTGGGAACATGGTGAAACTCCATCTCTACTAAAAATACAAAAATTAGCCAGATGTGGTAGTGGGTGCCTGTGGTCCCAGCTATTCGGGAGGCTGAGGCAGGAGGATCACTTGAGATCGTGCCACTGCACTCCAGCCTTGGTGACAGTGTGAGACCATGTCAAAAAAAAAAAAAAAAAAAAAAAAAAAGGAAATGCAGATTCTAAGCCCCCACCCCAGATCCACTGAGTTAGAAACTCTGAATGTGGGTCCAGTAATTGGTATTCTGCTCACAAACAGTGATATAATTTCTCACTAGAGAAGATTTGTTCTCACTAGAGAAAAAGCTTTCCAGGTATTTCTGATGCACACGTAAATTTTGAGAACCACTAAATTAATGAATGCTGTTTTAATGGCTTGCAAAGAAGGGGCCTCACTGTCTGTGGGTTCATTTTTTTTCATGCTTGTTCAAATATGGATAGTACAATCATTGCAATTTCATTGCATGTGGTTATAATTCAATATGTGGTGGTGTCAAATTTTATTCAGGTAAACAAAAATAGTACTTTAGTTTTCTAAAACTGATTTCATCTTCCTCTGGAGTCCCCATTCTCCGGGGAAAGTCTCAGTTTACTTCATCCATTCAAAGTTCAAACTTCTATGGGGCTGTTTTTCCTCCTCCTACACCTCTCTCCTAAGAAGGCATTTGGGCACAAGGAAGAGCTGAGGTAGCCTCGCGGCAGCAGGGGAGAGGTCTTTGCACATGCTCAGTGGCCTCGCACAGTGGGTACTGCTCACCCCACTAGGTTCACAGACCTGGCTCTGTTCTGAGGCTCTGGTCTCTGGCTGCTCTCACGTGGTCTCTTGGTGCCCTGTACTGGTACCTGCTGCTGAAGCTGTGGTCCCTGTCACAGCTTTCCCCACTGCAGCCTTCTCATCTCAATCCCACTGCCTAGACCTCCTTGGATTCTAGTGACTTGGACAGCAGATGAGAGCCAAGAATGCTTCAAGCCAGGCAGGAAGAAAGAGGAGGAATGCCTTTTGTAAGAAAGAACAAAACACCAATTTATCCCATAGCCATTCACTGTACTTTCTTCCCTCCCTCCTTTCTTTCTTTTTTTTTTTCTTTAATGAAAAGCTAAAAGAGAAGACATATGTCTTGGAAATTGAGATTTAATGAAAGCAGGGTACACTTTGGGAGGTCCTGGTTGTTATAATTGCTTAAATATTCAATTGAAGATTCTTCCCAAGAACTCAAGGTCTAGGTTATATGACAAGACACATCAGGAATTAAATTTCTTTTTACTTTAGATAGAATAAAAATTAAAAGTCTTAGTAAATTTGGGTTTAATATAAAACCAGACCTTTTCTAATTATTGCAGGCCACAGTCTCTCTTCACTTCCTTCTAGAATATATACTATATTGAAAATTTCCAGTTATTTAGCACTCTCATAGGCAGTGAAGGCTTATTCTTTAGTATTCATTTTTTGTAGTCTTGCTTGTGCTCTACCTGAGTTGTAAGCCACTCAAGGACAAAGATTATAACATTCATAGTTGATAAGGGCTTGGGAAGATCCTGTGCAGCAGGTGTACTAGGTAGGATAGACTAGGTTATGCTATGGTCACAGATGACCTCAAAATCCCTGTGGCTTAACATAACAAATGTTCTTTTTTTGCCTGCTAATTCTACATGCCCATTGGAGTCACCAGGCAGCCTCTGCTCCACATAGACTCTCAGGATCCAGATAAACAGAGGCTCCATTAGGACTTGTACTCCACACTCTCCCCCAGTAGAACAAGGGGAATGTGGTTGATTGCACACTGTCTCTTAAAACTTCTGCTCAGAAGTGACACATTGTTTCTGCTCACATTTCATGGGTCAAAGCAAGTCACGTAGTCATACCTAACTTTAAATTGGAAAGGTACAATTCCATCAGGTACCCAGAAGGAGAGCCAAAAATATTGGTGAACAGTACTACTCATTACACCAGGCACTGTATTGAGCATTCGATCCATGTCTTTGCATTTATAACTCCATGAGGGAGGAACTATATTAGTCTCATTTTTTTAATAGTATGGGAAACCAAGGTCACACGTTTTGTAAATGGTAGAACAGGATGGGAGACCAGATCTGTTTGGTCCCAGTGTTTGCAATCAAACCAAAAGTCTATACTACTCTTCAAGAACAGTGAGTTTTCTTTCATTGAGTTCACAGACTATTGAGGCACAGTGTTTAAACGTTTTATATGCTTTGTCTCATTTAATCCTCAAAGCAACTTGGTGAGCTGTTTCAAATTATTAGCCCATGCTAAGGGGATCCAAAGCTTAGCAAAGTTATGATCTCACAAGGAAACCTGGCCCTTATCTAACTCCAATGACTATTACCTTAATCTACATTATACGGCGGTGTTTCTCAGAGTGAATGTTCTTCAGGAGAAGCCTTTGGGGTACGTATTCAAATGCCAGCTCCTGGAGCCTATACTGAATCAGCTTCCTGGGGAGGGTTAGGAATGACAGCTGTGATGCTCACTAGAGGTTGATATTTATGATCCCGTTGTCAGTTTCAGTCCTGGTGGTTTCACTGCCCTAGCATAACCCCCGCTCCTGGTGGCCACTCAGCAAATCAAAAACAAACAAAACCTCAGCCCATCACCAGACCAGAAAAAGGTGATTATTTCTTTGCCATTCTGCCAACATTGACAGGAAAAGGTAAAGAAGTTAATACATTCAGCACCAGGTTCCTGGACAAAAATCCCTGCCATCAACAGTTTTTAAAGGCTTAAGGAAGTGAGGGAGGAGGAAAAATCAAAATTATTTCTCGCTGAAATTAACGCCACATTTAAGTCATAGTTACAGAACTCGTTACTGACCTGAAGCAAAATCCAAAGATATTAAGATTCTGTGAGTGTAGACGGCAAGCCTCCCTCTCCCTCCATAGCCTGCATGAAGGCAGCAGGATCCTGATGCCCTGAACACATAGAGGGCAGATGTGCTGTGTACAGCTGTGTAGGCCAAGTGGTTCAACCCCACAATGGCGACACCATCCCCATAGCCCACAATATACCGGCATGAGGAGAGGACACAGATGTGGGGCAAGGGGCCTGGTTTCTGAACCGGTCTTAAGTATATACCTTTCCAGATGCTGTGGCTTGGATGTATATTAACCTTTCTGAACCTTTAAAATGCCATTATTTTGCAAGATGCATTACACGGGGATTTTATTGATTATCACAGTTAATAAATACTTTATATGTCCCAGGTCCTAATCTAAGTGCCTTACATCATCCAAACTTCACAATAACCCTGTAAGGTAGGTACTAGTTTTATCCTTATTTTATAGATGAGGAAATAGGCACAAAGAGGTTAAGTGACTTGTGCAAGGCCACCCAGCATACATTGTAGGGATAGGATGCAAGCACAGGTAGTCTAGGTATCTAGCTCATTTTTTTTGCCATTATATGCTATTGACTCTATTCTATGGGACCTGAAGGCAGCAGCTATAAAAATGGAACATCTGGAATGAACTAGTTCAACTTACCCAGGGCTGGCCAGATCACACCCAGCAGAGGTGCTCAGCTCTGGGTGCTCCGCTTTAAAAGGGGTGTAGACAAATTGTAGGCTATCTAGAGGAAGCTGGTTAGCTAGGAAGGGGGCTGGAGCCTTGTCATCAATAATAACCTCATGCTTACCAAATGCTTGACAGAAGTGCTTTACCTGCCTAGCTTGTTTCATTTAAGCCTTTATAACATCCTTACGGGGTAAGTCCTAAAATTATTGCCATTTGATAAAGAAAGAAGCTGAGGCATGGAGCAGTTAAATGATCTGCCTCCACACAGCTAATAAGCATCAGGACCAGGATGCAAACCTTGCAGTGTGAATCCAGTCTACTTTAAACCAGCGCTTCGCACAAATCGCCAAGGGGTTCTGTTAGAACGCAGACTCTGGTTCAGTAGGTCCGGGGTGGGGCCGAGCCTCTGCACTTCTTACAGGTCCTGGGTGACGCTGCAGAACCACGGACCACACTGAGTAGTGAGACTTCCAGCCACTCTGCTTGACTACCCACAATATGAGCGCTGATGGGAGGAACCAAGAGTTTTTGCCTCAAGGCAGCTCAGTAGGGTGGAGTTGAAGAACGTCATGGCTGTCCTGAAATATTTAAAGGGCCTCCATGTAGAAAGCAAATCAGACTTGACTTATAGAACCCCCGGGGACAGAATGACATGGATGTATCTTTCTTTCCAGCCCTGACCTTTCCCTTGAGCTTCAGACTTCTATATCTAACTGCCTGCAGGACTAAGCCACTTGGCGTGTCCATCAGTAGCACAAACTCCACATGTGCAGAAGCACCCATTGCCTTTCCCCCTACTTTCCATTTCACAGGAACTGGAACCACCCTAGATCACACTCGGTCATCCCCACATCCAATCAGTCATGAAGACCTGTCTGCTTGACCTCCTATTTCTGGGCACATTTTCTTTCTTTGCCTCTCTTGTGTTAGTTCAATGTTTTAGCATTTTTTAACCTGGATTACTATTATGATTTTCATACCAGACTGCAATCTCATCTCTGTCTCCGCACTTTGGTGGCCAAAATGATCTTTCTGAGGACCACAGCATCACAGAGCTCCTTGGTTCCATACCCAGTCATGGCTTTCACTGTCTTCAGGGTAAAACCCATGCTCCTTAGAATGACCACTCCGCCCTAGAGCTTGGTCACTGTGGGTTTTCCTATACTCATTTCCTTTCCATCTTGCACACTAAGCTCAGTAATATCCAAGCATTTAGCATTTTCCGCAACACCTTCCTCAGTTTCCTACCTCTGGGCCTCAGCCAGGCTGGGCCACCTGCTGGGAAGATGTTTGCCTGCCTTTCTCACCCACAACTCACGGAGGGCTTTCTCCTCTAGGAAGCCCTTACTGCCCCTCCTCTGGGTTCCCAAGGATGTACATTTTAACATTTAGCCTAACTACAGTGTATTTAATGTATTAAATGCTAATATGTTAAATATGTTTGTCTCTTTTGAAAACATATATCAACCAGCTGTTTGTTGTTGTTGTGGTTTGTTTGTTTCACACAGAGTCTCACTCTGTCACCCAGGCTGGAGTGCAGTGGCACGATCGCAGCTCACTGCAACCTCTGCCTCCCAGGTTCAAGCGATTCTCGTGCCTCAGCCTCCTGAGTAGCACAGATGCGCACCACCACATCCGGCTACCAACCAGCTGTTTTATTCAAAGGTGTGTCCCCACCGTATTATTACACAAATATTTGTTAATGTAAAGTTGCTGATTTAAAAAGAAGCTTAGGCTTATCTCTGACTCCCCTTTCATTTTCACATGCACATCTAATCCAACATGTCCTGCTGGTTCTGCCTTTAAAATATATCCAGAATCCAACCACTTCTCACCCATTTTCTGCCTGGACAACAACTGGAGGTCTCCCTACGCACTGTGTTCCCCACCCTCCTTCTGTTCTCACGCAGCAGCCAGTGTGATGCTTTGAAAACATCAATCAACTTCTGTCACCCCAGTGAGCAAAACCCTCCAGTGGTTCCCCATCACGCTTGGAATAAAATCTAAAGTTCTTAACATGGCCCTCTAGGTCTGTATGATTGACTTTTTCATTCTTCCCTGACTTCATTTTCCTTCCTTTCTCACCCGTTTCTACCATTCTCCAGCCATCATGGCCTTCACACTCTTTCTCGGATTTGCCAGCTTCTGGACTCCATCCTTGATGCCCCTCTATCCGAAATGTTCTTTTCCCCAGATATTCACAAAGTGCCCTCTCTCACTCAGTCAGATCTCTACTTAAAGTTACCTCCCCAGGGTGGCATTCCCTGACCACACATGTTAAAATCATGCTCTCAATCCTCTTGCTGTAGCCAGATGCCATGAGGCATGGCTGTAGTCCCAACTGCTCAGGAGGCTGAAGCAGGAGGATTGCTTGATCCCAGGAATTCAAAGCTGTAGTGTGCGATGATCCTGCTTGTGAATAGCCACTGCACTTTAGCCTGGGCAACATAATGAGACTAATCTCTAAAAAAAAAAAAAAAAAAAAAAAAAAAAAAAAAAAAAAAAATTTAAAAAGCAAAAAAATTAAATCATCTCACCTTGATTTATTTTCTTCATAGTAGTTACTACAATGTCTTTAAATTTATATAGTTTTTAAAATATTGTGTATCTTCCCTTTTGGAATCTAAGCTCCTTGGGCATAAGCACTTGATCTATCTTGTTCTCAGTTGTACCCAGGGCCTAGAACAATGGCTCATAGTAGGCACTCGATGAAGACTTCATGAATCTTTCATGAGCAAGACCAATGAGTAGAAGCTCCAGGGAGACACTTTTCAGTTCATTAGGAGGAAAGACTTTCTGTCAGCGAAGCCTGAAGATGGAAAGAACTGGCTCTGGATGGGATAAATCCCCTGTCATGGAGAGGTTTAATTCACAGAAAAGCTGGACAACAACAATCTCATGGGTGCGCATATGGATTTAGAGCAGCTGGGGGCTGGGCGAGATGGGCTATGGTTCCCCTTAAGGCTTCAGCTGTATTCAGTTTCATGTACCTGCCTGTGATCCTCAGGAATCCCTGGTGGGAAGCCTTGAGCTTGGCTGTAGGAGGCTGGATGCCAAAAAAAAGTCACAGTTAAGAGTTTTTCAATACAAAATGTAGTTTTTCAGTTTTTCAAGGAAATAGTTGATCATTCAAAAAAATTCAGAAAAGAGAAGGAAAAAACGCACGCATGCACACACACCCACAATCCTATCACTCACTGTTAATATTTTGGGACATATTATTCCTGTCTTTTTAATGGATTTTTTCCCATTTTATATTGTCATATTATAGTTGTATATTAATTATCTATCACTGCATAACAAATCACACCAAAACTTGGTGCCTTAAAGTGGCAATATACACATCTCTTATCTGTGGGTCATCAATTCAGAAGCAGCCAAGTGGGACTCCTGGCTCCAGCTAGTTTCTGTAGCTGTGGTCAGGCTGGGGCTGGGGCCAGCTCTGGCCTCCTCTCAGAGGCTTCTGCATTCACAAGTCTGGTGCCTGGGTTTGGGTATTCCTAGGGCATCTTTCTCTCTCTCTGTAGTCTGGCCATGTGATCTTTCAGCATGGGCTTCAAGGGGGACATGATGGGCTCTACATGGTGGCTCAGGACTCCAAAGCTATCTTAAGATAAAGAGCCAGGCAGGAATCTTTTATGAACTCATCTTGGAAGTCAGTAGCAAGGGTGGGAGACAGTCCTTTACTTGAACCCACTTCACTGACTTTACTGCTGTTAATTTCACTTAGCTTAACACATATGAATTGAGTGACCACTAAGGGCAGTGTACCATGCCATGTGCTGGAGATTTAAAGATGAATAAGACATGCTTCCTCCCTTCAATTTGTTTTTAATTTGGGGGATGCACCCAAAGCCATTGTTTCCTTTAGGTTGCACACTGATTACTTCAGTAATTGATATAACATATATTGGGCACTTCAAACCCTAGTTCTACCACTTGCTAACAGGTTTAAATGAATTAACCCATGTAAAACTTAGCCCAGTACCTGGCTTATGGTAAGGGCTCAATGAGTGTCAGCTTTGCTGGTTAACTGCCTGTTTGCACTCAGATCAGTCCTGGACCTTCCCTTGCTCTGCTCTGTATTTCAAGAAACTACATTCCCTGGGCTCCCTGTAACTCCCAGGAAGGGTCAGCCATTTGGAGGAAGACCAGTGGAAGACCAGAAGACAGAATTTGGATAGAGGCAGAATATTGTCCCCCTTCTCTCTGCATCCTGTGGCATCTCCTCCATGGCTCCAGCTCAGATCCTGATGTGGTTTCAGCTCCCACAGGGCAGCCTGCTGCTGTTCCTCCAACCCTAGGAACTGTTTCCCACTACTTCTAATCTCGAAGCTGCCTTATGAGCATCAGTTTGCTTTCTCATCTCTGCTGTGTCTTGAATAACCCATTTCCTGTATTAAATTCCCCTAGATTGAAAGACCTAAAGTGGTTCATATTTCCTGGTTGAAAGAGTTAGCTTCAGGCTGGGCACGCCTCTAATCCCAGCACTTTGGGAAGCCAAGGCAGGTGGATCACTGGAGCTCAGGAGCTCGAGACTAGCCTGGGCAACAAAGTGAGACCCTCAACTCTATAAAAAACAAAAAATTAGCCAGGAATAGTGGTGCATTCCTGTAGTCCTGGCTACTCAGGAGACTGAGGTGGGAGGATTGCTTGAGCCCAGGAGGTTGAGGCTGCAGTAATCTGTGATCACACCACTGCACTTCAGCCTGGGCAATGCAGACCTTGTCCCCCCAAAAAATTAGCTGCTAATATTAGTATTAGTATCTCATTTAACTGTATAACAGCTCTATCAGGTGGGTGCCTTTATTATTGTCCTTTTATAGATGGGGAAACTGAGGCAAAGGAAGATTAAGTAACTTGTCTCAAATCGCATAGTAAGTGGTGGAGGCAGAATATGAACCCAAATCTGTCTTCAGTCCAGTTCCTGATGTGCACAATCAGGTAAAGTCGCTATCTACCTACTAGCTGAGCTTTTAGAAGCCTCTTTTTACTCTTTAAGGCACTACCAAAGTTGGGGAAGTTTGCCTCTTGATATCCAGCAGTTCTTTCTTTCTGGGAGTCTCTCCACGCCAGTTTCTCATAAAGCTCTTGTGAAAACGCATGAATGAATAAAATATATGTGGTTTATTTCTGCATTGCTCTGTTTTAGTGATTTATTGATAATTTAGAAGGCTTTACTGTCTAATGTATGGGCAGATCATAGGTAGTTGATTAAGAGCGAGACTAGTGGTCATGTCTATAAAACACTGAGCATTGGCCCTGGGAAGAAAGAAATGTAACCTCACATGATAAAATTGTTTCGCTGGTGTAGCTAAAGTCAATTGCTGATATCTTTTTCTAAAAAGCCATCCATAATAGTCCAAGGAATGCCCATGTCATTCAAAAGATACTCAAAATTGAGAACAGCTGCCTTCAAGTGGGACAAAACGTGAGGGAAAGCTTTACAAAGTGGAAAATTACAATGGTTCCCCCGAGCCTGGCATGAGGAATGAAACATCAGATTAATCTCACACACAAAATAAGAAGTATATTAACAATTACTGTCATTCCAGAAAGAGATTAAACATGAGCATTGGTGAAAGATTACTTTGGTTCAGAGAACTGGGGCTTTTTCCTCGCAACAAAGATCATTATTATTGGCAAGAAGATACTTTACCCTTTTAATCACAAATCCACTCTCAGGTTTTGCCAGTTGGGCAAGGACTAAATTTGAGGTGAGCTGATCATTGAGGACTTCCCTGGAGCCTGGGTAACCTTGGCGAGTCTGGTTGAGCTGGGAATGTAACAGGCTTACTACTTTTTGCTTTTGTGTGATTCCATCTTCCTATGCTCCAGCTGTGAAAATCATTTCTGTCCAGCACCTCAGGTTATTTGAAGATTGGTTACATCCTCCCCACTTTGGTATTTCTACTGTAAACAATACTGGAATGAGGTATTTAATGAGGACTTTTGAAATGGGATCCAGTTTCAATGGGATGCCTGAGAGTGTCAGGGGAAAGATACCACATCCCCTACACTTTATACCCCTGCCCCCTGCCCCAGGAAACGAGTCTTTTCCTGTTTCTTCATTCAAAGCATCCTCCTTCCACAGTTAGCACTGAAGCTGATAGGGCTCAAAGCCACATGTAGGCAATAAGGTTAGAGAAACCATTCTTCAGCTTTAACTCCTTAGCATTTTCCCCCTGACTCATTTCCTGATTCATGAGCGCAAGACACGGTAGGCAATTAATTTTCATTTTATTCAGAGAGAGCTCACCTGATAGGTCTGATGAATCCTTTTCTGTGGGAATTCCAAAAGACCAAAGCAAAACCAGTTCAAGCCCAAGATGAGTCTCATTAAATCCCAAGCTCACCAAGCTCGAATCATGAGACTGGGTGTGGTCTACGGTCTTGCAAGCCCATGCTTGAATGAAGTATTAGAGGCAGGCACACAGTGCTGATCTTTCAGATTCGCTGCCTCCTTATCAGTAATGCAAACAGCAGCCCTCAGAGCTTAGAGCAGGCACAGAGCAGAAAAATCCTAGGGATCAGGATACAACTTTACTGAGGTTCCAGACAATATATATGGAGAAGGGGCCAGCATGGGATCCAGAGAGCAGGTGGCAGCCATGCCCTGACCTTGGGCCCTTGGTGCTCAGGCCAAACCTGACACCAGCTAAAGGATAATGAATGAAGAACAAAAAGAAATGGTTTAGCTGGGTGGTTGTCCATGCACCCAGCTAAAGCTCAATTATTGGGCTGTTTGTACATTTTACAGTATGACACCATATCAGTTTTTAGAACACGGCAAAGAACCTTTCCAACTTTCAATCAGCAAACTTAGAAGAGTCTCCACGCTTCCCGTCTCATCGCCCTCAGCAAGCAGAGTTCCTGAGCCAATGCAGGGACAAGACTTTGCTCTAACTGTCAGCAATTATTAATAACTGCAACTCCTCCATGCAAGCAATGGATTCAGAATGAACTAGAATTTTCTAGTCTTAACTCCAAACACCCAGGAAATGGAGTCCAGCTGGCTCAGTCTGAGTCACATACTCACAATTGGCCCAATCATCTTTGGGTAAGGTGACATGGGCCTCATAGAACATACATGGCTGCCTGGGGCCCATCCCTGTGGGCGAGGGGACAGACTAGGGTCCTTGTAAGCTGCCAGAACCTATAAGTAGTGTGTCTTATAGTTGTCTCGCAGAGAAAGAAGACCTGGGCAGTGATTCCTATTTTTCCTAGAATCGAATGTCCCTATCACACTACACATTCCTTCTTTAAATTCTCCACTTTCTGGCTTAATTGTGCTTTCAGAATTTGGGACATGTACTGTTAGATAGACACAATGCTAAAGATCCCAGATCCTAGTTTTTGCATTTTGCAACATGGCGGCACGTTTTTCTGTATCTGACTCTAGGCTCAGCATTAGCTAGATCCACCAAGATGATGGCCAAGTTAGATGAATCACCAGACTGTGATGCATAGTTACCAAGATATGCCAGACATTTTCAACCTTTCATCCTTTATTCTTCTTGTCTTCTCAGCCTGGAATAGCCTTAAATAATCCAGCTACTGAAATCCTGCTCATTATCCTTAAGACACAGTTCATATGCCAATTCGTCCCTGAAGTCTCCTTTAGTGCTTCCAAGTTTTGAGTTGTCAGATTTAGCAAATGAAATAGAGAATGCCCAGTTACATTTGAATTTCAGATACACAATGAATAATCTTTTCTATAAGTATGTCCTAAATATTTCATAGAGCATACTTATACTGAAAAATTACCTGTTGTTTTTAAAATTTAACTTGATGTCCCACATTTTAATCTGGTAATCCTACCCTAGTTGGGTTTAGGTATAACCTCTTCTTGCCCGACATTTTGTCTGCACTTTATCTTTCACATTTATTTTATTTAGCCATGGAGTAGTGGGTCATTTCTGTTTTCTCCTTTCTCACTAAATTGTAAGATACCTGAATGCAGAATTGTTCCTTATTTATCTTTATCTTTTTATCTTATTTATCTTTTTATCTCCTCCACATCACCTAGGATGTGTATAGGATCACCTGTCCTATACACAGTAGGAATTAATAACTATTCCAGTTAGTGAATGAAAATTTTGTTGAATCTAAGCCTTTGGCTGTCACATATATGAGATGTATGTTTGCAACCAAAGTCCAAACTACTCCCAAATAATAGTAATACATGTCTTTTATTTGAACAGTTAAATGCCAACAACTGTACTAAGGGCTTTATATCCGATCTAAAAAAGTAAACCATACTACTATCCTATGAGTAGATAGAATAATCCCATTTTACAGATGAAAACAGATGAGGATTCAGAGGTTGCAATAATATGCCCAAAGTCACAAAGCTAAGAATTAGCAGAGTCAGGATTCAAACTTTAGACATGCCTGTCTCCAAAGCTAGTAAGTTAATCTTATCTACCCTCACACCAAAGAAAGACTGGGTGTGTCTCTGTTTTTGCTAGAATATTGGTTCAGCTGGTTTTATTTTTTATAGTGACCAAAATTTTAGTGGCTTCAATGGATAGAAGTTCATTTCTCTCTTATGTACTAATATAAATCAGAGTTGACAGTCCAGGGGAGTAGGCGGTTCTGCTCTCCAAGGTCCCTCAGACACCTGGGTCCTTCTATCTTGCTGTTTCACAATCTCCATGGCTGCTGCCCTTCCTGCAGGATTGATGCAGCTCACCCATCTACATTCCAGTCTATGGGATTGGAAAAGTAGGAAATGAAATGCAAGCAACTTCCTTTTAAGAATATGGTCCTGCCTTTGTTCACACTTCCCTTCCACTACATCCATTGGCCCCAAGATAGGCACAGAGCCACACCTCACTGCATGGAAAGTGGAACGTGTAGTCTTCAGGTGGTTGTCCTTACACCCAGCTAAAGCTTAAGAGTTCTTTACTTAAAGGAAGAAGGGGACAATGTGTGTTGGGTGGGTCCAGCAATCTCTGTGACAGTCATCAGAGTAAAGGAGGCAGGGCAGATGTTATGAGTGGGAGAAGATAAATTCAGGGAGCAGGGGAGTCAGGGAGGTGAGAGCAAGGAGACAGCAAGAGGACAGTGGTAGACACACGGCTGAGTTATGGGCTGTGCTAGGTCTCCCTGTTCCCAGAGGTCTGCTGTGAAGGTGGGTGCAGTGGGCATCTGCCATCCTTTCTGGTCACCTGATACCCTGACCACACTTCCTATGTGGGAGAGATTTCTCACTGAATGAACCAACTCCCCCCTTAATAAATGAACTCGCCCATCCCCGCCTAGAGAGAAGCCAGAAACTTGATTTTTGAGCCTCCTTGGTAGCCAAGACACAGTCAAGAGGCTGTATCTGCTCTAGATAATGAACTAGAAACAAGTGAAGTGGAAAAGCGGCTTCTGGGTAGAATCCATTCTAATGAAAATGGTGGCAAACACCTCCATTTATAAGAGACAGTAGGAACAGAGGTTCCAGTAGTAGCAGGGCTCAGTGTTGGTGGTGTAAACTGAAGAAGCTATGCCCAAGGGTGGCACCCATAGGGCTATGGTAGACTGAATAACTGTCTGCACTCTTCGTGTTCTCCCTGTAATAGAATCTATGCCTTTAACCATGTGACTTTGCAGTGCCTCCCATGGCAGAAGACAGAGTCTACATTCTAGACCCGTTGACTGAGGGCTTGGTTGTGTGACTTGGTTTGAGCCATGGACAGTAGATGAAAGGGACAGCATCTCAGAGAGGCCTTAAGAAGCATGGTGAGTTTCCGTCAGCCCACTTGAGCCTCTTTCCTCACCATGAGAAGACTACGTTCCATGTAACCATTGCCGCTTCAATCTGGGTCTTAGAAGGAAGACACCTGAAACAGAACTGAAACTGACCTGAACTCTAAACCAAACTCCAGTTTGCTCAGCTGAGCCCAGCCAAGATTAGCCAAGCCACAACAGATCCAAGAACAGAGAATAAAATGCTCATTGTTGAGATTGGAGAATAATTTGCTATATGGCCCTACTACAGAAGAAACCTGACTAATACCATTTCCTACTGGCGTGTTTCTGAGGTATATTTGGGCAAGGCTGATGTTGAGCAAGTATGTTCCAGAACAGTTGCAGAGGTTATCTACCACCTTCCACTCCTCTGATTACTTGGAGCCTGTGTCATGAAGTTGTCAAATATTTGATGGTTGTCCTTAGGTTTGGTTGTTTCTGGCAATGTGGCTACCATATTTGATTCTCTAGCCTTTCTGGAGATTCTGTGATGTACCTGATATCCTTGGATAAATTAATTTTCTGCATATATTAGGGGTAAGTCATGTTTTGGTTTGCAACTTAAAACCCTGGCTAAGAGAGGGTCAGCAGGGGTAGGAGAGTATCAAAATCAAGGCCACGTAAGATGTCTCTCACCTCCCTCAGTGACCACAGGACATTTTCCAATTTGCTTCATGGAAGCACTTCAGGATTTGCTAGCTTTGGACTTTGGGTAAAAGTGTAAACAATCTAAGAACTCTGATTCTAGATTTTACAATTTGGCACTGGTACTTAAGATTCTTCTCCTTGGTACTGCCGGGGCAGACTATTTTTTCTTTCAGGCCAGTGGAAAGAAGACTTGGCTGTGACCCAAGAGACCTGGGCTCCAATCCCAACTGTGCCAGCAAGCTGCAAGACCTTGAGAAAGGGTGTTCCTTTTTTGGGTCTTAGTTTTCCTGTATCCAGAATCCCAGGACAATAACATCTGCTTTCCTTTTTATGATGGTGGCCAGGAAAAAAAGAAATCATGGGAATATGTCATGGAAAGCCACAAGATCTGAATAAATGCAAAGTGTTTTGTGTGCATCTGTGTTTAATATGTAGGGTGGCATTAAGTAAGTACAAATGTATACATAAGCACACATGCAGTCAAGAAGGAAATGTGCAAACTTTTTTTTGTGGTTTATCTTGGGGCTATGAGGTTACAGTTGATTTAAGTACTCTTAAATGCCCCTGCATTTTCGACATCTTTTATAATGATCATGCATTACTTATTTAATAAAAAGATTATTTTTAAAAGAATAGAAATGCATTAATGTGCTATGTTAACGTAGGATATTTATTATAGAAATTCTTTTGAAAGCATGACTCTTATCAAGTAGAAGTAAATATGAGGACAGGCAGGGAAAATGGAGAGAGGAAATGGGAGGAAATGGTAGGAAGGAGGTACTCCCTTGTCATCAGGGCACTGGACCCTTATAGAAAGAAAGATGAGGAGAGGGGTATGGCAGAGGGATCACCTTTCTACACCCAGGGAACCCCTCTGTAATGTGGCACTTTGAGTCATGGAATCATTCATCACTCGATAAGGCCGTGCCCACCAAATGCACGGGAAGTTGAAAAGAAACCTGATCTCCCCAGCATTAGCCTATAAGGTTATGTTGTTGCTGTCCCCCAGCACCAGAGCAATAAAGGATCTGGTTACATAGATCCTCAGGAAATCCTCAGGAAATAATCTGAGCATATGAGCCCGGTGAAGAGGGGCCAAGAATTTTCTCTGGGTCCTAGGTTTTTTGAGATGCCTGCAGCAACCATCTTCCAAAAAGATTTTCCCATTGTAAATACAATGATTAAGAGGATGAAGGAAAGTGAGGCTACAAGCTGAGTGTAAGCACAGAAGCCACAGGCTTTGGTTGAGCTGTTTGCCACCTCATCCCCATCCTACTATTTTACCCCAACAAGACTCTGACCCTGTCGAGAGAGACAGACAGACAGAGAGAGAGAGAGAGAGACAGACAGAGAGAGAGAGAAATGCATTCTCCTCTCTTCCCTTAATTCATGCTTCCTAAAAAGTTGCCAGGTCCATTCCACAAACCTTTATGGAGCAACTAGTATGTTCCAAGCACAGTGCAAAGCTCAGGAGTACAAGATAATGTCCCAAGATTAGTCTAAAGTGGCATACAGGTTCTCTAAGAAAGGTAGAGTTAATAATGATCATTGCTAATATTTTTGAGGGTTCACTATGTACCAGGCACGTGCACTTTCCGTGGGTTATCTCATTTGAGCCTCACACCAATACTATGAGGTAAGTGCTATTATTGTCCCTATTTTACAAATGGGAAAACTTTGGCCTGGGGACTTTGATTTGCTGAGGTCACACAGCTTACTAGCAAAGGAGAAAATGTGTGAATCTAATAACCTGGCTCCAAGCCCACCTGCTTAGTTGCTCTGCAGTACAGTGCAGAGGCAGGAAACAGAGGAGGGTAGTCCAGTCAGCCTGGGGAAGATCAGAGGTGGCTTCATGGAAGAGGTGACCATTGAGCTGGGTCTTGAAGCATAAGCAGGAGTTTGCTTGAGGACAAGGAGGCAGGAAGGGTAAGACAGTAGGAGAGCAGAATATTCTGAGGCAAGGGGTAGAGAGACAGGTTGGCCTCTTGTGGAAATACCACATATTCTGTTACAGTTAGAAGGTAGGGGGCCAGCAGGCGTAGGCTGTGAAGGGTGAGGAGCCTGTTGAGATCTTGGCTCAGCAACTCCCACACCTGGTGGCTTCCCCTCAGAATCAATCACGGACATGTGGATTTGCCAGCAGGCAGCAGGTGAGCCAGCAGGGGCCTCACAGACCCGACACTCCCAGCCCAGCTGGGGCTCCTTTCCAAGGAGCTGAGTTGGGTCTTTTCCAGAATATTCCCTGGTGGACCTGAAGGCAGCCTGTCTGAGTGCCAGATACAGCAGCTGGGTTGGAATATGAGAGGGAAAAGTTATGGCCGGAAGAGAGGAGAAGACTTTTACCTGAAATGCGCAGTGGTCAGGACTGCAGGCTTTGCCCAAGAATCACGGATTTGAAGCCCAGCTCCTGCATTTACCTATGGTGTGATCTTCAGTATGTCACTTACCTGCTCTGTTCCTCAAGTGTGTCTTCTGTAAATTTGAGAACCATCATAGGTATTTCTTAGGCTATTGGTGAAGGTTAAATGAAGCAATTCATATCCAGGACTTAATGCAATGCCTTGCACAGAGTAAACACTCAGTTAATAGTGATCTTTATTATAAGCAGTCATGGCTACTCGTTCAACATTCGTTCAAAAAAGATTTATTGAGTGTTTTTTTATGCCTGGCGCTGGATTATGGCCATGAACAAGGAATACAAAGTTCTTGCCCTCCTGGAGTTTATATTTTAGGGAGGGAGACAGACAATAAGCAATTAATATTTTTAATAATTCCAGATAGTGGTGAGTGCTGTGCAGATAATAAAAGAGTAAAATGTGTGCGTGTGTGTGTGCATGCACGTGCACATGTGAGCTTTAGATGAGACCATGAGATTAGGCTGTCTCTTGAGGAGTTGACATTTGAGCAGAGATCTGAATCAAAGAAGCTTATCTTGTCCAAATATAGAGCAAGAATGATTCAGGCAGAGGACATAACAAATGTAAAGGCCAGGAGGCAGGGAATCACTTAATATATTCAAGGAATTACCAGAAAGACAATGAGCTGGAAGTAGGAGAGTGATGGGAGATTAGGGAGGTTAATAATGATAACAATAATAACTTCTATTGAGCACTTGCTTAGGGTTAGGTAATTCCCACTCAGTCTCTTCACAGGCTCTACAAGGAAGGGGCGATTAAAGTTCCCATTTTACAATTGAGAAATTAAGACCCAGCAAAGCAAAGGAGCTTGCCCAAGGTCACATAGCCAATATGGGGCTGCAGAGCCAGGACTTGGGCCCAGGAAATGGCCCCAGAGCTCATTCATGATCACTGCCCTATTCTACCCTCACTGGGAAGGCACTCAACTGTGTGTCCAGCTCTATGCTTGGCAGAGGGAGGTGCAAGTGTGTGTGTGTGTGTGTGTGTGTGCGTGCGTGTATATTTGTGAGTGTGTGTGCATATTTGTGAGTGTGTGTGCAAGAACTGGGATCAGGGGAGGAAGAGAGTGAGGATTACAGATGTTTCTTTGCTCTTAGTTGTGGAAGGAAGACTGATACACAAGAAAGCATGATGATTAATTCAAGATGAAATATAATTAAGTGACAAGTTACATGGCCCTGACCCTAGTGCCTTGAGAACTTTCTAGAGAAGAGCAAATTGATGAAGGGATGAAAGGGAAGCAGGAGAGTTTAGTGATTAAAAGTAAGGACCCCAGAACTAGACTCTAGGACTCAAATCTCAGCTCTTCCACTTATCAGCAATGTGATTTGGGGCAAATTACTTAAGCCTCTCTCTGCCAGTTTGCTCATCTATAAAATGGGAACGATGACAGTACCTACCTCACAGGTTTGTTGAGGATTAAACAAATGAGTTGATGCACATACAGCACTCATAATAGTGCCTAGCAGAAAATAAGAAGTAAACACATGTTCACCATGATCAAGATTTGTTTTTTGCTATTTTCATCCTAGATTTTAAAAACTGACTTCACAGATATAACACACATGTTCAATAGCCTCTTTACTTATTAATGCATTTATTCCTACTAACCCTCAATGTTGTAATTTCAATATAGGTGATCTCTATAGTGATAATATTAAAGATGATCCCTCCCCAGCACCTGACACACTAGTGTTTCAGTTCCTTGAACTTCTTTCCTCTAATGACCTTCTCCTCTACCTTCTCTCAGTCACTGTGTCCCAGGGCCACACCCTATAACTTCACCCCATCACTAATCTTGATTTCTTGTGTCCACCTTCTAAACACTATGGTCTCAAGTACCCCAACTCCAACAATCCTTTGTCCTCATTGGGACCCCCAGTTGCTCAATCCTGCCATGTCGCTATTCATGGTCAACCATTAAAATAACTGCCTTGTGAATATCTCCAACTCCTTTGTCCCCCTCCGGCTTTGCCATCCTCTCTTGGCAAAACAAAGCCCTGGTTAAATGCAGTCCTACCTACTCTATACTCAAACCTGTGCAGCTGAAAGTGGCTAGAGAAAAATCACACCACTTCCTGCTGGTGTTACTTTAAATTCCTGACCACAGACTTCATATGGATTTCTCCGGTGAATCCACTCTCTCACTGTGTAGATGAGCTTCTGCTTCTATCTAAAGTCAATCCCTCTTCTCGTTTGCCAGATCTTATGCCCTCTTGTCTACCAAAGGGTATCCCCTCAGCAATTCTCTCCTCTCTGTCCTGGAATTTTTCCTCTACAAGATCACTGACAGCAGCATACAAACCTGTTTTCTTTCTTTCTTCTTAATACATTTTTATCCAGCCCCACTGCATTAGTTATCTATGCTATGTATACCCAAAATTTAGCAGCTCAAGCCCTGGTTGAATGTCTCTCACAAGGCTGTCAACTAGGGCTGCAGTATATCAAGGCTTGATGGGGAGGTGATTCACTGCTAAGCACACACACACACACACACACACACACACACACACAACTGTGGGGAGGGCTCAGGTGCTTGGTGGCTATTGGCTAGATACATTAGTTCCTTGCCACTTGAGCTTCTCCACTGGGCAGCTCACAACCTGGCAGTTTGCTTCCTCCAGAGCCAGCAAACCAAAAGAGTACCCAAGAAAAGCTTTTTGACAACCTGTCCAATCTCATCATTTCTGTCTTATTCTCTTTGTCAGAAGTCAGTAAGTCAGGCTAGGAGAAGTTGGAACCCTTGCACACTGCTGCTGAGAATGTAAAATGGTACAGTGGAAAATAGTACTGTGGTTCTTCCAAACATTATCACGTAACTCAGCAATTCCACTTCTGAGTATACACACAAAAGAACTGAAAGCAGGAACTCAAACAGATATTTGTATACTCATGTTTATAATAGCATCCACAATAGCCAACAGGTACAAACAACTGAAGTGTTCACTGACAGATGAATGGATAAACAAAATATAGTATACAGATACACTGGAATATTATTCAGCCATAAAAAGGAATGAAATTCTGACATATGCTACAACATGGATGACCCTTGAAGACATTATACTAAGTGAAATAAACCAGGCACAAGACGGCAAATATTGTATGATTCTACTTATAGCCATCTGGAATAAATTCAGAGACAGAAAAAAAGTAGAAGGGTGGTTACCAGGGGCTGGGGGGAGAAATGGGGAGTTATTGTTTAATAGGAACAGAGTTTCAGCTTGGGAAAATGAAAAAGTTTAAGGGATGGATAGTGGTGATGGTTGCATAACAAGGCAAATGTAGTTAATGCAACTGAACTGAACACTTAAAACTTGTTAAAATGGTAAATTTTATGTTAAGTATATTTTACCATATTTTTTAAAGTTATAGCAAAAAAAAAATAAGTGAACTTACACTCAAGGGAAAGCATGAATAGCAGGAGGCAGGGATCATTGGGGGCATCTTGGAGACCACCTACCACACCCATTTTCCCTTACCACCCCATTCTCTTTTTTTTCCTTTCCTGTTTATTTTGAGATAGAGTTTCGTTGTGTCTCCCAGGCTGGAGTGCAGTGGTGCGATCTCCACTCACTGCAGCCTCCACCTCCTGGGTTCAAGCGATTCTCTTGCCTCAGTCTCCCGAGTAGCTGGAATTGCAGGCACCTGCCACCACACTTGGCTAATGTTTGTATTTTTAGTAGAGATGGGGTTTCACCATGTTGACCAGGCTGGTCTTGAACTCCTGACCTCAGGTGATCTGCCCACTTTGGCTTCCCAAAGTGCTGGGATTACAGGTGTGAGGCACCACTCCCAGACTCTAACACCTCATTTTCCTAGCAGCAAAACCACTTGTGGTAGGCAGAATTCTAAGATAGCCCCAGGATTTCTTCCACTTGTCATGTACACACCTTGTATAGTCCCCTCTCCTTGAGTATGGGAGGGGCCAGTGAATATGATGAAATGCTACACCTCTGATTGGGTTACTAATCAGCTAACTTTGAGTTTATCAAAAGGGAGATGATCCTGGGTGGGCCTGACCTAATCAGGTGAGACCTTTATGAGAAGATGAAGTGTCAGATATGCTCTCTTTTCGGCCAATACCAAGCAAACTGCTAGTCTGTGAGAGGGTCTATGAAGGGGGGTACATGGCAAAGGCCTGAGGGTCACCTCTAGGAGCTGAAAGTGACCCCTGGCTGCCAGCCTGCAAAAAAATGACTGCTGCAAGGACCTCAACTGTGCCAACAACTGAATGGGCTTGGAAGAGAACCCTGAGCCTCAGATGAGAATCCACCCTAGCAGACACATTGATTTCACCTGGTGACACCCCAAGCAGAGGGCCCAGCTAACCTCTGCCCAGAATCCCAATGCATGGAAAATGTAGGATGATAACTGCATGTATTTTAAGCCACTAAGTTTGTGCTAAGTTGTTCTACAGCAATAGAAAACTAATAGACCCCTCCACAGAGCTGTTTATATTTGCTGTAGTAACCAGTGTCATTCTCTACTCTGGCTGGCCTTTGGCCTTACTCTGCTGCTGAACTGCTCTTCTCAAGGTTACCAATGACCTCCACATTCCTAAAGCCAATGGTCCATTCTCAGTGCAAAGTCTATCTTACTTGACTAGAACACAGCATCTGACACAGTTGACACTGCATTCTAGTCTCTCTTCCCCTGAAAGAGTTTCTTCCCTTGGCTTCTCAGATGCCATGCTCTTCTGGTTTTCCCTTCTGCCCTTTCACAGTCTCCTTTGTTGGTTCCTCCTTTTTTATTTGACATAAGGAAGGCCTCAGCCGTTGGTCCTCTTCTCTCTCTACCTTTGCTTCTGAAGTGACCTTGTCCTGTCTCATGGCTTTAAAGACCAACTCTATGCCAATGACTCCCAAGTACATAACTCCAGCTTAGAGCTCTCTTTGGTACCCACTCATATAGCCAACCACCTACACTTGGATGTCAATAGATACCCTGATCTTCATATGTCCTAAGCTGACTTGTGAGCCTCCCCCACACCCACCCCACCTGCATTCTTCTCCATCTCAGTGAATGACAACTCAGTCCTTCCAGTTGCTCAGGCCAGAAAACCTGGAGTCATCCTTGACTTCCCTCTCTCCACTCCACATCGAGTCCACCAGGAAACCCTGCTGCTTCCCTCTCCAAAATAAGCCCAGAACCCTCCAAGCCTTTACCACTCTTCTACTGTCATCATGGTTCATGCCATGATCATCTCTGGCCTGAATATTAAAATATCTTCCTCACTGCTTTTCAAGCTTACTCCCTTGCCCCACTAATGCTAGAGCCAGAAGTATCCTTCTAAAATGTGAATCTGGTTACATCACTTTTCTACTCGAAACCTTGCAATGGCTCCTATTTCATTTGGAGTAAAAGCCAAAGTCGTCATAGAAACCTAAAGGTATTTCACGACCTCTCCCCTCCCCATCGCCAATACTTCCCACCCCCTCACCCCCAGCTAATAACCTCTCTGACCTCACCTCCAACTACCTCCTTCCTGCCTCATTCCGCTCCAGCCACACAGCCCTCCTCGCTGCTTTGAACACGTGAGGCATACTCCATTCTTAGGGACTTTTGCACTCATTGATCACTCTGCTTGGAACACTTTCCCCTTGGAAGCCTGCGTGGTCCATTCCGCCCTTCCCTCAGGCCACTGCTCAAAGGTCGTCTTCTCTATGAAACCCACCTTCACCAAAACCACCAGATGAAACTGTAAACAGCACTGATCCAAACTCCTGATCCTCCCCATGCTATTCTCTTCCCCATCATTCTTATCATTTGCTAACATAATATATTATTTATTTATTGAAACATTTTTGGTTTGTTGTTCTCTACACTTTGCAGGAATTTAAGCTCCTTGAGGGCAAGGATTTTTTTATCTTTGTCTCTCCACTGACATACCCCAAATTCCTGGAATAGAACCTACCATCTCACAGGAGCTCAACAAATACTTGTTGAAATGCCATAGGCACTTCTCATGTGCCAGGCACTCTATTTGCCACTAGAGAAACAGATATGAGAAGACCTGCTCCTTGTCAGCATGGAGTGGAGAGTTTAGAGTGATGTTTCTCAAAGTGGAGTCTGGTGAATTCCAACATCACATTCACCTGGGGCATTTTTTCAAAATGCAGATTCCCAGGCCTTGTCAAGAGCTACTGAATCACAATTTCAAAAAATGGGGACTGGGACTCTGTATTTTTAATAAGTCTCTTTGGTGTTCCTTCTGTCTGTCAGTTGGGAAGCAAGGGTCTAGTGGAACTACGACCCACAGTTCTGGGAAATAGTATTTGTCCCCAAGTTTATTACAACAACTTGGCCAAGTCACTTTACCTACTTGGCCTTAGTTTATTCAAATACCCAGTGAGATTAAAATGTATTAAAGGATACCTTTGGCAACCTACAGAGTAGTACAGATATGCCCTTGCTATAGACCACTGGAGAAAATTTCTGGACTGCTTTGGGTAGCAGTAACAGGCAACAAAATCCTTTGTTATGTGTACAAAAAGCTATGCTTCTTTTTTTTTTTTTTTTTTTTTGAGACGGAGTCTTGCTCTGTTGCCCAGGCTCGAGTTCAGTGGTGCAATCTCAGCTTACTGCAAGCTCCACCTCCCGGGTTCATGCCATTCTCCTGCCTCAGCCTCCTGAGTAGCTGGGACTACAGGCACCTGCCACCATGCCTGGCTAGTTTTTTGTATTTTTAGTAGAGACGGGGTTTCACTGTGTTAGTCAGGATGGTCTCGATCTCCTGACCTTGTGATCCGCCTGCCTCGGCCTCCCAAAGTGCTGGGATTACAGGCGTGAGCCACTGCACCTGGCCAAGGCTATGCTTGTTAAAATTTACAACCTGAATTACTGCAAAGGGGCAAAAGATGTTAACAGAAGGTGCAAATAAGCCCAAAGAATGGATGACAGGGCTTCCCAGGCAGTCAACATGTTTCAAACGCAGACTGTAAATGCTGCTCCCTGTTGATTTCTAGAACCTTCCAGGAGCACCAGCTTCTGGACAGGGCATCTCATATGCACCCATGACGAGGTGGTGGAGTCTGGTCTGTGTGGGAAGTTTGTCTATTGGGGAGGAGTCATGGGGCCATGATGGGGGAGGTTTGGCTCTGTCACTGTTTAACAGTGAGACCTTAGAAATATTGGCATCACTGAGCCTCAGTTTTCTACAGCTAGAAAGTTAGCATAATAATTCATTCATCATTCATGCAAGTACCTGATAAATGATGAATTCATTCATTGAACAACTTTTAAATTTGGTAAGCGTTAGCTGAGATAATGTGTGCGAAGTGACATGCTTATCACTGGAAGACTTTGGGATTCACCAATACAAGTGGTTGTACAATTTGGAAACTGTTTTGTTTGTATCCAAATTTTATTTTGAAAAAATTCAAAACTACAGAAAATTTAAAGAACAGTCAACGAACTTCGCCCTCCATCTAAACTATTGTATTAGTCAGGGCTTTCCAGAGGGACAGAACTAATAGGATATATATATTTATCAAAGGGATTTTATTAGGGAGAATTGGGTCACATGACCACAAGGCAAAGACCCACGACTTCTGCAAGCTGAAGGGCAAGGAAGTCAGTAGTGGCTCAGTCCGAGTCCCAAAGCCTCAAAAGTAGGGAAGCCAACAGTGCTGCCTTCAATCTGTGGCTAAAGGCAAACCACTGGTTTAAGTCTAAGGGTCCAAAGGCCGAAGAACGTGCAGCCTGATGTCCAAGGGCAGGAAGCATCCAGCATGGGAGAAAGATGAAAATCTGAAGACTCAGCAAGCCAGCTTACTCCACCTTCTTCCGTCTGCTTTTTCTAGCCATGCTGGTAGCCGATTGGATGGTGCCCACCCACATTAAGGGTAGGTCTTCCTTTCCCAGTCCACTGACTCAAATGTTAATCTCCTCTGGCAACACCCTCACAGACACACCAGAAACAATACTTTGCATCCTTCAATCCAATCAAGTTGACACTTCATACTGACCATCACACCTATCAATTGTTGCTACATTTGCTTTTTTCCATGTATGTACACACACACACACACACACACACACACACACACACACACACACACACTTCTTTTGACTGAATCATTTGAAAAGAAGTTGCAAATACCACAACACTTTGCTTCTAACTACTCAGCATGAATCTCCTAAGAATGAGGACATTCTCGGGCAGGTATCGCACTTGAGCCATTAATATTGCTGCAATGATGTTGCATAGTAACAAAAATTCAAATTTCCTGAAGATGCCCCAAAATGTCTGTAGTAGGTTTTATGTTTTTGTTGATCCAGGATTCGAACCTGATCTCCAATTGTTTTATTGCTTTTAGTTGCTATGTTTGTATGTCCACTGTGTCTCCTTTAATCCAGAAAGGTGCTACTTTTTATTTCTCCTTCTTATTTGGTCTTTCATGTCATTGAGAGGTTTTGGAGTCCAGGACAGTTGTTCTGCAGAACGGTCTGATTGTTTCCTTATGATTAGATTCTGGTTTAAGAGACAGGAATACTGCATAAACGATCAAGTCTCCAGAACATCACTTCTGTAGATACAGGATATCTGTTTGTTTCATTATTAGTGATGGTAATTCTGATCACTTGATTAAGGTGATATTGCCAGATTTTCCCATTGTAGAGGTTCCTTTTAACCTTTTGTAATTACTAAATAATTCATGGAGTGATCCTTTGAGATAGTATAAATAACCAATTTCTCAATAACTTTTCACTCAGTGGTTTTGGCATCTCCTCAAAGTTTGTAGCAAAATGGCAATTTTCTATTTCTCTTTGTCCTACAATATATATTAATTAACATCCAATCTAGTTTCCCCTTCAATTTTACTTCTTTCTTTTTTTTCTTCTCTTTTCTTCCTCCTTCTCTCCTTCCCTTCCTTCCCTTCTCCCTCCTCCCCACCCTTTCCTCCTTTCTTCCCTCAGGTTGGTGGCAGAATCCATTTCCCTGGGATTGTAGAACTGAGGTCCTGTTCTCTTGCTGGCTATTGGCTGGGAATTACTGTCAGTTCCGAGACTGCCTGCAGGTTTTTCTTATCAAAAGACAGTCTCCATAAGTCCTCTCACAGCAGAGCAGCTTCTTCAAGCCATCAAGGGAGATAAGTCTCTTTTTAGTAGGCTAAGACAGAGAGTTATTGAAAACAGTTTTAATAGGTGGGTGTTTAGGGTTAGAGTGTGTATGTCAGTGGGAACATGACACCCCTAACCAGGGGAAAGTTGACTCTAAATGGGAGGAGAGACTGAAAAAAACCTTATTTTTTATGTATAAAGCACATATATATATACACACAGAGAGAGAACATAAACTGATAAACAGTATATCTGTTATTAACATTTCATGAGGAATCTAACAAAAAAAAGTTTTCAAATGCTGCCTTAGGGAGAGACATAGTATCACTGGGTTAGGCCATAAAGCTGGTCTCTTTCAACCACAGTGATGTGAGGTAGGTTTGAGGGTACCCAAAATCATTGATGAGAATCCCTTACGCTGATCTCACTCCCTAGAGTTGACAAATGGCTTTCATTTATTGTAGGTGTTCTTATTGCCAGATCTGGACTTTTAAGGGGCAGTGGATGGGCTTTGGGTGGAGGAATCTCTGACGCCCTGAACTGTAGGCATAACATAGGTACTGATATGGTTTGGCTGTGTCCCCACCCAAATCTCATCTTGAATTTTAACTCCCATAATTCCCATGTGTAGTGGGAGGAACCCAGTGGGAGGTGATGAATTATGAGGGCAGGTCTTTCCTGTGCTATTATCATGATAGTTAATGAGTCTCATGAGATCTGATGGTTTTAAAAACAGAGTTTCCCTGCACAAGCCCTCTGCCTGCCACCATCCATGTAAGACAAGACTTGCTCCTCCTTGCCTTCTGCTGTGATTGTGAGGCCTCCCCAGCTATGCAGAACTGTAAGTCCATTAAAGCTCTTTCTTTTGTATATGGCCCAGTCTTGGGTATGTCTTTATCTCGGGTATGTCTTTATCAGCAGTGTGAAAATGGACTAATACAGGTACCTGTGTATGAGGGCTGGTGAAACATAGTCATTAAATCACAGAGCTTGAGTTGGACAACCTGGTTCAAATTCTGGCCTTGCTGTTTACTGTGTGACTTGGGCAAATTATTTAACCTCTCCAAGTTCATTAACCATAAAATGGGGATTAAAAAAAGTACTAAATCATAGGTTTGCTATGACAATTAAATAAATAAAGTATCTGGAACAGTGATTGGAACATAGTAAGTGTTTAGCAAATGGTAGCTATTATTATTATTATGCATGTTTATATTTATGAGAAGACATATTTATATACATTTATATTTATGGGAAGACATATTTATGAGAAGACAATTTTATGCTTTCATAAAATTCTCAAAGGGATCTATGACTCCCAAAAGGTTGAGAATCTCAGAAATGTAAGAACTGTTCTTATTATAAACCCATTAAGTAACATATAATCCTCTCCCTGCTTATCCACATCCAAAGAGCCACCATGTTCTGGCTATTCAATTAGAATATCTACTCACCACTTAGATATATGACCTAGCCCGCCCACTCACCATCTCACACAAACGATTTCAACAGCTACCTTCTTCAACCTCCTACTCTTACCACCACTTCATCTTTTAGTTCCCTTTGTCTCCAATCTTGCCCTGTTTCAATCATCTGGAATTGTGTTGTTTGTTTGGGTTTTTTAATCTTTCAAATCCTATCTAATCTTTCTCTCCTACTGCAAATCCTTCAGTGGCTCTCCATGACTTAGGCAAAACCTTTTTGCCTGATGTAGTTTCTGATCTGACCCTGTCCGCCTCTCTTGACTTACAGTCCGCCTCTCCCTGTCTCCCACACTATGCTAGAGCTATCCTATACCCACCCCTCTCCTGCTTCCATGCCTTGAAGGTGCTCTTCTCTATCTGGAATGCCCTTGTCTCTCTGGCAGCGAGTCTCAAACTCAAAGCCTTGCCTGAAATTTCCAGACAGATTTATGTTTATATGCTTTCTCTGTACTCCTCTTGAATTTTAAAACAATTTTTCCTTGTTTTGTGGTCATTTTTTTTGTCTCCAAAAGACTGTGAGCTCCTTAAAGACAGGAATCAAATAGTTTCATCTTTCTTCTTTGGTGCTAAATTTACTTAGTATATGTTCAATAAATATTTATTGGATAAGTGAACGAGTAAATAAATTAAAAAATTAATAAAGTTTAATAAGTTGCCCACACTATTATGTAACTGAAATAGCTGAATCTAGAGTCCCATGTATTCACACCGTTTTTGATCATAAAGAACAATAAAACCCCAAGTTTGCTTAGCTTAATCAAAAAGAGCAATAGGTCAGGCACAGGGGCTCATGCCTGTAATCCCAGCACTTTGGGAGGGCAAGGCAGGAGGATTGCTGGAGGCCAAGGCAAGAGGATTGCTTCAGCCCAGGAGTTTGAGACCAGCCTGAGCAACACAGGGAGACCCCGTTTCTATAAATTTTTTTTTTTTTAAATTAGCCAGGTGTAGTGGCACGCAGCTGTAGTCCCAGCCACCTGGGAGGCTGAGGAGGGAAGGTCACTTGAGCTCAGGAGGTCAAAGCTGCAGTAAGCCATGATCATACCACTGCACTCCAGCCTGGACAACAGAGCAAGACCCTGTCTCAGGAAAAAATTTTACAAAAGAGCAATAGGCCCAGAACTTGAATTCCAAGGGGCATCTTTCAGAGTTTCAGTCCAAGGTGGACCCAGGGGGTCCAATGACAACATCACCATCTGTCTCTCTAACCCTCAGCCCTATTTTCTTCTCAGCTCTTCACCTTTATCCACTAAAGAGGGTCCTTACCAGCAACAGGCTTAGTTCATCCTTAGAGCACCATGATTTTAGAAAAAAACAGAAAACAACTTCTTGTCCTAGCAACCATAGATTAATTCACTTGATGGCACTCTGATTGGCCTGCTTTGATCTTAGTCTGCGCAATACACTAATTGTTGTAAACAAGGAGATGGGGAGTCATGTTTGGCCAAGGCTTAACTACATGTCCACCTCTGTGGCCAGAGGACAAGCAAAGTAATGCAATTAGCAGTCCACTGGTGTCAGATGGGTTGTGGAGATACAGTGACAATGGATAGAGGTTTCTGGGAAGATAGAAGCTGTGTATCTTCACTCTACCCAATGTTCCCTTCATTACTCCATGGAGCCTTTCTAGCCAATAATGGGCAGAAATAGAGACAACATTTATTTTTACTTCCATGGATACTTTAGGGAGGTGGCTGAAAGGAATCTTGGTCATTGTGCTTTACAGCCAGTTTAGTTGTTTAAATGTGATTGATTTGTGGCCTCAGCTGTTTGGGGAAATAAACACATAACAATTTCATTTATTTCATTCACTACCTCTAGTTATATTGTATTAAATCTTCCTCACGGGGTAGCAGATCCCTTATCAAGAGCATAAACTGATCCAATTATTTTCTTGACACATCAGGCAATTGAAACTCATTTCGGTCTAGTTTAAGCCTATGGTTCTGAATGTCCATTTCAAACTCCCGGGCTGTCCCAACTCGACCAAGGGGATTGTGAGCTGCTGCTCTTCCTTCTTGTGTCTCTGGGCATTGTGTTGTGGGAATGGGGAAAACAGGGGAGGACATAAGCAGTACTAGCTCACTCCCTTTCCCCTCCCCTCCCTGGGTCTATCCTTGCAGGCAATTGAGAGTTAGGAAGAAGAGATGAATTATCTGCTGGCAGAGGGTGAGGAGATGCCCTTGGTCTCCTCTGTTTGATGTGGTCCTCTCTGTGTTGATGACATGCATGATTTTCTAGAGGTAATATTGAGCTTCATCCTGGCCCCTGCTGCCCCAGATGTCCCTGACCCCTCTAATCTCTCTCAATGATCCTTTACCTTGTCGGGCATCCCTCTTATCAACTTTGGACATCTTCATGTCCCCTGCCCCTTCCTTTAGCCCTCTGCTACCTTGCATGAAGCCCTGGGAATCTCTGACATCCTCTTTAACATTCTCAAATGGCTGCGGGGAACTAGGCTGGGTAGAAGATGCCTCATTTTCTTCCTAGGCACAAGGCAATAGATGGAATATCTGTGTCCCCCAAAAATCCTTTGTTGAAGTCCTAATCCCCAATATGGTGGTATAACGAGGTGGGGCCTTTACTAAGTGATTATGAATGGAATTTGTGCCCTTATAAAAGAGGCCCCACAGAACTGTCTTACCCTTTCCACCACGTAAGGACCCAGTGAGAAGACAGTCATCTATGAACCAGGAAGCAGACCCGTACGAGACACCAAATCTGCTGTGATCTTGGACTTCCCAGCCTCCAGAACCATGAGGAATAGATTTCTGTTGTTTATAAACCACCCAGTCCATGGTATTTTTGTTATGGCAATCCAAGAGGACCAAGACACACATTATCCACAGTTCCATCCCATCTCTCCATACTATTGGGGGCTACTCCAGCTAGCCTCATGATTTTAGAAATCTCCAGGTAGGAAGTCCTTGGGTGCATGCATGCTCCCAACCTGGAGCTGCCACTGGTACACATTATGCCTTGTGCAGGCTGTAAAAGGGCACCTCATCTGAGTGGACAAATTACCCTTTTTCCTTGTTCCTCAGCCCCTATTCTTGCCCTCAGCCCGCCATCTTAATGAACAGTAAAAACGCACCATCCTATGTTGTGGTCCCCCCAGATTCCAGGGTAGGCATGCCAAGTTCACCCAAGAATCCCTTCACCCGTGATGGCAGCCCAGGGTTTGCCTACTGACTCGGCAGTTCCACAAGCATCCAGAGAGGTTGCCAGTCTCCACTTCTTGCAAGCAACCCCCTCAGTGATTTTCTTGAAGCTTCATCTTCCTTCAATTTGATGGGACAGCTGTTCTTATAGTGTGGTCATGAACTCCTGGGGGTCTTCAAGACCCTTTCAGGGGATTCACAAGGTTAAAATTACTTTCATAATAAAATATTTGCCTTTCTCACTGTGTTGACTTTTGCACTGAGGGTACAATAATGGTAGATGAAACTGCTAGCACCTCAGCATTAATGAAGGCAGTGGCACTCAAATAAACTAGCAGCCATTGGGTTCTTCACCACCACACACTCACCAGTAGGAAAAAAGAATTCCAGTTTCCATTAAGAATGTTCATGCCTGTAATCCCAGCACTTTGGGAGGCCGAGGGGGGCATATCACCTGAGGTCAGGAGTTTGAGACCAGCCTGGTCAACATGGCAGAAACCCCACCTCTACTAAAAAACAAAAATTAGCTGGGTGTGGTGGTGGATGTCTATAATCCCAGCTACTAGAAAGGCTGAGGCAGGAGAATCGCTTGAACCCAGGAGGTAGAGCTTGCAGTGAGCCAAGATCGTGCCACTGCACTCCAGCCTGGGTGACAAAGAGTCCGTCTCAAAAACAAAACAAACAAACAAACAAAAAAAGAGAATGCTTTGATGAAGCAGTAAAAATTATTAAATTTTGTAAATCTGGACCCTTGGGTATACTTTTTTTTTTTTTTTGATGGAGTTTCACTCTGTTGCCAGGCTGGAGTGCTGTGGCTCGATCCCAGCTCACTGCAACCTCCGCCTCCCAGGTTCAAGCAATTCTCTTGCCTCAGCCTCCCGAGTAGCTGGGACTACAATGTGCACCACCACATCCAACTAGTTTTTTTATTTTTAGTAGAGATGGGTTTCACCATGTTGGCCAGGATGGTCTCGATCTCTTGACCTCATGATCTGTCCACCTCAGCCTCCCAAAATGCTGGGATTACGGTGTGAGCCACGGCGCCTGGCTGGTATACATCTTTAAAATAATATTCCTTGTGATGGAATGGGAAATACACATGAAGCACTTCTGCTGCATACAAAAGTATCATGGCTGTCCTAAGAAAAAACACTTTGCAACTGAGTTGTAAGCTGAACTAGCTCCTTCTTTCATGGAACACCATTTTTACTTGAAACAATATTGAAAAAACAAATTATTGCTCTATCAACTAAGAGTTTGGCAGCTATTTCCTTGAAACTGTACAAAGAGAGCCTGTCGCTTCCAAAAAAGTAACTGACAGTATTGTTGTCACTTGAAAAAACAATGAGTTTTCAAGCAGAAGTTAGAATTTTTCAAAATTTGCGTCTGCAACCATAAGCTTGATAGCTTCCCATACTTAACACGTTTCTAATGACATCATAGGTGACAATGAATATGGTTTCTGACCAGTGTAATGAAATGTATCAATTTAGGAAATCTGCATAACTCAAATAATTAATATTTCCAAATATTACCAATGGATGATGTTAAAAAAAAATGGGAAAAAAGACCCATTCTGAGTATAAGAAAGACCAATGGATTTCAACATATTAATAGCAAAGACCAGAAATGATTAACATGGTTTCAGATTCCACATTTGAGTAATGCTTAAGAAATAACCATTTGTTAAATTTTTGTGTAATATCAAAGAAGTATATCCATAGTTACATTAACGGCTATTAAAATATTCGTTTTTTTCCGATTACACATCTGTGTGAGGTCAGTGTTTTTCATATTCTTCAATCAAAGTAAATACAACAGATAAAATGAAGTAGTAGATATAAGAATCTAGCAATTTTGGATTAAAGTGGACAGTAGAGTTTTTTTTTTCTTTTTTCTTTTTTTTTTGAGATGGAGTTTAACTCTTGTTGCCCAGGCTGGAGTGCAATGGTGCCATCGGCTCACTGCAACCTCTGCCTCCTGAGTTCAAGAGATTCTCCTGCCTCAGCCTCCCAACTAGCTGGGATTACAGGCGCATGCCACCACGCCTGGCTAATTTTTGTATTTTTAGTAGAGATAGGGTTTCACCAGTAAGGAGGTTTTTAACACTGTAAAACAATGCTGCTATTCTCATTAATTTTTTGTTTGGAAAATACAGTTATTCACATTAAAATCTTACTTATGTTAACATGTAATGGATTTTTATTATTTTTAAATAAATTAGTAAGTAAATATTTTTAAAGTTCTAGTTTTAATTTCTAATATCATAAATGTTCACAGATGCTGTAAACAAAAGCTCCCTGGAGCTGTCAATAATTTTTAAACATGTAAAAGGGTCTTGTGACTAAAAAGTTTGAGAACTGTTGTGCTAGGAGGTGGAGAAGCACCCCTCCCATCCACTGTAGAAGGAAAGGGCTCTGACCCCAAATACGGCAGGACTCACTAGGCCTCTGACTAGTTACCCAGACCTCCCACAACATCTTTCCTCTTGATATAGAACCAGTTCTGCTGCTTTTTAGAAGTCCTGGGTGAATGTCTGGCTCAGTTGTTTGTGGGTCTATTTAGAAGGTTGGATATTTGGAACCTTTGTTCAGTGTTAGTTGTCTTTTCCTGGAGCTAGGAACTTTCCCACTCATTACTGTAAAATAATCTTTAATGGTTTTACGGTATTTTTGTTTCTTTGTGGGAGAGTAATTATTCTGTCACAACGTAGATTTGACCTTATTTTATTTTATTTTATTTTATTATTATTATACTTTAAGTTTTAGGGTACATGTGCACAACGTGCAGGTTTGTTACATATGTATACATGTGCCATATTGGTGTGCTGCACCCATTAACTCGTCATTTAACATTAGGTATATCTCCTAATGCTATCCCTCCCCCCTCCCCCCACCCCACAACAGTTCCCAGTGTGTGATGTTCCCCTTCCTGTGTCCATGTGTTCTCATTGTTCAATTCCCACCTATGAGTGAGAACATGCGGTGTTTGGACCCTATTTAATAAATGGTGCTGGGAAAACTGGCTAGCCATATGTAGAAAGCTGAAACTGGATCTCTTCCTTACACCTTATACAAAAATTAATTCAAGATGGATTAAAGACTTACATGTTAGACCTAAAACCATAAAAACCCTAGAAGAAAACCTAGGCAATACCATTCAGGACATAGGCACGGGCAAGGACTTCATGTCTAAAACACCAAAAGCAATGGCAACAAAAGCCAAAATTGACAAATGGGATCTAATTAACCTAAAGAGCTTCTGCACAGCAAAAGAAACCACCATCAGAGTGAACAGGCAACCTACAGAATGGGAGAAAATTTTTGCAACCTACTCATCTGACAAAGGGCTAATATCCAGAATCTACAATGAACTCAAACAGATTTGAGCTTATTTTAAAATATTCATTACTGGCCAGGCATGGTGGCTCACGTCCGTAATCCCAACACTTTGGGAGGCTGAGGCGGGCAGATCACAAGGTCAGGAGATGGAGACCATCCTGGCTAACATGGTGAAACCCCGTCTCTACTAAAAAAATACAAAAAAATAGCCAGGCGTGGTGGCGGGCTCCTGTGGTCCTAGGTATTTGGGAGTCTGAGGCAGGAGAATTGCTTGAACCCGGGAGGCAGAGGTTGCAGTGAGCCAAGATCATGCCACTGCACTCCAGCCTGGGCGACAGAGCGAGACTCTGTCTCAAAAAAAAAAAAAAAAAATTCATTATCACTTTGGTGTGACAATACAGAGAAGTCAGAAGATATGGTGGTGTTTTGAGAAGAGCATGGGCTTTAGGTTAGAATCCCAGCTTCACCATTTGCAGAGAAACTTTGGGCAAATTGTACAACTTTTCTAACCTCATTTTCTCATCTGTAAAATAGGATACAAATACCTGCCTTTCATGTTGCTCAGAGATAAGGTATATAAGTCATCTCACACATGATAGCCAATAAAATGAACCATCATCATGATCATGATCATCATCATTATCTTAACAGAGGAGATGGGAGTTCCTGTTGGAATCCTCTGAGATGAGCAACCTAAGCTCTTTTTGGTGCTCTTAGTAAGTTTTTAGATTTCTCTCTGAATGCTAGGCAGCAGCATATCCACTGGATAAGATGAATTTCTATTATCCTTTTCCCCATTCTGTCCTGATAAAGAGAAAATGTTTCCATCATGACTGAAAGGCCATTTTCCCTGAAAAGGCTGTTTTTTCTTACCTCCAATTCCCCCCAAGACAAACACCCTCCTTTGGACTTCCCCCAACTCTAGACCTTGGTGTGGGCCAAAATGGACCCCAAATAAACCACCACTGGGTACCAAGTTTGCCCAGTAGTAGAAAAAATAAACAGCTGGTTGAATTTTATAAAGTAAGATTGCTAAATAAAAAGTGATGTGATGCTGCAGAGACTGTTCTCTTGAGTGTTTTTATTTATTTTTTTAGATAAGAGCCCCAGGAGGGGAATTTTATGGAACGATGCATGAAAATGGTGTGCTTCCTCACACTGCTAAAATCGAAGCCCTGGGTCCCTTTCATAGCAGAGGGAGGCAGATTAATGAGTTGGGGGGACATGGCTGCTGCCTCTCAGCAGCTAGCTCAATTACCTCTCCTGTTCAAGCTGTGCTTTGGGTCTTGAAACACAAGACTGGTGGAATTTTAACCTTGCTGGAGGACTTTGTTCCTTCACTGAGGCTGCCTACTTTTAGCTTGAATATATCCTTTACTTCTCATAGACAGGCTTGCTGGAACCATGGGTGTGAGGGAATTACCCAGTGAGTGCCCTTTTAAAAACAAGTGAAGTAAATGAGATCATGAGGATAATGACAAATGAGAAGCTCTGGGAAGAAAAATAAGACCCATTTGGGGAAAGGATATTAGTAATATGCACTTTTGTGCTAATGAAGCATTTTGGTGGGAGAGGCAGCTTGTCCAAAGAGCTTGGTCAGAAATCATCTGAGTGCAGGTTACAGAAACCCACTCAGATTCACTCAAGTAAAATGCGTATTTAATATGAGGCATTAGGTATACCTCATGATCCCAAATGCATACAGGACAGCTGAGAATTAAGAGGTTTAGATCTCTATGGCTAAGTGTAGGGTCCTAAACCCTGGTTGCCTGGCTTCAAATCCTGGATGTATCACTTACACTACATGACCCTGGACAAACTACTCATCACTCTGTGATCCATTTCTTCTGTCTGTAAAGCAGGGAAAATAAGAGAACTTACATCTTAGAATTGTTGTGAAGTGAGTATATACACATAAAGTGTGTAGAATGGTGTCTGAAACATATTAATCTCTTCATAAATGTTAGCTATCAAAATTTTCGTAATAGCTATCTTGCTTCAGACCAACTTTCCCACTAAGGACAAATAGAAAAACTGGATGAAATTTTTAAAAATAATTTTAGGCCAGGCTCAGTGGCTCACGCCTGTAATCCCAGCACTTTGGGAGGCCGAGGCAGACGGATCACTTGAGGTCAGGAGTTAGAGACCAACCTGACCAACATGGTGAAACCCCGTCTCTACTAAAAATATAAAAATTAGCTGGGTGTGGTGGCACACACCTGTAATCCCAGCCACCAGGGAGGCTGAGGCAGGAGAATCACTTGAATCTGGGAGATGGAGCTTAAAGTGAGCCAAGATCGTGCTACTGCACTCCAACCTGGGTGACAGAGCAAGACTCCATCTCAAAAACAAAAAATAATAAATACAAATAAAAAAATAATTTTAAAGACATTGGAGAACTGCGAAGGCTGGGAGGACTTAAGAGCCTAAGATCACAGAGAGAAGGGAAGCAAAGAGCTGTGAACCTGACATTCTGTGTTGCTTTTCCCCACAAGGCATCTGCTAGTTGACAAGGATTACCTTAGATACCCAGAATCTGGACAGAAAAGATTGAAAGGTGAAGAGTTGAGCATTTCTATTGGCAAACTTATGGAGATAAAGGACGTAAAAATTGGAGTTTAGGGTCAAGAAAAAGGAACCATGATGTTTACTCAATGTTTTCAGGTGGAACTTTCAAGGTTATAGTCTAGAAATATGGATTAACTAGAAATACAACAACCCTCATAAAGACTAAAGCCCAGTTTTGAATCTGTTCATTCATTGACTTAATTAAGGTGAGCTGATCTGCCTTTACCTAGTTACCTGCCAGAAGCAAAAGTTAATAATCTTTGGAGGAAGATAACATAACCAAGAGCCTGATATATAATATCTCATATTAAATCTAAAATTACCGCATTCACTTGGAGATAAGACAAGATGTCCAGCAACCATGAGGAAGAGAAACCCAGACAGTACAAAGAGACCAATAGAAAATAAAGATACTGGAGTTAAAATGACTTTAAAATAACTGCCATAAACGTATTAAAGAAATTAGATGGTGGTGTGGTAATTTTCAACATAGAATATAGAACTATTGAAAATGATATGAAAATTCCAGAACTGAAAAATACAATATCCAAAATAAAAAACTTGACATATGAAGTTATCATTAGATTAGAAAGAGCTGAGATAGGATTAGTGAACTGAATAATTTGTCAGAAGAAAACATCTGGACTAAAGCATGGAGTGACAAAAGAATGGAAAATATGGACAAGAACCTAAGAAACATGTGGGACAGAGTGAAAGTTTGAACAAATAAGTAGTTGGAGCCCCAGAAGAACAAGAGGAATAGAATGAGGGAGAAACAATGTATGAAGACATAGAGGCTGAAAATTTTCCAAAACTGATCAGTACTGATCAATAGAGTGGGGGAGAAGTGATGTATGAAGAGACAGAGGCTGAAAAATTTCCAAAACTGATATGCATCATAGATTCAAGAAGTTTTATGAACTCCAAAGAGAATGAATAGAAAGGAAATCACACATAGGTACATGGTAGTGAAACTACTCAAAAATCAAAGAACATATCATCTTAAAGTCAACTGAAAACAATACATATTACCTTTAAAGAAGAAACAATAATTTGATATGACTTCTCAAAAAAAAAAAAGGGGGGGGTTAACTATAACTAGGTGGCCATGTGTGGTTGCTCACGGCTGTAATCCCAGCACTTTGGGAGGGCGAGGTGGGTGGATCATCTGATGCCAGGAGTTTGAGACCAGCCTAGCCAACATGGTGAAATCCTGTCTCTACTGAAAATACAAAAATTAGCCGGGTGTGATGGCAGGTGCCTGTAATCCCAGCTACTCAGGAGGCTGAGGCAGGAGAATCTCTTGAACCTGGGAGGCAGAGGTTGCAGCGAGCCGAGAGCATGCCACTGCACTCCAGCCTGGATGACAGAACGGGACTCCGTCGCACACACACAAAGAAAGGAAGACGATAAGTGAGTGATATCTTTGAAGTGATGAAAGGTAGTAGTTATGACTCACACTTCTGTACCCACTGATAATAACCTTTAAAATAAAAGTAAAATGAAGATATTTACAGACAAGTAAAATATGAGAGAATTCATCATCAGCAGATGCTCCCTAAAAAAATACTGAAGGGAGTTCTTGAGGTTGGAAGTAAATGATACACTGTGAAAGCATGGAAATACAGGAAAGAACAAAGATTAATGGAAAGCATAAATATGTGGGTATATCCAAATTAATATTGAATATAAAACAGCAATATTAATGTCTTATGTGGTTTAAAATATTTTTAGAATTAAAATATATGACAATAACAGCATCAAAGGTGGGAGGGTGATAAATGAAGTATTCATGTTCCTTGAATTGTCCAGGAATTGGCAAATTTTATTCACTGATATTAGACTTGGCTGAGTCTATCTGTGCAGTTGTCTTCAGGGCAATCACTGAAAAGAATAGTAACAATAGGTAAAACCTTGTTCATGGTAGATGGAATTATTAAAATACGTAATTAATCCAAAATAAGGCCAAAAAAAAGTACAAAAAGGGAACATAGAACAGATGAAATAAAGAGAAAACAAATAGTGATATAACAAAATTAACCCAAATATGTAGATAATTCCATGATTTGCAAAAAGACTTAATACTTCAATTTAAAGCCAAAGATTGTCAAACTGGATAAAAAATGAAATAAAACTATATTCTTTTTACAACATACACTTTAAATACTAAGATACAGAAAATTGAAAGTAATAGGATAAAAGAAGGTATATCATGTAATGCCAACCAAAAGAAAGCTGTATAGTTATATTAACATCAGATAAAGTAGACTTTAAGGCAAGAAGAATTATAAGAGATAAAGAGAAGTGTTTTAAAATGATTAAAAGGTCAATCTACAGGAAAGTGGAAATATTCTAAGTGTATGTGAACCTATTAACAATACCTCAGAATATATGAAGCAATAAAGACAGAGTTAAAAAGAGAAACAGACAAATCCAGAAGCATAGTTGGAGATTTTAATATATCTTTCTCAGTAACTGATAGAACAAGCAGGCAAAGAAGTCAGCATGATTATAAAACATGGCCTAGTTGATATATATAGAGCGCTACACCTGACAACTGCAGAATACAGACTGTTTCCAAGTGCACATGGACATTTACCAAAATTGACCATGTACTGGGCCTTAAAGTAAATCTCAAAACGTTTTAAGGGATTGAAATAAACATGCTTTCTGACCACAGTGGAATTGAGCTTGAAATAAATAACGATGGGCCACTACAGTATCTCTAAATATTTGGAAATTAAGCAATATACTTCTAAATAATTAACAATAAAATCACATTGGAAATCAGAAAGTACTTAGAATGGAATTGTTATGAAAATATGACGTATCAAAACCTGTGGTCACAGCTAAAGCAGTGCTTAAAGAATATGTATAGCTTAAAATGCGTATGATGGAAAAGAAGAAAGGCTGAAACTCAATTATTTATCTCTTAGGAAGTTAGAAAAATATCCAGCAAGTAAAACCTATAGAAGGTAGAAGGAAAAAAGTAATATATATAAAAGTAGAAATTAATAAAATTGAAAACAAATGTACAGTAAAGAAAATCAACAAAACCAAAAGTTACTTTTTGAAATGACTCATAACATCAATAAATCACTTGCAAAAAAATAAAAACAGGAAAATAAAAAAGACGGATTTTAGAAATAAAAAGGAAATATTATTATAGGTCCTATGGGCATTAAGAATAAATTGGAGACTGTTAGAAACAACATGTCTATTTTTAAATTTGGAAATTTAAAGAAAATGATTAAATCCCTAGGAAATCAAACCTTAACAAAACTGACATATGAGAGAGTGAGAAATCTGAAAAGCATTCTATCTATAAAAGAAAATTTAAAAATCTTTCCATATAACCTCTTGGGAAAATTTTTTGCAGTGCAGTAAAGCTGAATGTATTTACACACCCTAAAATCCTGCAGTCTCACTTCTAGGAATATATACTCAGCATAAAGGAAGGTATATGGATACCAAAAGACATGTACAAGAATAAATATAGCAGCATCATTCTTATTAGCAAATGAAAACAATCCAAATGTATATCAGCAACCAAATAAGTAAATGAAAAGTGGTAAATTGATTCAATAGAACACTATATAGCAATGAAAGTGAATGAACTATTTCTACATGCAATAAAGTGGATAATCATAAACATAATATTGAGGGAAAGAAGCCAGATGCAAAAGAATATATATGATGTGACTCCATTTATGTAAAGTTCAAAAATAGGCAAAGTAATACAGAATACTGGTCACCTTTGAGAAGGATGGAGGGAGTGGTTATTGTAAGGGTGTGTAAGAGATGCTGGTAATGTTCTGTTTTGATCCAGTTGGCTGTTACATGGATGTATTTATTCTATGATTGTGCATTTTAATATATGTATATTATACTTCAATAAGAGTTTTTAAAAAAAATATTAGCTATTATTACTTTGGTTGGTATAAGGGACTATGAAGGAAAGCTGTCAGGAGCCAAAGCAGCTTGGGTGGGTCCATACCACATTCCTATTTCCTTAGACTCTCCCGCTAATATTTGTGGAGCCTGGAAGAAGTGTACAAATGGAGGCCCAAATACCATCTACAAAAATACTCTAAAGTTGTCATTCAGGCTAAGAGACTGTTCACTAAAATATGTCTTTATCCACCTACTTAGACAAATATACTTTTATAGTACCCTGGAAGGCCAGGTTTGAATTTAGAATTCTCAGTTTCAGAGCTGTAAAACGATGGCCTGGAGAGAGGCAGTTCCCCAGCCCCAGCCTGTGGCCCTGTCTTCCCAGTTCTGGCTCTCTGCAATGAGCCTCACCTGCATTTGTGTGGATATGCCATCCTGCACATGCAAGCTCCTTCACATCCCCAGCAAACTGCTGCCCTGTGGCCACCCCTTGGGTCCAGGGACACATAAACCAGCAGTGTGGCCCAGCCTGGGGAAGAGACATCTGAAGAAGAAGCCTGCACAAGCTGTAGGAACAGATTCAGGGACATTTGGGCAGGGAGTATGGGGTCACAGATGACAAGAGCATGGTGTGAAAGGGTGGAGAGCAGGCCCCAAGTGGACATGTCCTTAGCCTCAAGGAGTCCTTGCTCTGGGTGGAAGGACACAGGAAAGGGAGGGTCAGAGCAGACCAAGGGACAGGGTCTTTTGCCCAGTTTCAAAGGAAATTCTGCATTGTCTTTTAGAAAGTCAATGATGCACTTTCAGCCATTAGAAAAAGAAAGAGACAGAGAGAGACAAAGAGAGATTTTTAAGTAGAATGGGTGAATTCTACTCAGTGAACATATGTCCTGTACTAAGTGTGAGATGAAAGCTAAAAACCCCCATCAGAATATACCCTTATCATGAATGTGGGGTTTGTGTGTGTGTGTGTTTTCTCACAACGATATCCCTAGAGCCTGGTGCCTTGAAAATCTCAATAAATATTTGACTAATAAATCACTCACTGATAACTATTCCCTTAGTTATCAGATGCCCCCTGCTTCTCACAGCATGGGCATTTTGCTGGTGCTGGTGTTCAAAGCACATGTATTTTGAACAAGATTGAAAAAGGAATGAAGTCTGGCCAGCCCAGTGGTCCTCTCTAGCACATTACAGAGATTGGCCTTTGGAGCTGAAAGCTGGACAGGATCTCAATGATCCTGCAGGCCAGGGTGTCAGGGCATCGAAGCACCCCAGAAGCTGAATGTGAATGTGTGAATGTGGGCAAATATTCATTTTTCTGAGGAGATGCACATAGCTTTCATGAAAGTTTCAAAGGTGTCTATGGCTCCCCAAATGTCAAGAGTTCTCAGTGAATCCTCTTATTTTATAGATGATGGGTCTATGGCACAGAGAGGTGAACTCAAGTTCACTCTGAGCTCTATTCAAATCTACTGATGCCTGAAGCTTCCTTCCACCACCTCATAGCAGAACTCATGTCCTCGGTTATGGTAGGATGGGGGAGACCGTGAAGCTTTCTTTTGCAAGGGCTCTCAAATTTAGCCATGTGTTAGAGTCATCTGGATTTCTGGTATAGAAGGTGATTCTAATGTGTAGCCAGGGTCAAAGCCCACTGGGTTAGAATATTTCACTAAAAAGTGTGTAGTGGGGTTTGTGGGATGTAGTTTGAGTGCCAAGCTCTGCTCCGAGTCTCCTAGCCCAGAATGCTGACTACAACAGTCTAGAGTGTACAAGGAAACAGATCTAAACGAAAAGCAAGTTCCACTTTGTTAACCGATGGGCAGGTACTAATGACCTCATCACCACTCATGCAAATTAGGGCTTCCCTGGTACCCAGAGCTGGACCACTTGACTTCAGCTGGGAAACTGAAGTAGGATTTCCCATTTCTTTCCCTCCAAAAAGATAGCATAGCTGGTAGTACATAACCCACCTGGCTTACCTAGGCATGCACAGGTGAAGATGCTGGCACAAAGGTGTGCAGAAAATGGCTGGGCCTGTGGGGCAGAGCTGCCTCACCTCCATCACACACATGGCTACATGATCTCTTATTTTACCAACTGTACAGAAGAAAAATGGAAGGAAAAGGAGGTTGCCTGAGTCACATCCCAGACCTTCTTTGATGGCAGGGGAAGGGTAGGAAAGTCCTGAGTTTCTACAGGAAGGATAAAGTGGTCTTGACCATGGCAACCTTACTCACTAATGAAATGTAGCCTAATCAATATCTCAAGTTCATTAGATTAGCAATTCGTCTGTTAGGTGAGAGTTGAGGAGGAAGTGGCAATTAGAAAGGAAAGAAGAGTAGCCTGGCATGGGAGTGAGAAGAACATGTCACCTCAACTGCAAAGAGACAATTACAATGCAGTGATGAGAGTTAAGGTTGGGGTTTCCTGAGGACGTAGTGGAAAGATCTACTCACCTGCATGAGGCTAAGAGTTACTGAACAGTTTTGTGGAGGAGGTGACACCTTCAGCAGAATCCTAAAGAGTGAAAGTGTTCCAGATGGATAGGGGAAGGGAAATGAATTTTCACACATATTATGGCATAGAGGTTCGAGTAGCATGGTATTTGAAAGGATTGTAAGAGTTGACTATGACTAGAATATAGACTGCACAAAGAAGGTGTATTTGTAATGGGTTATTAAAATATAAGAGGCATATCAACCATTCAGTGAGTATTGTTTAGGATGAATAAATTACTTAGCTGGCCCCCAAATTAAAGACATTCTTAATTTTCTTGATTTGGAAAAATTCTACTAATTTTGACCAGTTTCTCTTTATTCACTAGAATCTGGATATTTTTTAAGGATAGGATTGCATTGAATTTGACTCAGTAAGAGTCATAAATACAGCATCCGACTTCTTACAAATTCTGAATTCATGTATTAAATAAGCTTTCTGGGCTTGAACGTCCACAGGAGAATCTCAGAATGACTAAAAGTTATCAAATGGGCCTTGAATAGACACAGCATCAGAAGTGAGGGTGTCTTGTGCAGTTACAGAGAAAGTGTTTTGGGATCAACTGTTGATTCGAACACTGGCCAAGGTCCCTTAGGGAGAAGTGTAAAGTGTTTAGAGCCAGACAGGCCTGGGTTTGACTCTCAGCTCAACCATTATCAACTGAATGCATATAGGCAAGTCACACTGCTGCTCTAAGCCTTGATATCCATATTAATAAAGTGGAAGTGATATCTATTTCAATGAATTGTTAAGAGGATAATCTGAAAAAATGTGAACAAACTGTCTTGGCCAAGGCTATTTTTATCGTAAGGAACAGGAAAGCACTTAAACTAATTCAACTGAAATCAAGGAATAAGAAATGAAATATAGCATCCTCAGGAGAGAAACCAGGAACTGAATTGTTGGAATCCAGGCACATGTGCCATCTCCCAGGAGCTACTGAATCTATCTTACAGCATCCTGTCTGTTTCTCTGTGCACATTTTTCCTTCTCTACACAGTGCAGACTGATCTCAGCTTTCTTCAGTTCCCTTCTACCTCTCACTATTTCCGACTCTGGACCTTTCTACACTCCAGCCTTTCCATAGGAAGTACTCCGGGTTAGTTTTTCTGTGTCCTAGTGCCATGTTCCTGGGAGAAGAACTGGATCAACTGAGCTTAGATCCAGTGTTCATCCATGGTCCAGTGATTTGTGACCAGGATGTGAGACTGGACAAATGACATAAACATGGCTCCAGGCCCACCGTTTCAGCCCTGTATGGGGATGATTCCTAGAGAGAGGGCCTTCAGGAGAGCAGACACCCCAAAACATATGAGCTGCAAGCACCTAGCTTAAGTAGGAGCACAACAAATATTAGCTTCCATCCCTCCCCACTCTCCTAATTCTAGAAGAGCAGGTTTCCATAAGGAGCCCATACACAAGCACAATTGTTCTATATTTTTACCTTTGCTTGGGCTATACCTCTTATTAAGAATATCCTATTTTCACCCAAGTACTAACCAGGCCTGACCCTGCTTAGCTTCTCAGATCAGACAACATCAGGTGCGTTCAGAGTGGATGAAAATCCTTACTTTGAAAGTAAAGTTCTCTCCAAAGAATTCCATCTGAATGAGAGTGGTGATCTATCTTCAAATTCCACCGAAATCAAATGGAAATCTGGAAAGGATTTGATGAAACGTTCAAGTCAAATGCAGAAGAAAGCCAGCAGAAAGAGACAGCATGAAGAACCAGAGAGCTTCTTTACCTGGTTTACTGACCATTCTGATGTAGGGGCTGATGAGTTAGGAGAGGTCATCACAGATGATATCTGGCCAAAACCATTACAGTACTACTTGGTTCCCGATATGGATGACGAAGAAGGAGAAGGAGCAGAAGATGATGATGATGATGATGAAGATGAGGAAGGATTAGAAGATATTGATGAAGAAGGGGGTGAGGATGAAGGTGAAGAAGATGAAAATGATGATGAAGGGAAGGAAGGAGAGGAGGATGAAGGAGAAGATGACTAATAGAACACTGATGGATTCCAACCTTCTCTTTTAAAAATTTTCTCCAGTCCCTGGGAGCAAGTTGCAGTGGTTTTTTTTTTTTTTCCTCCTGTGCTCAGTCGCCCTGTTCTTGAGATCTCTTTTCTCAACTTATTTTAGGGGAAATACCTTGAGCAGAATACAATGGGAAGAGTCTCTACCTCTTTCTGTTCGAAATTCATTTTTATTGCTTACTATCTGAATAAAAACTGTATGGAATCAACACTACTGAGCTCTGTGGGAAAAAAGAAAAACCTGCTCCCTTCGCTCTGCTGGAAGCTGGAGGGTGCTAGGCCGCTGTGTAGTAGTGCGTATAATTCTAGCTTTTTTCTTCCCTTCTCTGTATGTTGGGCTCAGAGAGTACACTGTGTCTCTATGTGAATATGGACAGTTAGCATTTACCAACATATATCTGTCTACTTTCTCTTGTTTAAAAAAAAAGAAACTTTAAAAAATGGGGTTATAAAACGTCAGCAAAGGGTGGGTTTGAGATGTTTGGGTGGGTTAAGTGGGCATTTTGACAACATGGCTTCTCCTTTGGCATGTTTAATTGTGACATTTGACAGATATCCTTGCTGTTTAAGATGACACTTTTAAAATAAATTCTCTCCTAATGATGACTTGAGCCCTGCCACTCAATGGGAGAATCAGCAGAACCTGTAGGATCTTATTTGGAATTGACATTCTCTATTGTAATTTTGTTCCATTTATTTTTAAATTTTCTTTTTGTTTCACTGGAAAGGAAAGATGATGCTCAGTTTCAAACATTAAAAGTGTGCAAGTTGCTTTGTTACAGTAAAACTAAATGTGTACACAAAAGATTTGATGCTTTTCTCTCAGCATAGGTATGCTTCCAATGACCTTCCAAGTTTGACTTGTATAACATCACTTTCAAACTTTGTCACTCTAACTTCATATTTTTTGATATGCACTTTGGAGGATGACCTCAGGGTTATGTGAACTGAGTAACGGGATTAGAATCAATGTACTAATATCTCCATAGCTGGGAAACATGGGTAAAATTTGCCATTGTTTTCTGAAATTATTCACATCATTTGAGATACCGGATTGCTCAATACTTTCTGAGTATATTGTGCCCTTGATTTTTATCTCCAAGTGGTAGTTTTTAAAATTGGCCTTTTACCTGGATATAAAATAATAGTGCCTGCCACCACCATCCAACAGACCTGGTGCTCTAATGCCAAGTTATACATGGGACAGTTGCTGGCACGTCTTCATTGGCTATATAAAATGTGGCCAAGAAGACAGGCTCTCAGAGTAAGAAGTCTGTGGTGGTTAGCAGTAACTTTCCCTACTCTCTGGTATAAAGCTCTCAAATGTGACTATGTGAATCTGGGTGGAATAATGGACTCAGCTCTGTCTGCTCAATGCTATTGTGCAGAGAAGTACCTTAATGCATAAGCTTTTTAATGCTGTAAAATACAGTAGCTGAAATTAAATGCCACTTTTTCAGAGGTGAATTAATGGACAGTCTGGTGAAATTCAAAAGGTTTTTGATGTATAGAACTTGATGAATGGAACTATTCCATCAATAGGCAAAAGTGTCACAACCTATCTAGATGGATAGTATGTAATTTCTGCACAGGTCTCTGTTTAGTAAATACATCACTGTATACTGATCAGGAATCTTGCTCCAGTAAAGGAACATAAAGACTTTTTTTTGGAAAAAGAAAAAAGAATATCCTATTATGCCCAGGTGCAGTGGCATACGCTTGTAGTCTCAGCACTTTGGGAGGCCAGAGCAGGCAGATCACTTGAGCCCAGGAGTTCAAGGACCAGCATGGACAACATGGAGAAACCCTGCCTCTACTAAAAATACAAAAATTAGCCAACATGATAGCTACTCAGGAGGCTGAGATGGGAGAATTGCCTGAGCCCAGGAGACAGAGGTTGCAGTGAGCTGAGATGGTGCCACTGCACTCCCGCCTGGGTGTCAGAGCAAGAGCCTGTCTCAAAAATAAAAAAAAAGAAAAAAAGAAAGAAAAGAATATACTATTTCCTATTCCATCCATCCATCCATCCATCCATCCATCCATCCATCCATCCTTTCATCTCTGTCTTTTTTCCTATCCTGGAAGACCCACTTCCTCCAGGAAATCTTCCTTATATCCTCAATATCTTCAGCTACCCTTCATCTCCCTCATTTCTGTCAATTCATTAGAGTCTATAACACACAATTTAGCACTAAGTTACACAACTTAGGTTTTTCTCTTAATCACTTTGAAGATGTTGTTGTTTCAACTGGATTATAGATTTATTCAGAACAGAGAGTGCCACAGTGCCAAGCACAAAGAGGAACAAAGAGTGTTCAATGAACAAAGAAAATTACAGAACAACAAACATTTTATATCTAGAAAGGATCTCAAAAATAATGAAGTTTAATCTGCTTGATTTCAGAAGAAGAACTGAGGTTAATACAGAAGAAACATCCTTGGCTGATGAAATAGAAAGAATAAAATGGAGATTCAATATTATATTTACATGTAAAATATGTTTTATATATTTATAAAAATTACATATTATTTATGTAACAGAAGAATTTTCCCCCATCATACTGTGGAATGGTAGTTGGAGGATCATGATACGTTCAAGCTGGGAGGGAACTTAGAAGTGACGTAAGACATGCAATTTAAGTTTGTAGATGAGAAAACTTCCTCCTAGGAAAAGGAAAAGATTTGTCCAAGATCACCCAAGTTTTTAGTAGTAAAGCTGGGACTAGGATCCACACCTCCTTCTTCTCACTCCTATGATTATTTTCCACACTCCACTGTCACCAAATCCTTGCTTTAAGCTTCCATTCCTCACTAGACCATGCATCTGACATTAGGGCTCATTTGTCCCTCACAGTTTTAGTTCTATATCATTTATCCTTAACCATTCCATGCACCATTTTCCTTTTCAGCTTCTTCTTTCTGCTATCCATTTGTATTTACCTCTGCTTACTTTGTCCTTGATCTGTGGACTACACAGTTTGCCCTGTCTCCTTGGCTATAACCTTGATTCTGCTCCTCACCTCTGCCTTGGTGTAAATACCTTTCCCAGTTCAGCCTGGTCTCAGCACTGGGTGTCGCCTACTCTTGACTAATTCATGCATTGATTTAACACACATTTACTGTGCATGTCTTCTGTGAAAGTTTCTGAATGAAGAACACTTAGTATCTACTCAATATGCTCACAATCTATTGGTGAGAGAGGGATTTTAAAACAATATGGTAAGTGTGTTCATCTCAGAGCTTTATTCCTATGGGAGACCCAAACTGAGTAAGGAATGGTGGGAAGGTGACAATCAGGGAAGACTTCCTGGACGTGTTCTCTGAAATGAGGCATTAGGACAGATCAGTGGATATGCATTAGCTGATGGGGCAGTGGAGTGGAGGCGAATGAGGATGCAGACAGAAAAAAATAACTTAAAAAAAGGCATAAAAACATAAAATAGCAAGGGGTACAAAAGAATGACTAGCACCCTGATGTTCTTCAAGGATAAAAAGGAAGGCAGGTGGTAGTGTGGGCTAAGCCTGGCGAGATGGGTGAACCACATTGGGAAGGCCTTGTCTTCCAGTTGGGAACTTGATCTGTTGGGATTTAGGGAGCTAATAAGTGACATCCCTGTTCCCTGCCTGAATTATTAATTGAGAGGAACCCCAAGGAGTCAGGCAGATAGAGGTTAAAATGTCAGCTTTACTACTGATAAAACAATAAGCATGGCTTAGATTTGGCCAAATTGCTTGCTAACACTTCCAGTACTGAACTTAATTCCCAAAATCCAGGCCTCTCCTACAGGGGCCAATAGGTTTAGAGCTGATGATAATGCTTTACAAGCATCTGGCCCTGAGAGAGGGGAGTGGGGGCGGGGTGGGGGAGAGAGAGCTGAGCCAGCTCACCTCCTTATCTTAAATTTACCAAGCAGATAAATCACTCCTCCTCTGGGGAGAGAGGGCAGAAGTGTTACCCTAATGGTGGTCCCTCCACTTGGAACATGAAGCAAGAGGGGAAGGAAGTTCCTACCTAATACATATCCACCTCTTACTGAGTACCTACTGCACACTGCCATGCAGAAGGCCCTGGTTCCACAAGCTGGAACCAGACAGAATCAGAATTAGGCTGGGAAGATTCTCTAACAGGGTAGGTAAAAAGACATGGGAGCCCTTTGTACCCAGTACTTGCTGTTCACGAGAAAAGGACAGAGCTCTTAACATGAAGAATTTTTAGAAACAGCATTGTGTATACCCAGAACTCCTCAGAGATAGTCTCACTTCTAATATCACCCAGACACTGTTCTTTCATCAGAAAGGCCTCTCTTTGGCATAATGTTTATCCTGACTAAACCAATATGACCATCTGCCCCTCCTCACAATGGTTGTTATTGAGGTGAGAACACAAATACAACCTTGTCACAGCCCATAATGGCAGGGAACATACCTGCTACTGGGGTATGTTCTCCTCTTAGGGAAAGAGGATGGGCAAGGTGGCACTATTAAGCAGGTGTTGACATTAAGAACCTTTAAAAAGCACCTCTTCTTTCCCTACCTTCTATTTTAGCATTTTCTTGAAAATTTCTTGCCTCCTTTTGTAGAACCCTAGAATGTTAGGACTGAAAGAAACCCATTGAATCTGCTTCTCCACCTGTGCTTGAGAATAGCTTCAGCATCTTCTCCCTGCAAAATGGCCATTTGTCCTCTGCTTGGATGTGTCATTGACAAGAAACTCACTATCTCTCATAGCACAGCACAGCACAGCACAGCAAATGGCTGATGCTAATCTAGATGGGGCAGTGCTCTCTATAACCTGATGCTTATACTCTGTTTTTACTTTCTATTTTGCTGAAAATTTTGCAAGTCTATATGACTGTGGAACAAATAGACCTCTGCTTTAATACTTCACTTTTTTGCTTTCATGTTCTTCTGTCAGGTCTATGACATTTCCAATTCTTATGATTTTTTTTCCTTCTGGGATATTCAGACATTATTTTGGAATGTTGAGGGAAAAACACTCTCCCTGCAAATCTCCTGACACTGGGTTTATGTGGATCCACAGTTGCCCATTCTATCAACAAACTTCCTGACTTTAGGAAGGTTATTCCTGACTTTGAATATCAGTGGTCTCTTTGTAATTCTCACTATTGGTCTTAATTACAGAGCTAGAGACATACATGCTAGGCTGGTTCTGACATTCTCATCTCTCCAGCAGACCACACTGGTCTATGGCTTTGACATTCCTCACACACTGAGAAATTCAACACAAGAGTGCATCTTCTGAGCCCAGCCCTTCTGTCCAAATGTAACCCCCTGGAGATCCACATAGAAACCAGACTAGATATGGACTATGCAGGCTCCTTAGTTAGGAAAGTGTTACAGCCAGAGCACTATGATACCACAATAGAAATCTTCCTCAAAGGAAGGATTGCATGCCCAATATCTTTCAGGCATGGCCATTTAGCCAGTTTTACATCCACCTAATCAAACCTTACATCTCTACCTAATATGTCATACTCAAGGAGACCCTGATAATCCATCCACACCATAATTACAGTAGATATGGAAATCAAATAATCTGGGTTTGGATTCTAATACAACCACTTATTTTCTGTTGTGACCTCACATGAATGTCTTAGTGTCTTTCAGTCTCAGATTTCTCATTTGTAGATTGAAATAAAAATATTTCCTACCTCTTAGGATTATTGTGAGCATTAAATGGAATATGTGTATAATTCATGAGGTTAGCAGAACGTAGTAGTTACAACTGCCATTTGCAGAGACACACTACTTGGGTTCAAATTCCAGTTCTACTTTCAACTTAATCTGTGACTGTGGACAAGTCACTGAAGTTCTCAGAGCATCAATTCCCTCATCTGGAATATGGGAATAGTACTAATATCCACTTCACAGTGCTGTTGTAAGCAGAAGCTTAAATAGTACTCACAGAGAGGTTAGCAGAGTACCCAGAATAGACACTTGAAAAAAAAAAGCTAAAAAATTCCTGATACATATATGTATCTATTATATACTACAGAAATACTAGTATTCTTCCTTCCTTCCCTTAGTCTAACTTTCTAGCAAGCCCTTCAAAAGAGGAAATGACATTAAGTTTAATCATAGTGAACCCATGCTGACAGGCTGTGAGCATCACTTCCCTTTCTGGAATACTAGTTTTCAGCATAATAGTCTTGGCATTTGCTCATAGTGACTCAATTTAGCTAGGGAAACATAACTACCCAGATGAAACAATGGAAGAGCCATAAGTGCAATAGAAATTTAGAGACGAAGGCATCAGACTTCCTAAAAAGTGACATTTGAGTCAGTCCTTGAAGATTATTTAGTTCAGGGGAGGGCCAGGAAGAATAACATAAATAAAAGCCCAGAGGAGAAAGTACACAGAACATCTGGGTGGCAGAAATGGTGTTTGTAAGGTCTGGTGGAAAATAAATGTAAAAAGAAAGGTTGAGGCCAATTTATGGAGGCACCCGAATGACACAAACAGACACTTGGCCATAGTAAATAATTCACTGTTAAGTTCTTAAATAAGGGAATAACAAGAAGAAAACAATATTTAAGAAAATTAGTCAGTTGGGTGTGGTGGCTCACACCTGTAATCCCAGCACTTTGGGAGGCCGAGGTGGGCGGATCACCTGAGGTCGGGAGTTTGAGACCAGCCTAGCCAACATGGTGAAACTTCGTCTCTACTAAAAATACAAAAATTAGCTGGGTGTGGTGGCACACGCCTGTAATCCTAGCTAGTTGGGAGGCTGAGAGGAGAATCACCTGAACCTGGGAGGTGGAAGTTGCAGTGAGCCGAGATCATGCCATTGCACTCCGGCCAGGGCAACAAGAGCGAAACGCTGTCTCAAAAAAAAAAAAAAAAGAAAAGAAAAGAAAAAAAAAAAGAAAAAGAAAATTAGTGTATGGATGACAATGTGACAATATATGCTAGAAGCCTTTAAAAAGATACACTTTTAGATGCCATTAACCTAAGATATTCATTAACCTGACAGTTGTGCTTCTAAGACTTAACTTGAAGGAAAAGTTTAAAATGTGTCCAGAGTTTCAGCTATTAAGATGTTCATCTTGGTGTTGCCTAATGTAGCACACACCAAAAAAGGAAAAATACTAAATGTTCAATAACATAGGATTGAGTAGATAAATTATGGCACATCCTTACATGGGGTATATAAAATCATAGAAATGTATTGACATGAGAAATGGTCATGGGGTATTATTAAGTGTTTGAAATGGCTAAGAAATACTTGTAGGATCTTATATTTGCTTTTTTTAAAAGTAATGGGTCAATATACCGATACTTGAGGGAAAAGTCTAGAAGCCAACGTACTCCAAAATATTAACTAATTCTATCTGATGAATGGGATTATGAATTTTCTTTATTTTCTTCTTTTTGCCTGTTTGCATTTTCCACGAAGAAAATTTATAAACACAGTGGTATTTAAATCTTGCTTTTTAAAAAGATTGATGTGAATATAGAATCCAGACCCTTAAATGACCCCAGTGATTTTTATCTTAGTCCACCCTTCCCCTTGAGTTTGGGCAGTACTTGTTTATTGTTATAGGACCTATTATTGCTTCTCACCAATGGCATATGGCAAAGGTGAGACATCACTCTCTTGATTAGGTTACATTATGTGAGACTCCTTAGCAGACTAAAGAGAAAGATTTTCCTGTGCCCTTGAAGAAGCAAGCTGCTATGCTGTGAACTACTAATGGAGAGGGCTACATGGTAGGGAACTGCAGGTGGTCTCAGGAGCTGAGGACCTCAGTCCTACAACCATAAGGAACTAAATTCTGCCAACAACCACATGAACTTAGAAGAGAACCCCAAACTCTAGATGAGGATGTAGCTCCTGCTGAAAGCTTGATTGCAGCCTTGTAAGACCCTGAGTGGAAGACCTGCCTAAGACTCAGACTCTTGCTTGACCCACAGAAGCTGTGAGAAAATGAATGTGTTATGTTAAACTGCACAATTAGTGGTCATTTGTTATACAATAGAAAGCTAGCACAATGTACAAAACAAAAATTAGAAATATTTTACATGTTTAAAACAGCTCTTTCTTCTAGAATATTCAGAAGTACCTATCGAAATTCAAAGATAGAATACAAATTAATATTAATGATATCAAAACTTAAATCAACATTGTTTAATTGTCGAAATGGCTGAACTTGTTATTTAAGATTTGAAATTCTAATTAAGCTGGGTGCAGTAGCTCACACCTGTAACCCCTGCACTTTGGGAGGCCAAGGCAGGTGGATCACATGAGGCCAGGAGTTCCAGACCAGCCTGGCAAACATGGCGAAACCCCATCTCTACTAAAAATAGGAAAAAAAATCAGCCAGGCATGGTGGCATGCACCTATAGTCCCAGCTACTCAGGAGGCTGAGGCAGGAGAATTGATTGAACCTGGGAGGTAGAGGTTGCAGTGAGCCGAGATCACACCACTGCACTCCAGCCTAAGTGACAGAGTGAGACTCTGTCTAAAAAAGAAAGAAAGAAAGAAAGAAAGAAAGAAAGAAAGAAAGAAAGAAAGAAAGAAAGGATTCTAATTAAATCTAATTTCATAGCATTCAATAGTTACACAGCTGCCAGCGGAAATAACTGGCATCTCACTTCATAAATCTCATGCAAATGTAAGAGTAATATGAATTATTAATGTAAAATGTCCCTCAGTCTCCACATGCAACTATTGTGAGTGCCACTTTGAATCATGAGTATTCCTGGAACTTCAAATTGGAGCAAGAAGAGAGGCAGCAACCAGGCATTTGACATTATTGGGAAACAAAACTTTGTTATACAAGAATGTATTGCATTGTTTTCTGAGACAGAAGATTTGATAAATTATTTCATTTTTATTTTTTCCTACCTAAACACTTCCATCCTTTCTGTTCTTTCCACACTCCATCACTGTCCGTCTCTGACATCAGCTGCCACAACAGCTTACAAACCCTCATGGCATTTGAGCACAGTCACCTTTTGTAAGGCAATGTAGAGAAGCATCTCTCTGGAGCCTGACCGTGTTGATAATGGAGTGAATGTTTAGGGTTGTTGTTTGTGCTGTACCAGAGCTAAATGCCAGATCCTAAGTGACTATGTATTCTTCAATTCAATTTTTATGTATTTATTATTTATCTGTTTATTTTGTTACATTTATTTATTTATTTATTTATTTGAGATAGACTCTTGCTCTGTCACCCAGGCTGGAGTGCAGTGGTGCAATCTCAGCTCACTGCAACCTCTGCCTCCTGGGTTCAAGTGATTCTTGTGTCTCAGCCTCCCAAGTGGCTGGGATCACAGGTGCACACCACCATGCCCAGCTAATTTTTGTATTTTTAATAGAGATGGGGTTTCACTATGTTGGCCAGGCTGAGTCTGAACTCCTGACCTCAAGTGACCTGCCCTCCTCAGCCTCCCAAAGTGCTCAGATTACAGGCGTGAGCCACCACTCCCAGCAATTCTGTTACCTTCATTTTTAACATTTATGGTATGCAAAGTGCACAAGACGCACTCACTATCATGAGAACAGCATGGGGGGAACCGCCCTCATGATCCAATTACCTCCATCTGGACCCTCCCTTGATACATGGGGATTACGAGGATTACAATTCAAGATGAGATTTTGGGTGGTGACACAGCCAAACCATATCATCCCACACATGGCCCCTCCAAAATCTCATGTCCTCACATTTTAAAACACAATCATGCCTTTCCAACAGTCCCCCAAAATCTTAGCTCATTCCAGTATTAACCCAAAAGTCAAAGTCCAAAGTCTTATCTGGGACAAGGTAAGTCCCTTCCACCTATGAGTCTGTAAAATCAAAAGCAAGTTAGTTACTTCCTAGATACAATGGAGGTACAGGCACTGGGTAAATGCGCTCATTCCGAATGGGAGAAATGGCCAAAACAAAGGGGCTACAGTCCCCATGCATGTCTGAAATCCAATAGGGCAGTCATTAAACCTTAAAGTTCCAAAATGATCTCCTTTGACTCCATGTCTCACAACCAGGTCACAGTGATACAAGAGCTGGGCTCCCATGGCCTTGAGCAGCTTTACCTCTGTAGCTTTGCAGGGTATAGCCCCCCTCCTGGCTGCTTTCGCGGGCTGGCAGTGAGTGTCTGAGGCTTTTCCAGGTGCATGGTGCAAGCTGTCGGTGGATCTACCATTCTGGGGTCTGGAGGATGGTAACCCTCTTCTCAGGGCCGGCTTGAATTTCTCCTTAGAAAATGGGTTTTTCTTTCCTATTGCATTGTTAGGCTGCAAATTTTCCAAACTTTTATGCTCTGCTGCCTCTTGAATGCTTTGCTGCTAAGAAATTTCTTCTGCCAGGTACTTTAAATCATCTCTCTCAAGTTCAAAGTCCCACAGGTCTCTAGGGGAGGGGCAAAATGTTGCCAGTCTCTTTGCTAAAGCATAGCAAGAGTGACTTTTACTCCAATTCCCAACAAGTTCCTCATCTCTATCTGAGAATAACTCAGCCTGGACTTCACTGTCCATATCACTATCAGCATTTTGGTCAAAGACATTTAACAGTCTCTAGGAAGTTCAAGACTTTCCCACATCTTCCTGTCTTCTGAGCCCTCCAAGTCTCTAGAAAGTTCCAAACTTTCTCACGTTTTCCTGTCTTCCTCTGAACCCTCTAAACTGTTCCATCCTCTGCCTGTTACCCAGTTCCAAAGTTGCTTCCACATTTGTGTGTATTCTTATAGCAGTGCCTGACTACCTCGGTAACAATTTACTGTATTAGCCCATTTTCACACAATTATGAAGAAATACCTGAGACTGGGTAATTTATAAAGAAAAGAGTTTTGACTCACAGTTCTACATTGCTGCGAAGGCCTCAGGAAGCTTACAATGATGGTGGAAGGCAAAGGAGAAGCAGGCACCTTCTTCACAGGGTGACAGTATGGAGTGAGTGCAAGTAGGGGAAATGCCAGATGCTTATAATACCATCAGATCTTGTGAGTCTTACTCATGATCCTGAGAACAGCATGGGAGGAAACCTCCCCCATGATCCAATCACCTCCACCTGGTCCTATCCTTGACAAGTAGGGATTATGAGAATTACAATTCAATATGAGATTTTGAGTGGGGACACAGCCAAACCATATCACTGCCCCAATGATGTTTTGTGCTGTTATTGAACTATGGTGCAAAAAGAGCACTGGGATAGGGTAGCTTACTCTGAGGACAGGACAGGGGGTGATGCCCAGGCTGCATGGATGTGTTCCAAATTGACAAGAGAGAGAAAGGAGTTATTTGTTTTCCTTTAGATCCTATGTAGGTCACCATAGTAGGAAATAAGATGGGAGCACAGAACAGAATAGTATTTGAATGCTGCACCCTGTACTAAACTGGAGCTTTCCTTTTCCTTGTTCTATTGTGGGCATGTCGAAGCAACTCTACTACACAGTGTTTCCCAAAGCTTTCTCTTCTCCACTTCCCAGCCATTGGCATAGGTCTGACTTTCATCATTTCTCACTTGGGCTTTTGCTTTTGTCCCTCAAATGTGGCCCCTGCCTACCTTCTCTGCATCCTCTAATTCATCCTTCACGTAGCCATCAAAGTCCTGCTCACATACCAAAGACCTCTAATGTCTCCCCACTGCCTATAAGACAAGGCCAAATTCTTAGCATGTAGTTACAGCTCCTTCAAGGACCTTCCCCATTATATCTACTTTCTCAATCTCTTCCGTAGACACTACTCCCCTTCCTTGTAACCTGAAACCCAGTCACAGAAACTTACTCTAGGTGTCCCTAATTAACTATACTTCCAAGATTTTGCATAAGCCCCTCCTTCTTTCTCAAATAATGTCTTTTATCTCCCTCCTCTGCCTACCGAACTCTACAGTAGCATAGATGGCTGGCTGGCCAACAAAAGCAGTGTAAACCTTCCATATTGCAGAGTTGTCACTCAATCAGGGACCACACTTCCCAGCACCCATTGCACATAGGTGGGACCACGTGACCAGCACCTACCAATAGAATGTGAGCAGAATTGGCATGTGACACTTGCAGGTAATGTCATTCAGTTTGGGGTTCACAATCCTCCACATGCAGTCTCTCTTCACTCAATGGCCAGCTGGATTTAGAGTATCTGGATAGGACTCCGATGCCCCCAGGTGACAGTGGAGCCCCTAGTTGGAAAAGCCTGTGTCCCTCGAGTCACCAGTTACTGTAGAGGTAGCCAGGAGAGCCTCCTGACCATTTGTGTCTGCACTCAACTTTGTACGAGTATAAAATAAAATTTTACTGTTAGTCCTCTGAGATTTGGAGATTTACTTGTTACCACAGCAAAGCACAACCTATCCTAACTAACATACTTACTCGCTTTTCAAGGCCCAGGCCAAAGGTGAAACTTCCCCTTAATTGCCTGTATAGACAGAGTAAGATGCCACTCCCTGGACTGTGCTCCAGTTGCTCTGTGAACCTACCTCTAATACCCTATTTATCATACTTATATTGTAATCATTTGTTTTTATTTATCTTCTCCATTAGCCTGAGAGCTCCTTTGATGCAAGAACCATCTCTTATTTGTCATGTCACATTGCTTAACTTAGTATCTGACAATGTGCTGAATAAATGAATAAACAATGTAATTAATTCCTATTTGTCTGTAACTAAGAGTTTGATAGGATATAAAAGGTGAGGTCCTTTGGGGTTTAGGTGGACCTAGCTGCCAATTGGAAGATAGGAATACAGTGAACACTGCAAGTTTTCTACTTAACATTTATTCTCTGTCTTCCTGTCTAAAAAACACTGATTTTCTTTAGGGGGTCAATGTACCCAGAAGAAAAATAATCACTTCCCTAGACTTCCTGTGGCTATATTTGGACATTGGATGGGTAAGCTTTTATTGGGAAAGCTTTTATTTTTCTGATATAGGTACCGCTTCTTCCTGCTTCCTTCTTCTTTGCTCTGGCTAGAATGTAGAAGTGATGCCTTGAGGTGCAGCAGCCATGGTGTGACCATGAGGACAAAAGCCACAGTGCATGGATGGCACAGAAGACAGACAGGAGGATCTGGGATCCTTGATGGCATTGCAGAGTCTGAACTGAATTATGGAGCAATTCAGGCCTGAACTGCCTTTCTCCGACATTTGATTATGTGAGAAAAATAAATCCCTATGTGCTTACACTACTGCAATTTGGAGTTTGCATCAGTGTATGCTGATACAAGCTCATTGATATTAGGGTATTAGAGAGTTTTGAAGCATTCTTAACCTCACCTTTTACTTGACTAAGCTTAAGTTAATGACAACCCCTTAAAAGTAATGGATGGCGAACTAGATCTAAATTATTTGGTTCTTTAAGGGAATTTGGTAAGTCTGAGCAAAACAGGGATAAATCGAGTCCTTAGATAGCTGGGTGACCTTGGGAAATTCCCTGTTCTTTCTGCAGGAGATGTTATCTACATTTAGAACTGTTATTCTATATGCACCTAGAAAATGCTAGGCTCAATTGCTGAACATGTTTAAATAGGTTATTTAAATCGCACAACAACCTGATATAGATACTTTTAACGTCTATTTGAAGATATGAGGACATTAGGGCTCAGCCAGTTTACTTGCCCAGTGTCACAGAGAGATGAAGTCAGGATTTGAACCCAAAGTTCTGACTCCTAAGCTACACCCTTAACTACTATTAGACTGTCTTGAAACAGTAGACAGGTAGATATTTGTTGAGTGATCACATGAGTAAGTGAATAAAACTATCTCTTTCTGTTCTAATATCCCATACTGCTATAGATACGGCATTGTGACTTAGTTAATCTGTATTGCTCAGGAATTTTTCCCTTTGAGGAACAGAAACCCAAATCAAACTATTTTAAGAAAAAAAATTAAAAGACGTTGAGAGTGGAGTGACATAGAATTTTTAGCCCTGCATAATCAAGGAGATGGATGGGCTGGCCTCCAAAACTTCTGCCACAGGAGGTCTCAATGCTGTTATGGCTCTCTGTCTCTTGTTCTGCTATTTCTTTATGTGAGCTCTATTCTCCCTCTCGCAGGGTAGCTGATACCTGCAACCCCTGGGCCATCCAAATCTGTGCCCAGAAAGAAAGAAGAGCTGAACAGTGATTGGTTCAGCTGAGGTCACATGCCTATCATTGAACCAATCACTAAGATCAGATAATTTGGCCCTCTTATTGGTCCATCTTGTGTGATAGTGGCAACCCAGAGACCAGAGGATAGAACAGGACTTGTAGCTTCCACCAAGAAGTGGCTCCCTAAGAGATGGGAGGAACAGTTATTATTTGAAGGAGAGAGCTATGGAGACCCAAATATCCCCATGAGATGCCAGCTACAGAACCCAGCCTCTGGTGTCTAAAAGTCTGCTCTCTCAAGCGTTCCTTCTGATTCTGAGAGCTTCATCCTGTCACAGAAGCAATGGTTCAGAAAAGAAAAAGCTGGTGGGATGGCTCATTCTTTGCAGGAACAGAAGTTGACACAATGCATATTAATTCAGACTCAGAGAATATGTGCTTGGCCTTGTAAATAAAAATGGTATTCTAAGCACCCCAAACATCTGAATGGACCCCTCCTCTCACTCAAGGGCATTCCAAAGTTAACCTGGAAAACTAGTTTGGGCCGTGATGAGAAGGGGGATCAGACATGCCTCATTATACCCTTCTCCCTTTTGGAATTCAGGACCAGCTGACAAGCATTAACATTAAAACAGATCTTAAGAGTGACAAAGCAGACTCTTTGTAGCAATAAGATACCAAATTCCAACCTCACTCTAGGATAGCATCACCTGACAGACAGCAGCCCCTGAAGGAAATTGAAGTATTTTACCCCAAATTATGTTTCTTTGCCATATCTTGAAATAGTCCTGCAAGTCTGTCTCTTGGGAGAAAATCTACATTCTGAAGAGAATCCCCTTCCTGCTATAGGTGTTTTTCCTGATCCAGGAGAGAATCAACTCTGTTAAGAAATGTTTACAATCTATTCTCTCTGAAGCCTGCTACCCAAAGGCTTCCTCTGCATAATGGGAACCTTGGTTTCCACAACCTCTATCTTAACCCGGACATTCCCTTCTATTGATTCTAGGTTTTTAGACAATAACTTAACTCTTCAACCAATTGCCAATCAGAAAATCTTTTTTTTTTTTTTTTTTTTTGAGACAGAGTGTCACTCTGTCACCCAGGCTGGAGTGCAGTGGCGTGATCTTGGCTCACTGCAACCTCCGCCTCCTGAGTTCAGGTGATTCTCCTGCCTGGCCTCCCAAGTAGCTGGGATTACAGGCATGCGCCATCACACCCGGCTACTTTTTGTATTTTTAGTAGAGATGGGGTTTCACCACATTGGCCAGGTTGGTGTCGAAACCCTGACCTCAAGTGAGCCACCCACCTCAGCCTCCCAAAGTGCTAGGATTACAGGTGTGAGCCACCACTCCTGGCCAAGAAAGAAAATCTTTGAATCTACCTATGACCTGGAGGCCTGAGTTCTCAGTTTGCTCAGAACTCAGAAGGGAGAGCAGCTACTCAGTAGGCTTCTTTAGAGACTCCAACAGACACCATCAAGAGCCCAGATGCCTTTAATTTGCCTCCTGTGCCTGGGAGATATGTCCCCTTAGCATCGCATTGCTGCCACAGCAGCAAATATCACATTATCATGTGACACATCCAAGCTGGAAGGACAGGGAGGCAAAGGTGCTTTTCTCTTTTATCAAGGAGGGAAATATTACCCAGAAGTCACTAGGCAGAATGCCCCCTCTCTTACTGTCTAATTGGCCAGGCTGGGTCACACATCCACTCAGACCATTGACTAGCAAAGAGAAACAGAAGTATCATGACTGCTTAGTCCAAGTCAACTAAATCATGATGAACCATTTGGAACCGGAGATTTGACCTCACGAATCAAATCAGGGTTCTGTTAGCAAAAGAAAGAAGTGGGAGTGATGGTGTTTGGCAGTTTGCAGTGTTTACTGTAGTACTATTCACAATTTGTGGTTGAGTATTTGTTGGTTTGATGATTAAGATCTGACTCTCCTTTCCAGTGTAACTGCCGTGAGGCAGGATGTGTGGCTGTGTTGTTCCGTGCTGTGCCCTCAACACCTACCAAAGAGTCTTCCTCATAGTAGGGGATCTCAGAATTGCTGGGCACTGTAGTAAATACCAGAAGGAACATCAGACACGCTCCTTGTTTTCAAAGAGTTTGTGGTGCAAATGAGGCAAGACTAATACATTTAAATCATTTTCTGTTAATATAAGACAAGGCGTCTCCCTTCCTTCTTCCAAATAACGTTTCTCAAATGTCTACAATGTGCAGACACTATGGGAGGTGATGGTGATGCAACAGTAAACAATGAATAAGACCTGGACCCTGTCCTTCATGATCAAGGGCGAGTGAGGGAGATCAATTGAGAAAACCACCATGATAACAATAGGTCAGGAAGTCGGGGGGGCATAGGAGGGAAGGTTCTGTGTTTATTCTTTAATAAACCCCAGAGGATCCAGCCTAGGTCCTGGGACCCTGCAAGCACTTAGAAAATAGTCGCCTGTGGTTCATGCCTGTAATCTCAGCACTTTGGGAGGCTGAGGAGTTTGAGGCCAGGCATTAGAGACCAACCTGGCCAAGAAAGTGAGACCCCCCCCCCCCGCCCCCACCGCCAATCTCTACAAAAATATTTTTCAAAATGAGCCAAGTATGCTGGTGCATGCCTATAGTCCCAGGTACTGGGGAGTTTAAGGCAGGAGCCCTTGAGCCCAAGAGTTTGAGGTTACAGTGAGATGACTGAGCCACTGTCACCAAACTGGGTGACAGAGTGACACTCTGTCGCAAAAAAAAAAACAAAAAAAAACTGGCCATTGTGTATTGTGTCAGGGGAACAACAACAAAAAAACCCTATCAAAGATGTAGGGCAGGCATTGTTGGCTCCACTTTGCAACTCAGGAAACTGAGACCCAGAGAATTTAAATGACCTTCTGCAAATAATGAGGAACGGAGCCGGAACAAGAACCCAGCAACGCTGATGGCCTGCTGCCGGTTTCTACTCCTCACTGCCTTTCTGATGAGGTGGCTCGCTGACATCAGATTCTCAGTGTTGCGAGTTGTTCTGTGTCTGGCAACCTCACTTGACCCAAGGATATCTAAATCCATCTTCTCACACGTCGTGTGTAAACCAGCATTCATTTCCCGCCTGTCCTTCATTCGGCAACCCCAGCCTAAGGGAAAGCAAAGAGCCTGTGCTGGGAGGCCGAGGTCTAAGCACGTAAGATGAATTTTTCTCCTTTTCTTTTAATGACAGCGGCTCTTTTGTATTGAAGCACTAATTATAATTAGTCACTTCCTATAAAGTGTGCAAACATCACAGCACAGTTAGGAACCCGCATAATTTAAACATTATTGATAATTTAATTTAACAATCTGGGATTATGTGGGCTTTATAAGAGAGTACTCAAACCCTGGAAGACAGGGGAAAGGTCTTTGTTATATTACGGGGGCACCTCTCCCTTGGTGTGCTGTGCAGGCCTTTGTATAGATTTGTAAGGTTTCCCATGAAAATGGGAACAAATGTCCCCAAAATATTTAAATACAATTATTATGTTATCAAAGAGCCTTGGTTTTCCGATTCCCAGCTATAATTTTTATAGTTTAATAGGTGTTAATGACTACCCTGTAACTCAGGTGTATAATACAGGAAATAACACTGTCTTTTCTTTCTTTCTTTTTCTTTCTTTTCCTCCCTCTCTTTCTTTCTTTTTCTTTCTCTCTTTCTCTCTCTCTCCCTCTCCCTCCCTTTCTATTTTTTTTTTCTTTTTTTGCCAGAATTTCGCTCTGTCGCCCAGGCTGGAATGCAGTGGTGTGATCTCCACTCACTGCAACCTCCACCTCCCAGATTCAAACAATTCTCGCGCCTCAGCCTCCTGAATATCTGGGATTACAGGCATCTGCCACCATGCTGGGCTACTTTTTGTATTTTTAGTAGAGACAGGGTTTCACCATGTTGGCCAGGCTGGTCTTGAACTCCTGACCTCAAGTGATCTGCTGGCCTTGGCCTCCCAAAGTGCTGGGATTACAGGCATGAGCCACAGTACCTGGCCTCATTCCTTTCTTTAAATCAGATTAATTATGACACCATATCCTTATGCCAGTGGGATGTGGGAAATTTAATCTCAAACCATACTGGGGACACTTCTTCATGTCCCAGGGGCTTAAAAGGATCTGGGAGGCTTAAGTGGTTGGGTGTCCTCACTGCCTAAGCCCAAGGGGGTCCTTGATGTCTGCAAGTCTCTGCTTCTGAGCCATTTATAGGGTTTGGGAACTTTTCCAGATGGACTCAGGGTCTCCCTTGCCTCAGGCACACCCACTAACTGTCCTTGCTGAAGATTCCTCACTGCCTTTCTTCTGAGGCATTTTCCTAGAAGAAGGGCACAGAGTAGTGTGCGTGTGTCTGAGTATCTTTGTTCCCCTGACACAATAGCCACTTTTTCTTTTTCGGTGACAGAATGTTGCTCTGTCACCCAGTTTGGTGACAATGTCCCACTCATTTCACTGTAACCTCAAACTCGGGCTCAACGTATCCTGCCTTAGTCTCCTCCCCAGTAGCTGGGACTTTAGGTATGCACCAGCATGCTCAGCTCATTTTAAAAAAATATTTTTGTAGAGATGGGATCTTGCTTTCTTGGCCAGGCTGGTCTCAAACTCCTGGCCTCAAGGTATCCTTCCACCTCAGCCTCTCAAAGTGCTGAAGAAGGGCACAGAGCAGCGTGTGTGTGTCTGCTGCGTGATGAACCCACGGTCAGCTCGCCCCTTCCTAGCTGGGCAAGTCTTCCTCATTCAGTAGTCTCTCTACCCTCTCTTTCAGGGAGACCAACATTCTCTCTGCATCTGCTGAGACCTGAACAAAACATCAGAGGAGCTCTTGGCTCAAGGTTGCTTCTGCTCTCCTGCCCTGTGAGCAGGGACGCAAACTACACCTGGCTTCCTGCTTGAAACAGAGGGAAGGAATTAATCTTTTAATATAATTAATATACAAAGTACAATTTAAACATACAATTAATTAATCCCTTAATATATTATCCTGTCACATTAGTTAATCCTCACCAACCAGTGGTTTGGGTTTTTTTTTTTTTTTCAACCCAGAGAGATTTTCTTAGAATATCCTATATGTTTATTCAAATAATATTTATTTCACAGTTCTGATGTACAATGCCGTGTGCTGGCTAACGGAGATACAGCCATGTGATACCTTGCATTATTGCTTAAAATCGTTCATTCCTATCTGCGTCTGTGTCCTGTGTTGTAGGACTTTGCAGTTGCTCCTACAAGAGGCAGAGTGTATTGTCTCACCCCACTGAGGTTGGGCTTGGCCATGTGGCTCACTTTAGCCTACAGAGTGTGGGCAGGTGTGACTGCGTGCCAGTTCCTAGACTAGGCTGTAAGAGACTGCTTTCATTGCCTCTTGCACTTCTGTCATTGCCATAAGAAAAACATGAGAGCAGATCTCTGAAGGATAAGAAACACCGTCAGCTTGGAGTTAAGTTCGGTGGAAACAAGCCTAGATCAGTAAAATTCCAGTGAACCTGTGGATATGCAAGTGAGAATACATCATTATTGTTATGTTACTGAGTTTAGGGATTGTTTGTCATGCAACATTGACTGACCAATACAAGTAATGATGAGTGACAAAGACATGATCTCTGCCCTCATGGAGTTTATAGCCTGAAGGGGTTAGGCAGACTTAAATCAATAATTATATAGACAATTTTCAAAAACGTAATTGTGATCAGTAGTCATGACGGAAGTCCATGTCAATCTAGAGTGCTGGCAGAGTGTGGAACAGAAGCACTCAGCCAAGTTTGTCTTTAATTTATCTATAATTATCTGCAACTAATTATACTCCCAAATTCTCTCACATAGTTAATGCTGTTGCATTTGTATGGACCTTGTAAGCCACCTTAACTCTAAGAAACTAATCAACCAAAATGTATTAGTAGGTATTTATGATGTACACAGGTCCATGATGGGGCTATGGAACATTCTGGAAGCATGAGACTCAACACGTTCTCAAGCTACTGGGGGTGGGGGAAGCAATATACAAACACAATACAAGCTAACCAGTGATATGAAGTGGCACACTGTCGTCTGAGAGTGGCCTTGATGAGCAAGTGATGCGCACATCACTGTGGCCTGCTTCTGTCCTCCTTCTCTACCAGAAGAAAGTAATGTGTACCTCTTTAGGAAAGGTCAAAGATGTAAGAGTTGAGAGTGTCTTTAGGCAAAGTCCCATGGAGATATGCCAATAAAACACTCCCTTGAAGCAAGTGCTCTTCTGGGAGTCGACACATAACAATTGTTAATGCCAGGAGTGTGCGATGGAATGGGAGATGCCAAAAGGACCAAGTGGAGCAGTGGGAAAAGGTGGATGTCAGTGCCAGATGAGCTTAGGTTTTAGGCCCAGTTCTTCACTTAGTGATATGTGACTTTAGACAATGAAGTAACTTTTCTGAAATTAATTTCCTTATGTGAGAAATGGGAATGACCACTATGGCAGAGGTTACTAGAGCTCACCAATATCTAGTTCCCCTGTTCTTCCTGGCCCTGGCATAGAGCCTGACTATATTTGCAGTTAAGTATGGCCACATGATAAAGTTCTGGTCCACATGATGTGGGCAGAAGTGATGTGAGCCCCTTCCAGGTGTGATCAATAAAAGTCTCCCATATGCAATCCTTGTTTTCTTTCTCCATCTGCCACCTGAAGAGAGAGAATCCTGAGATCCTATAAGAAGGTCTAGTTGCAAGGTGAAAGGATCCTGAGTCGCTGAATGGCTGCATGGAGCAGAGCTCTCCCTCCTAACCCAAATCATGTGGGATTATGTCCAGTCACTGAAATTTTGGGGTTGTCTTGTTATAGCCATTAACTTATCCTGGTTAATGTAATTATCTACTTTGCAGTATCATGAGAATTCAACACACTTGGGGAAATGCCTAGCTTAGGTGCTCAATATATGGTCACTGTCACATAAAAATTATTAATAAGTCCTATAGGAATGGTGCTAAACAAATGATCTGGGGCTTCAGGGTTGGGGGAGCAGGCAGCTTCCTGTATGGCCCCCAGTTCCTTGAGACTGGGCTCTGCCAGCCACTGAGATCATATGGAGTTTGAGAGGATCAGAGACCTGACCTTGGAGTTCTCTGATACCTGCTGTGATGGTTAATATTGAGTATAAACTTGATTGGATTGAAGGATGCAAAGTGTTGTTCCTGGCTGTGTCTGTGAGGGTGCTGCCAAAGGAGATTAACATTTGAGTCAGTGGACTGGGAGAGGCAGACCCACCCTCAATCTGGGTGGGCACCATCTAATCAGCAGCCAGCATGGCCAGAATAAAGCAGGCAGAAGAAGGTGGAAAGAGCAGACTTGCTGAGTCTTCTGGCCTTCATCTGTCTCCCATGCTGGATGCTTCCTGCACCCAAACATCAGACTCCAAGTTCTTCAGCTTTTGGGCTCTTAGACTTACACCAGTGGTTTGCCAGGGGCTCTCAGGCTTTTGGCCACAGACTGAAGGCTGCACTCCTTCCCTACTTTTGAGGTTTTGGGACTAGGATTGGCTTTCTTGCTCCTCAGCTTGCAGATGGCCTATTGTGGGACTTTACCTTGTGATCATGTGAGTCAATACTCCTTAATAAACTCCCTTGCATATATACACCTGTCCTATTAGTTCTGTCCCTCTAGAGAACCCTGACTAATAAACCTGCCAAGAGGCCCACAGAGTGGTTAGTGGTTGCTCAGTGCAGAAGACAGGGAAAATGAGAGCAGTCTCAGAAATAGATGCAGTTGGAAGAAAGCAGTGCAGTTGTCTCCGCAATACAGACAGCAGAGAGTTCCAGTTCCCAGAAAGCTCTTCTGTCTTCTCCCTGATGATGACTGATGTTGGAAATGAGAAGCTGAGACATGGCAAAGCCACGCTTCTGAATCAACCATGGAGCCAGCATTAACTACGTTATAGGATGCTCTAATTCTCTGAGAGCCAACCATCTTTGCCTGGTTATATTTTATCTGGTAAGTCAATTAAGTAGCATTTAAACAGAATGCAGCATTCTCTAGCCCAGTACTTGCAAATTGGCAGCCCAGTTGTTAAAAATTGAGCTAGTTGCCAACTTTTAAAAACAGAACGATTTCATATAATATTCAGATTTCTTGCATCTCTAATAATCAAATGACCTGGTAATGTAGGACCCACATCTCCAAATGGTGACAATTGGCTGGTACTAAGTAGCTGCTGCTCCTGTTGTATGTGGCAGGGACTACAACATTAGCCACAGGACCTACCTAGCTATTTTACCATTTATATTACTTGCCTGGCCCCTGTAATCATCTGGGTTGACAACCCTTAGGTTAACTGGTATGTTAAACATGATTTTACCATAAGGTAAAATTGTTTAGGATTATGATTATGGTAGCCATCTTTATGTCAATGATAATTTGAAGCATATTTGTTTATTGTTCAGGAAATGGTAATTGGTTAGCTGCTATGTGCATTGCACTGTGCTAAGTATTGTGGTGATACAAAGATGAATCCTGGCCAGGTGCTGTGACTTATACCTTTAATCCCAGCATTTTCGGAGGCCAAGGTGGGTGGATCACCTGAGTTTAGGAGTTTGAGACCAGCCTGGGCAATGTGATGAAACCCCATCTCTACAAAAAATACAAAAATTAGCTGGGTATGGTGGCATGCACCTGTAGTCCCAGCTACTCAGGACACTGAGGCACGAGAATCACTTGAACCCAGGAGGCGGGGGTTGCAGTAAGCCAAGATCATGCCATTGCACTCCAGCCTGGGGGACAGAGCAAGACCCTGTCTCAGAGAAACCAACCAACCAACCAGCCAACCAAACAACAACCAAAAACCCCCAAAAAACAAAGATGAATCCTGCTCTAAGAAGTCCCTAGTCCAGTTTGGGGGATATAATATGCACAACAACTATATTCGAAGGTGCAAAAGTATCCATTTCTAGGAAAGGAGAAGGGAAAGATGTATTTCTCCTAAAAAATAAAATAAAGTTTCATGCAGGAAGAACTATTTATGTTGGGCTTTGAAGATTTGGTATGATTCAATTGTGTAGAAATTGCAGGGATGCCTTCCAGGAATGGGGAATGGCATGAGCAAATGCCTGGAGGTATTAAAGTACTCAATATGTAGAAGGAAAAAAAATTCATTTTGATGGAAACACAGGATTCATGAATGACAGTGGTGGGAAATAAAATTGGGAGGCTGGATGAGACCAAAGCATGAAGGCCTTTGAAGGATTCTAAGGAGTTTATTTAACTCCTTCCGTGGGCAGTGAGAGATGTTGAGCGGGAAACAGCTAGGCTCAGATGTGTTACTCAGAAAGAAGAGTCCAGAAATAATATGGAATACAGAATAGCAAAGAAAGAGACCAGAGATTATTTGCAATTATTTAAATCAAAAGTAATAAATATCAAAACCAGGGTCATGGCGGCCAAAACAACAAGATGATGGAAGTGGGAGGTGTAGAAAGTCTCTGGGATTTGACAAGCAGTTGATATTTGGGGGTGGGGCAAGAAATGATGTGGAATTAAATGCTTCTGAGAGGTCAAGGCAGAAGTAGAGAGTTGCAAAGAGGTGGGAAAGGTAGACATTTACCTTATTTTTTTTTTATTTTTATTTTTTGAGATGGAGTTCACTCTGTTGCCAGGCTGGTGTGCAGTGGCACAGTCTCGGCTCACTGCAACCTCTGCCTCCCGGGTTCAAGTGATTCTCCTGCCTCAGCCTCCCAAGTAGCTGGGATTACAGGCATGCACCACAATACCCAGCTAATTTTTGTATTTTTAGTAGAGACAGGGTTTCACCATGTTGGCTAGGATGGTCTCGATCTCTTGACCTCGTGATCCTCCTGCCTCAGCCTCCCAAAGTGCTGGGATTACAGGCATGAGCCACTGCACCCAGCCAACATCTATCTTTAAGAGGTAAAGGTGGAAGCTATGGGGCAGGGCCTCCCAGGAAGCAGGAGGTGAGGCCAGAGCACAGGAGGAGGGATTTACCCTCAGGTGCTGCCTGACCGGTGAGTGATCCTAACCCTGAATCAGCCGCTGAGTCAGCCTCAGGGCCCTGTTTGACAGTTATGACATCTTGATCCACAGAATGGAGGACTCCCAGGCAGTGTTTCCTTGTGCTGCCTAGACACAGCTAGCCCTGGAGACCACCTCTGGGCCTCTGGTTACACTAGCTCGACAATTTCTTAGCTTCTGGTGATCCTTTTCAATCCATCACGTAAAAGGTGATTTACAACCAAACATATTACACCCCAGGTAAAAGACCGTTCATTGATCTCTGGTTTTTCCTAGGACAGATCCACCTTACTAACCAGGGTGCATTCTCAACACACAGCTCTGCACAGGTTCTTATATCTCTTCTCTGTGCCACACTTTCCATAGCTGCTTTTATTTCCTTTTCACTTTGATTCCATGTTCTCTGTACATGAAGATATCGATGATCATAACTTGAAGATGCAAAGACAGAATTTAACGTTTATGAAGTGTTTTCTCCTTTGATTCCTCTAATAACCCCACTGGGTGGGTGTGGTCATTAAATCCATCTTATGGATAAAGAAGCTAAGATTCAGAGAAGTAAAATACCTTGTTCAACTGTTCACTGGGAATAAACAGCAGAGCAGACCCCTGACTCCAGAGCTCATGCTAGAAGGAGCTGAAGCATCCAAATAGTCCACTTGAACTCTTTGATTTTGAAGTTTCAGGGGTTTAGATATAAGCGGTTTGAGGTTGAGGTATGAATTGGTTATCCATCGCCACTACAGTGCTGTGTAATAACCAACCACAAAACTTCAATGGCATATAACAATAAACATTTAGTTAGCTCACAAGTCTGCATGGTTCAGCTGTTCTGGGTGTGGCTGGGCTCACTGATGTGCCTGCAGTCAGTTGCATTTCGGCTAGTCAGCTCTGCTGACCTGGCCAGATTCATTCATTGGTGTGAGAGCTGGCTGGCCACCTATTCATCGAATAAGATGACTAGGTCCCAGCTCTGGTCCGTGTCTTTCTTCTTCCATCTAGGCTGGATGTTTGATGGTGATGGCAGAACAAATAGAAACATGCGAGTGCTTGTTCAAGTCTTTGCTTGCATCACATTTGCCGACAGTCCTTTGGCCAAAGTGAGTCACACATCCCGCCTAGATTCTGGCAGGAATTGGAAAGTCACATGGCAAATGGATATGGACAGGGTGAAGACTGGGAGCTATTAATGCAATCAGCCTACCTCAAGGCGAACGTCCAAATCAAAACCTTCTTATTTCTATCCATTTTCTACTCCACTAAAGTACAGTTAGACAGCAATGCTTTTGAAGTTCAGTGGCTTCCTATGGCAACCAGAGTAAAATACCGGTTCCTTACCGTCACTACAAAGCCTGCCATTAGTGGGTCCCTGATGACTTCTCCAAACTCAATTCTGGCCATTCTCTCCATCTCTCCCTGTGCTCCAGCCACACTGGCCACGTTTTCCTGGGTCAGGGCTTGGCACATGTTGTTCCCTTTACCTGCAAAGCATCCTAACCCCACCCTCACCCTTCATTTGGCTGCCTTCCCCTCATCCCTTAGGGCGAGGCTTAAATGTCACCTTCTTGTACCACCTGACCCAAAGTGGCAGCCTCTACCTCAGCTTCCTGTTTGTATTCTTATTTAACTCTCATCACCATTTGCAGTCGTACTTTTTACTTGTTTTCCTATCTTTTGGTCTGTCTTCCCTGCTGGGGTGCAGGTCCAGGAGGACAAGAACCTCATTGGTCATGTCCACCATTGTGTGCCTGTGCCCAGCATAGCAGTCGATGGAGAGTGGGCACTCGATACACATATGAATAAACGAATGAGTGAGTGAGTGAGTGAAGAGCTGGGATAAAGTGTTTTCTTCCAGATAAACTCTTTTTTTTTTTTTTTTTTTTTTTTTTTTGAGACAGAGTCTTGCACTGTTGCCTGGGCTGGAGTGCAATGGCACAATCTCAGCTCATTGCAACCTCTGCCTCCTGGGTTCATGCAATTTTCCTGCCTCAGTCTCCTGAGTAGCTGGGATTACAGGCGCACACCACCACACTCGGCTAATTTTTTGTATTTTTAGTGGAGATGGGGTTTCACTATGTTGGCCAGACTGGTCTTGAACTCCTGCTCTCGTGATCTGCACGCCTCAGCCTCCCAAAGTGCTGGGATTACAGGCATAAGCCACCATGCCTGGCCTCAGATAAACTCTTAAAGATAGAGATCAACCTCTCTGGACTTGGGATTCAATGTCCTGCCTCCTCAGAGAAACTCTTATGACCTTAGACAGAATTTCTAGACAAAATTTGGCTTATCAGTGAGAGTAATTTTACCAAAGTAAAATTACATGGTGTCTTTCCTCTTGTTTGGTGGGAAGGTGAGGAGCAGGACCAGAGAACCCACCCCAAAGCCTTCACCATGAGCAGGTGGAAGAGACACGGAATCTGTGACATGGGGAGAGGCAAGTGCCACAGAGCACTAGAGATGGGTTCAGGAAATTTGAGCCCCAGCCCTGTCCTGCCATGTGTCCTTGGGCAAGCTCCTTGGAATTTCTGTGCCTCAGTTTCCTCATCTGTAAAATGAAGATCATAATCCCCAGCTTAGGACAGACGTGAGGGTGAGATGCACATGGCTCAGTGCATCTCTCATAGGATGAAGTGCAGGGGCAGTTTTATAAAGACAGGAATTCCATTATTTCCTCTATCCCAAACAGGTTGTAAGTGTTTCTCTTCCTTCTCACACCTCCTCTGAAATGTTCATTGCTCTGGGCCTACTCCTAGCAGCACAGGGTTGCCATTCTTGTTTCAGACCAGGGGTCTGCATCTGCTGCAGAGGATTTAAATCATTTCCGAAAAAGTGCAGGATGTTACTCAACATCATGCGGAAGCCAAGTGTTGGACTAAGAAATGATGTGGACACTGGCAAGCACTGGCAAACAAGGCCTTCAAAGCTTCCCAACTCTTTATTCCACATTCGACAACCTGGTATCGGGAAGAGAATTAAATGTATTGAGCACCCTCAGGGGGCCCCACCCTCTGCTAGACAGTTTCACGAACATTTCCTAGTGGAAGTCTTGCAATAGTCATGTTATCAAACTCCATGTTACACATCAAGAAACTGAGGCTCAGGGAGATGAAATGTCTTTAGTCAGTGCCTGATTTTTATATAAATGAGCTACTGAAAGTGTGTGTGTGTGTGTGTGTGTGTGTGTGTGTGTGTGTGTGTGTCAAATGTCATAAGGGACTAAGGAAGGGAGACTGCTTCCCAGTTACAAAAACATTGTGGAATTCCTATTTATGTATCATTTTCGATGACATGCCTCTTATGTTTTGTACATGTTCTTTCATTTTGTTCTTTTCCTTCTTGAATGACTATGGGTTGTTCACCTTACGTCAGTAAGTGTCAAATTGAAGCTAACAATTCACCGATTTTATCTGCTCAATGTACTTTCTCTTGTTTCTTAATAGTGTTACATTTCTGAGACCTATATTTCTTAGTGCTCATATCAACATTGTCAGTTTTCTATTTTCCACCCATTTTGATAGAACAATGAGAGCAAAATGGAATAAAATAACTAATATTCATTAAGCACCTTACTGTCTTGTGCAATACCCGTAAAAAATCTGTAGTGTGTTCACAATGGCAGATGCTGCATTATTAAGTATTGGCCTGAAAAGAGAGAAACTGTTTTGATTGGGCATGGATGAGAACTCAATTCTCCATTTAGAGTTTTACATGTCTGATGATTAAAGAAATTTTCCACGGATGGAGTTCTGCCTTCCCACAGATCAAGTCTTCTTTCTCCCCTTCCTCCCTCCCCACAGTACCAGCCATTGTAGGACACTGTCATAGCACCTTGGGATCTCTACCCTGCACCTTCATGGCTAGAGAGAGTATGTGGGTGTCACGGAGGGTGGCAAGAATGTCCTGGAAGCCACTCCCACACTAGGGCAGCAAACAGTAGCCTCACGATACACACAACTGACTGTGATCCCACAAACAGCCCACTAGACCTAAACTAGATGCTTCTCCAGACTCAAGTTTCCCTTCCACTAGATCCCCCAAAATACTCATGACCGTTTCAGTGCCACTGACATGAGAACAAGGAGGAAGAGAGGAAATATTATTAAAATATCTTCCTTATGCAAATTTTAATTTTTAATTTCTTTTAATGGAAGACGATTTGCCTTTTTTTATTATTGTACTTTAAGTTCTAGGGTACATGTGCACAATGTGCAGGTTTGTTACATATGCATACATGTGCCATGTTGGTGTGCTGCACCCATTAACTCGTCATTTACATTAGGTATATCTCCTAATGCTATCCCTTCCCCCTCTCCCTACCCCACGACAGGCCCTGGTGTGCGATGTTCCCCATCCTGCATCCAAATGTTCTCATTGTTCAATTCCCACCTATGAGTGAGAACATGCAGTGCTTGGTTTTTTGTCTTTGCGATAGTTTTCTGAGAATGATGGTTTCCAGCTTCATCCATGTCCCTACAAAGGACATGAACTCCTCCTTTTTTATGGCTGTCTTATGCAAATTTTAAAAATTATATATATAAATATATGATTTTTTAAAATAAAAACTAAAATCATGTAATCCCATTGTTGGGGGCACACCCAGGGCCATAGCAGGAGCTTGTTCAAGTGAGCCTGTGGAGCTAAAGCTTCAATAGCTTCATGGTAGGTAATCAGCCTCTGCCGTCACACTGAACTAGAGTCATCTGGACCCTGTTTCACTGGGAACAGGCACAGTGGTAGTAGGGGTGGTAGAACCCATGGAGTACTAATAGGAGAAACAAATGTGTGATGACATAGTACAGGGGTCATCAAACAATGGCCCATAGGCCAAGTCAGTCCCACTGCCTCAAGAAAGCTCACCCCTCAAGAAAGCCCTTGCCCCAACAGATGGCCCTTGAGCACTCCATCTCAGCCAGACTTCATGCAGACATGGCTCCTCTCTAAATAGGATCCCAGGGCCTGCACCATGTCTATGGTAGAAGGGAAGAAAATAGCTCCATTATGCTGTCCTAGTCTCAATATTCATGATGAACCTGTTCTGCCATGGTACCAATAATTGCTCGGCTCCAGGTCTCATTCTCTGCCAATCTCCTGAGCTTGGGGTTGGACTGCTTTTGTTTTTTATTTCTGTTGGGGTGTGAGTCTTAGTGTCCTGTGTCTGTCCTCATTTGGTTAATTGCATGTTGCCTATTTAAAATCTCCCCCCACTGTTTCAATTAGATGAAGTGTTCTTCATGTTCTGCTTGGCAAATCAGGTTGCAAAGCATTTGGGGTCCTCCTGGTTTGGCGGGGAGGCAGGTATTATTAATTACACAAAAGCTGTGTGGGTCTGAATAAATCACTCTGGTAACACTGTTGTACTCTTTCCCAGGATTTGGAAACCAAGGAAATATTTTATGTGACATGAGCCTGGATTATTGAAGTAGCCTCCTAACTGGTCTCCCTACTTTCACCTTTGTCTCCTCCTCTCTATTTTCTATTCTCTACCCAACATCCAGAGTGATCCTGTTAAGATACAATTCAGATCATGTCAGTATGCTGAAATCCTTCCAACAGCTAACCAATTACTCCCATAAACCCAAAGTCCTTACACTGATCTACAGGGCTGTGCATCAGGGGTCTCCCAACCATGCTCCAAACCTAGCTGCCTGCTGTCCATTTAAAAAATAAAGTCTTTTTAAAATGGAACACAGTCATGCCCATTGGTTTGTTTACTGTCTAGGGCTGCTTTCTTGCCACAGCTGCAGAGTTGAGCCATTGCAGCAAAGACCATGCATCCTGCAAAGCCTAAAGTATTTGCTATCAGCCCTTTATAAAAAAATCTTGCTGACCCCTGCCCTACCTCATGCCCCATCTCCACTCTCTACTGTCGCCTCTCAGACCCTACCTCATCCTTGCTCACTTTGCTGCATCCACACTAGGCTCTCTGCTATTCTCCTAAAAGCAACTTGTCCAACACACGGCCCACAGGCCACATGTGGTCCAGGATAGCTTCGAATGTGGCCCAACACAAATACATAAACATAAACTTTCTTAATACATTATGAGATTTTTTCTTTCTTTCTTTTTTTTTTTTTTTTTTTGCTCATCAGCTATCATTAGTGTTAGTGTATTTTATGTATGGCCCAAAACAAGTCTTCTTTTTCCAGTGTGGCCCAGGGAAGCCAAAAATTCGACACCCCTTCCCTAAAGCATCATACACTCTTCCATCTTGGCCTTGGGCTTGGCTGGTCCTTCTGCTGGGAATGTTTTTCCCCAGGTATCCTCATGACTTGCTCCTTTCCTTCCCTTGGGGCTTCATTGGATACTTGCCTTCTCCCCAGGGACTTCCCTGGTCACTCTATTTAAATTATAGCTTGCCCTTGACAGCCTTTAGCCTGCTTCCATTATTTGTGCTTTGCTGAGGGATTTTTCACTAACATAATGTATGTTTTACTTACTTATCTTGTCTCCACCCCTCCACCCCAAAGTAAGCATCTTGAATACAGGTATCTTTGTCTGTTTTACTCTTTGCTATATCCCCAAGGTCTCGATTAGTGCCTTGCATATAGTAGGTGCTCAATTAATGTAGGTCAGATGAATGAATATAACATTATAGGTTTAGAATTTTGCTGCACAACAGAAAACTCAAACAGAGGCCTGTTCAGGCCAGTAGGGTGGCTGCACAAGGCCATCAGGGGGCCTGGCCATCTAGCTTTCCTCTCTGCCATCTTTGGTAGGTGGCTTTCTTTCTCCCCATGGTGTTCTCATGAGCATGAGGATGTTCGCCTCACCTCTGGGCTCCCCTTCATGCTCCAGGTTATAAAGAAGGAAGTGACTGGGAGAAAGAGGTTCCACCTACATCAGGAAAGCAAAACTTTCTAGAAATGCCCAGCACACTTCTGCATGTATCTCTTTAGCCAGAAATGAGTCACCCCAAGCTACGGGGGAGGATGGGTATTATAGTCTCCTAGCAGGATGCATTAATACCCTAAAGGAAATCAAGTTTCTGGTAGTAAGGTGAAAGGGGAAATGGATATCAAAGAGGTGACTTATACCATCAGCCACATCTGGCCTTTGATTTTGTTCTCAGCTGGGATAAGTATTTAGAGGGTAGAACTTGGAGAACTCCTGGGACTCCAGAAAAGCACAAAAAGCAGAAATGCTGATTTTCCAAGGTCAGCCCAAACTTCCTCTGCAGTGTAGTCTCATAACTTCTCATGACCTTCCTCTGTTGTTGGGCTTATGTCATGCTTACCATTGATTCTCAGTCCTTAGCAGTGCATGTAGCCTGTGGTAGATGCTCAGGAACTATTTCTATAATAAATAAGTGAAGTGAAATTTCATTCTGGGGAGTGTGTACACACACACATAGGTACCTATATGTGGGTGTTTAAATGCCTAGTTTCCATTTATTGCATGCTTCCTTTATGCTAGTCATATAATGTCTATTCAATTCTGCCAATAACCCTGTGAAGCCAAGAGTGGCACCCCATTTTGTGGTGAGAATTATAAAAGTATCTGTTTCAAGGCTCAGTAACCTTAAGGAAGCTTTGCAGGAACTAATAAGTGGTAGAGATAAGACTCAAAGCTCTAGGCCACCGACTCTAAAGCTTATGTACCTGTGATCACAATCATTCATTTAGTCATTCAACAAATATATACTTGGTGCTTACTGTGTGCCAGGCACTGTTGCAATGATCATATTTCCTCCATTTAGAAAATATTTCTCAAATCAAAAGACTTAAACTTTTGTAAGTGAAGGGTAAGACAAAGAAATTAAAATATAAATGTCCTATCTGTTTTTATCTGTGTGTTTTCTTCTGAAAGTTTCTAGGTAAAGAACACACCCATGTACCTTCATTGTCACATGCTTATTTTAACTTTCTCAACTAGCATCATTTACGTGCATTTTAATTTGTTTAATGAGAGTGTAAAGTACTTGAGATTAGGGAGTATGTCTTATCCGTTGTTGAGTTCCAATCCTAAACTTGCCTGCATTGCCTGCAGTTAAGACAGTAATGGGCACACTGAGTTCAGTAGATTACTGTTGGATGAAACAGAATGTTATGAGACTGGGTTCTTGGCTGCAAGCAACAGAAACCTGTCCTGAGTGATTTAAGCAGGAAAGGGATTTATTAGAGTGACATAGCCCACAGAATCAGCTTTATAATGTTGGCAGGAACTAAAAGAGGTTACATGGCAAGAATATAACCAAAGTCATGGCTGGGTAAGCTGCCACCACTGACACTACCCCTACTAGACACTCAGTCTGTCATTGCTGGATATTGAATGCTGATGTTCACTGCTGGAATACTGTATCATCTAGGTTATGCTGCAGTAACAAACAACCCCATGTCAATGTCTTAAATGACAAAAGTTAAGTTTTTATTCCCATTATCTGTCTCCCATGGTGTGGAGGATGACTCTGATCATCAGAGTTGCTCAAGATCCCAGGCTGATAGAGACTCCAGCTCAACTCAGGTGTTCATGATCCCAGAGGCTGGAAAAATGAAGAGCATGAGGCCATTTGTACATCAGCTCTTGAAGCTTCTTTCTGATGTACCACATGCTACCTCCCTCTCACATTTCATTAATGAAGGCAAGGCACATAGCCATGCCTAATTTCATAAGGGGTGGGAAAGTACAAATCTTTTAAGTATCCCCAAGGAGAATTTTTATATTTATGATCAGCTTTGATGACTTCACAAACTCCAATACTACCTCCACCATGAATATTTGCTTACTAGCTCTGCAATTTGTGCTACTCAAAATTTAAAATCTAAAATCCTGGCAAGAGTGTCTCACTGGCACATTGCCCCATCAGAAAGACACATGAGAGACAGCACATGCTGGTCAGCCCTAAGACCACAAATATGACTGAATTTTTCCTCTTCTTTGTTAGTTGGAATTTGCACTGCTGGTCAAGCTTGTTTCTACCAGGGTGATGCATTCTAAAAAGGATCTCTAGATGTGGGATAACCTTTGCACTCTTTGAAGAGATAGTACTAGCTATTCAAACCATTTTTGGTTTCTAAAAGGGAATAAATTAATAAAGGAATGTGTTTTATTCTTATGCCCTAGGACTCAGCATTCAACACATATTGTCCTACATGTTTCTGAAGTACTTTTCTAGATTAAAAGCTATTGAAAAAAAGTTGGGGGTCAAATAATTATGGAAAATGCTAAATTCATTTAGTCATTTTTTGTGATAGGCAGCCTCTAAGCTGGTTAATGATCTGCATCTCCTGTTATTCATACCCTTGTCTCATACTCTCTCCCTGAGTGTGGGCTGGGTTTATTGACTCACTTCTAACAAATGCACTACAATAGAAGTGATGGGATGTCAATTCTGAGATTAGGTTATAAAAAGAATATGGCTTCCATCTTGGGTTCTCTCTCTTGCTCTTTTGCTTTGGGGGAAGCCAGCTGTCCTGTTGGGAGCTGCCTATATGACGAAGAACTAAAGCCTCCAGCCAAGAGCCAGGAAGGACCAGAGGCCCATGAACAGTCATGTGAGTCATCTTGCAAGTGGATCCTCCCCAAGTGAGGCTTGAGATGATGGCAGCCAGGATGACACCTTAATCTCAGCCTGTGTGATTCCGAAGCACAGAACCCAGTTAAGCTGTGCTTGGATTCTTGACCCACAGAATCTATGAAATAATGTTTTAAAATGTTGTTTTAAAGTGCTAAGCTTCAGAATAATTCTTTACATAGCAATAGATAACTAGTATATTCTTTCATTCATTCGATAAATATCAAAGCACATGATGCAAGGCTCTTGGGACATTTTAGTGATTACAATAGAACTGAGTTCCGCCCTTATGGAGTTAATTAATTTAAACCTGTTTCTATCCTACAGGAATAAACAGAGGCTTTAATATGTAAATATTAATCATGAATCTCTAAAAGGGGTAGAAAGTGTTTGGTGGATCCCAAACTTTAAACATTTTTATTTTGCTTGGCATTTTATAGGGCTAATGTTTTGTGGAACACACATTAGAAAATTTTCTATAAGCTAAATGAGTTAATGAATTAAACTTGTAATTTTAAAGGCTTAAACTCCTCTGCAAATATTTCAGAGTATGCCCCCCTTTGTTCATTATGAGCTTAATAGTGATTCTTTTTTTCCTGGACCACATGCACACTTTCACTAATTTATTTAGCAAACATTGACTGATTATCTACGATGTTGCAGGCACCGGATTGTTGCTTGGGCAATGGTGCTGCTGTGTTTCTCCCCAAGTCTATTTGGAAATTAGCTAATTGTTTCATTTTGGGAGTAATGGTTTCAGTCACAATATTTGGGCAAAGAGCAAAGAAGAGAAAGAATGGAATTGGCTAATGTTAAAATCAAAGCCTCACTGAAAACAGTAATGTGTATTAAAGCAGAGAATTGTCCTCAAGGAGAGAAGACATAATCCGTATTGAAATAGTGCCTGAAACACTTTATTGTACTGTATTTAAAATGTTTAAAGAAAGCTTGGAACAAATAAAGCCCTGAAAAGGTCTTTCAAATTGAAATGAATTCTTGGCGTGCTTTTCCCTCCACAACTAAGGTCTTCCCCACAATAGCCGGCTTCAGAGAAGCAGTGAGTGGAAGCCAGGCTTTTATCTTGATGTCTAATGTGTATCAAGTGTTTCATATTTTGGGTAGAAGGCAGGGAGAAAGGGACACCTCGTTTATGAAATGGACTGAAATGGCAATCTTATTTTGTCTTTGGTGCACTGCTCCTGAGGAATTCACGTGACAGTCCCAGATTTAGTGAGATAGTAAATGTGCTGGGATCAATCTGTCAGCTAATGATATCCCATTTTTATCCCTGGAAGGCATTTGAGGTCTGGATTTATAGAAATAAGGCAGTGCTGGTGTTGGTAAAGGTAAGAAGAAATGGGATGGACTGACAATTCAAAAGTAAAATGTACAGATATAAAATAAGATAAAAGATAATCTTTATCTCTTCAAAATAGGGAAGACCTTTTAAACTTATGAACCTTAAAGAACTGACAAATTTAACCATGAGAAAATTAAAATCTTCTGAAAGCAAAGTAAATAAATAAGTTTAAGGGGGAAGATGACAAGCCATGGAGAATTATCTACAATATATATGACAGAGAAAGACTTAGTATTTTAATTCTATAAGTAGTTCATATAAACCAATAAGAAAAATACATCTCAGGGCCAAAGGGGTGCTGCTTCCCACTTGTATGGTCTTGGGCAAGCTGTTAAATCTCTGGACCTCAGTTTCCTCATCTGTAAAATAAGCATTATAGGGTTGTTGTAAGGCAAGCTGATGTATTTCATGCACTTGGAATAGTGCCAGACACATTGCGAATGGTATATAAGTGTTAGTTATTTCTCTTAAAGTGCTATATAGAAAAAAATGATCATGGCAAGTGGTGCTGATGTAGTAGAGACACAGGCACTGCTGCATGCTGCTAGAGGGATATAAAATGGTCCAGTCTTCTTGGAGGGCAATTTAGCATCATGCATCAAGCTCTTAGAATGCTACATTGCCCTGGATCAAATTCCATTGCAAGAATCTTTCCCAAGAAAATAAGAAGTCAAACATATGAAGAAATAGCTGTAAATGGCTTCCGTTCAGAACTGTGTACATTTATTTATGCAATACTGGAAAGGGCACAAATGTCCAATAATAACAGATTCAGTGAGCAAATTATTGAACATCCGTTTAGTAGACTATATCATCGTTACAGATGATGTAAGCAAAACCACTATAAAAGGCATTTTGGGGAGAACTAGAATATGAAATATATATTGTTGGGTAATACTATTATGTCAATGCTGTTTCTTGGTGTGATAATGATCTTATGTTTCCTCGTAGGAGAATATAGGATACATGCTGAAGTGTTAATGATGTCTGCAGCACACTTTCAAGTGGTTCGGGAAAAAAAAACCATATATATGTTATTTCTGAAATATATATAAAATATCAGAGAATGAGAGAAAGCAAATGTTAGTAATGGTGAATCTGGGTGAAGGATGGATGGGGTGTTTATCAACTTTTCTGTTTAAAATTTTTCAAAATAAAAACCTGGAAAAACATAAGCAAACATTTGAAGACCCAGAAAAACATGATATATTTCAATGAAACAAATGGACTATAATCAGTATGATCCCACTTTTGGTTAAAAGATTAGGATTAGCTGGTATTTTGTGGGGAGTCTGTCTATGTGCCATACACTGTGCAAAGCACTTACAGGCATTGTCTTATGTCATTATAACCCCCCATGAGGTTTAGGAGGCAATACAATTTTCCCCACGTAAACAATCAATAGATGAAAGTTCAGAGGTTAAAAACTTATTTAAAAACCACAAACCAGCCACTGGTACTTAAACATGGGTCTTTATGACCTTAAGTCCACACTCTTGACTATTGATACTACTCTTTTGCACAAAGAGCAGAAGGTTGCTGCAGCTACTAAAATGATATTGATTGTACTTCATAATTATTGATAAGGGTGGTAATGGAGGTACATGTTCAATGCTTTAAAGAAGCAGAGCAAAGGGAGGGGCCAGTTCTTTAGGGCAGGATAGGAGTAGTGTGGTAGTTTTTACCAAAATGGTAACATTTGACCTGGGCTTTGAAGGATGCATAGGAGTACAACAGGAAAAAAAAAGTAACAGTATTCAATACAGGGAACAGCATGAGTACAATACAGGGAACAGCATGAGTAAAGACACACACTATCTTTAAGAAACTATAAAACTGTCATTTGCTTTTAAAGAGTGTGGGTGTTGGTTATCCAAGCAGGGTGGTAGCTAATGAGGTTGGACAGAGACCAGCACTACTACCTTCTGATGCAATGGGAGCTAGTGTAGAAGAATGATCCAGGCAGCAGAGTAGAGGTAAGTTTGCATGGACAGTAAGTCTGGTACTGGGGACATCAAGTGAGGGCCTGTTGGTAACAATCCCAACAGAAGGTGATGAGTGATTTTACCGGGATAAGGACAGTGGGAAGGCATTACATGGATACCCTCCCTAATAAATACCTGTCTTACAATATGATAAACTACCTACATGTGTGTCTTATCTCCTTGATGGTCCTTCGCTTGTCTATACTCATAACCATGCCTGACATTCTCCTGCCCTGCCTTGCCTACTTTGTATCATGGGGAACTCCCCTTCCCAGACCCTCTTGCCCTCCAGCTGCTTGATAGGTTTAGCCAGCAGGAGGCCCTGGCAGAAGATGTGAGGTAGGTGGAGAGGAGATCCCTGGGCTTTTCTGTCCCTCTCTGTCTGCTTCAGGTTGTATTCCTGGCAGCAGCTGTGTCTTACCTTTGACTCCAGTTCCTGCCAGACAGCCCCTCCCAACATAGGCTTCTTCCTGCTCAGCCTCCACTGTGGTTCTAGCTCTTGTCGGTTAGCTTGGCTTCTGGTAGTACCGTTTCCTTCCTTGTCCCTTCAGCCTTGGGGGTGGCTGAGGCTGCCTGCTGGTGCGAATTTTTCAGCTGCCTCCTCCCTGTCCATTTTTTTTTTTTTTAAACAGAGTCTCGCTCTGTCACCCAGGCTGCAGTGCAGTGGCGTAACCTTGGCTCACTGCAACCTCTGCCTCCCGGGTTCAAGCAATTCTCCTGCCTCAGCCTCCTGAGTAGCTGGGATTACCAGCACCTACCACCACACCCGGCTAATTTTTGTATTTTTAGTAGAAACGGGGTTTCACCATGTTGGCCAAGCTTGTCTTGAACCCCTGATCTCAAGTGATCCACCCACTTCGGCCTCCCAAAGTGCTAGGATTACAGGCATGAGCCACCGCACCCAGCCTTCCCTGTCCTTTTAACTCCTCAGCTCTCCCATGCCTGCTGTAAATTATTCTTTGTATTAGATTCTTTTGGATTAAAACACCTAGAGTGGCTTCTATTCACTGGCTGGACTCTGACACATTCCCCACCTACAGCAGAAGTTCCTAATGGACAGAGACTCTCTCTCCATTTTTAGAATTCCACAGGAGGGACATGGCGGTTACTCAAGAATTATCTGATTGATTTCCTGGTCTCAGATCCCATCAGTGATTCTCATAGGCTCTCCTGTGTGGGGTCTGCAAAGAGAAGATACGGGGGAAAGAGGAACGAGTTCTTAATCCTCCTTCCAGGGGCTTTGCTTGGGTTGTGGAGTAGTTTCCTTTCATTCATTCTTTCATTCCTTCAATCAACAAACATGTTTTGAGTACCTAGTAAATGCTGGGGATATAGAATGAGCCTTTCCTTGTGGAGCTCGCATATTACTAGGGAACTTTGGTGCACTGGAAAGCCATTGGGGAGATGAGGCTGGTCCATTTTTCCCAGAGTCACTGACTAGAGAGAATCTGCTTAGGAAATAGAGACTTTTAGGGTAAGACTTTTTGGGGGCAGATTCTGTGCTAACACACCTATCCATTCACTCCAATGAGCGTTTCTTGAGTACCTGCTATGTGCTAGTTGATGAGGTTTACAGTAGTGAATGAGACAAATAGGTCAACATCCTCATGCATCATATAGTCTAGTTGGGGTGACAGGTATTAAGCAATAATGAGATAAATCTATAATAAAAACCAGAACACATGCACTGAAAGAGAAGTAAATATCCTACGAGAGCTGATAGTAGGAGAACGTCATCTAGCTTGGGGTTTCAATGGTCAGGTCAAGTCTCCCCAAGGAAGCGAGACCCAAGAAATGCCTGTCCTATTTTCTTACTGCTCTCTGAGTGCTTGTCACCAACATTCTCAGATTTTAACAGACCAGATTGCCTGAAGATAATGAACTTAGAAAGGTCAGCATTTCCTCCAGTCTGTCAATTCAATAAACTGACCTCCGATAGAATAACATTCCTGGTGGAGCAGAACGCTGCATTTGTGGTAGCTGTAATGATTGTCCACAAACATTCCAGTTCCCTTTACGGGTGGGTGTTAAGATTGTAGTTTCCTGCTCCTTTGGGGTTAGATGTGGCCATGTGCCTGGCTTTAGCTAATGAAAAACAAACAGAAGCAATGTGGGTGTGTAACTTCCAGGTGAAAACCTTAAAATGTCAGTTTTATTCTTATGGTCTCCACCCCTTTTTCTGCCTCATCAGTTTTAGAAGCGTGTGTTGAGAGGGTGCTTCCAGGGAGAGAGATGATGGCTTTCCCACTATGACAAAGGGTGCCTGATGCCCAAGACATAAAGAATCACTGCTAGGAGGGCCATGCTCACATTGGGATATGCTCTGACAGTCCCCAAAGTTAACAGGTGCCTTTTTAAAGCTCTTTGAGGCCAGGCATGGTGGTTCACACCTCTAATCCCAGCACTTTGGGAGGCCGAGGTGGGCGGATCACTTGAGGTCAGGAGTTTGAGACCAGCCTGGCCAACACAGTGAAAGCCCATCTCTACTAAAAATACAAAAATTAGCCAGGCATGGTGGCAGGCACCTGGAATCCCAACTATTCGGGAGGCTGAAGCAGGAGAATCGCTTGAATCCTGGAGGCGGAGGTTGTGGAGGCCATAAGAATAAAACTGACATTTTAAGGTTTTCACCTGGAAGTTACACGCCACATCGCTTCTGTTTGTTTTTCATTGGCTAAAGCCAGGCACATAGCCACATCTAACCCCAAAGGAGCAGGAGGTTGCGGTGAGCTGAGATCACGTCACTACACTGGAGCCTGGGAGACAGAGCGAGACTCCACCTCAAAAAAATAAAATAAGTAAAGCTCTTTGGGTTATGTGACCTATCTGCTCTGCAAACGGGCGAGCCATTATGTTGACTTTGCAATTCTATTTCAGGAGAGAATTCAGAAGTGGAAAAATACATCTCCTTCTGATTTGAAGCAGACTGAAATTGGGTAGGTTCACTTATAATCATCTACCCAGTAGGAGAGTCTTCCATTCACAACACAGACATTAGCCTTAGCACAAGGATCATTGCGGAGGTTTACACATATGCATTTGGGAGACAGCTGATATCTGCATGGGGTGTGCTCAGAAATGATGCAGTGAAACATACAGAAGTTGTTCATTCATGTGTGTAATTCTCAAACTTCCCCTTTTCTGAAATTCATTGCACTTGCAGCTCTTATTAAAGTCCTTTTTTCAACTAAAAGCTCAGCAAAGGCAGGCTCCCGAAGGGAAGCTGAGTCCCCATAGCCTCCTGCCGCATAGCACCGTACCTGACCTATAATAAAAGTAACCAGCACTATCGAGCATTTACAGTGCTAGCCAGACACACTTCTAGTTATCTCATTTAAACCTCACAGCTGAGCCTCTGAGGAATGTATTATTATCCCCGACTGAAGATGAAGAGCAGAGGCCATTACTTTTAACTGCAAAACCATAATTTTGCACCAACCTAATAGTTAAGTAGTAGAGACAGGCTTCAATCCAAGTGGTGTTGCTTGGTACAATCATACATGGTAGATGCTCAGAAAACACCAACATGTATGAGCTCAGAACTCAGTATGTCTGAGTTCAGCCAAATGAGGCTAGTTTGTATTATGGTTGTTGGATTAGTTGTTGTGCTTACTCTTTGGTTTCTAAAATGCTGAAAGGCAAAGTATTATATTAGTACTCTGATTGACAGGTAGGATTCAAAATAGTTGGTGAAAATTGTTGTCTTTTAAAATAATTTTGTGGCTCTGATAAAAATAATATCTGTTTATTATAAAATGTTCAGAAGTTTAAAAAAAGAAAAAGAAGAAAACATCAGAATAAAATTAGAATAAACAAAACTCAATTAGCCTGGCATGGTGGCATGCACCTACAGTCCCAGCTACTTGGGAGGCTGAGGCAAGAGGATCCCTTGAACTCAGGAGTTCGAGGCTACAGTGAGCACTCCTGCCACTGCACTCCAGCCTGGGCAACAGAGTGAGACCTCACTTCTTAAAAATCACCAGAAATCCAACAAACTAATTATAGCTATTGTTTCTAGCCTTTCAAGCAAATTGACACACTTATATACATATTTAGCTCTACATAAGGCATTGTACATAAACAGGATCATAGTACATATACTCTTTCAAACCTATTTTTAAAAACATTTCTTCATGCACCAGTATATTGTAGAAATAAAGGTCACCATCATTATTCTTTGCAACTGCTTAAGATTGTTTCTCAAAGTCCTATGTGACAACATGATCAAGAGCTTCCTTTATATTTTTAAAAAAGTATAAGGATCCCCTTGGATAATATCAGAAGATACGATTTCTGGGAAGTCGCAAGCAATACCCATTGACATATTGATGTATATCAGTAAACTACCCTCCCCAGATGTATGCTCTGTCATGACATACATTCATCATCACTGGTTTTATAAACCTTTACCAATCTGGTAGGCAAAATAATCCTGGTAATTTAATTTCTGATTTTTTAAATATATTTTTAATCTTTAGTATATGTTTATAGCCTAGTAGCGTTTCTTAGAGGATAACATATATTACTGGTAGTTTTGAATAGTTATTGTATTAGTCTGTTCTCAGGCTGCTAATAAAGACATACCCGAGACTGGGTAATTTACAAAGGAAAGAGGTTTAATTGACTCACAGTTTCACATGGCTAGGGAGGCTTCACAATCATGGTGGATGGCAAATGAGGAGCAAACACATCTTACACGACAGCAGGCAGGAGGACTTGTGCCGGGGAACTCCCCTTTATAAAATCATCAGATCTCGTGAGGCTTATTCGCTACCACGAGAACAGTATGGGGCAAACCGCCCTGGTGATTCAATAATCTCCACCTGGTCCTACCCTTGACACGTGGGGATTATTACAATTCAAGGTGAGAGCTGGGTGGAGACACAGCTGAACCATATTAGTTATTTAGGTACAAAAATTTTCCTCCCAGCATCACTTACACCAGCTAATAAGCAGAAAGAACCAAAGGGGGAATCTGAACGCCAATGAAAGTATAAACATACAATGGAAGAATATCTTGTAGACACACACACACACACACACACATACACACACACATACACACACAGAGAGAGAGAGAGAGAGAGAGAGAGAATATTTTGGATGAATATGTGATGGCATGGGGAAATTATTATACTACAAAGTTTGAGAAAATTTTTTGAGGAAAAATCACAATGTGAAATAACTTGCAGAATAATCCCAATTACGTTAAAATATATGTGTTTAAACAAAAAGGCTGGGGAAAAAATTAAAAGGCTAGAAGGAAATACTACAAGAAGTTGTTAATGTTGGTTACCTCCATGGCATGGGATTTTGGCTGACTTAAACTTTCTTAATTTTTTGTGCTTGCAGACACTGAATTTTCAAATAGTATGGGGCTAATATTTACCATTTGATTGACTTGTTTATTATTATCAGTGTTGGGATCACTCACTCCCAGTTGCTTAACAGTATCATGAATGATTTACCTTCGTCAACCAAATGGACGTGTGCTTTGGTTTATTCATAATTCTAAGGATCACATTCATTCGTACTAGCACTATGTTGTGGACAAGATCCCTGCATTTAAGAATTGTGCCATCTGCAAGGGGAGAGAAGACATTTATAGCATAAGAAGAGGAAAGAGCATGTCTGCTGAGAAATAGCAAAATCTCCTAGAGGAGGTGGCATTTCAGCCCAGTCTTGAAGGATAAGTAGAATTTTTAATGAAACATTTGTTTTATTTTTCTTCTGACTCTATAAGAAATAAATGCTTATTACAGAAAACAGGAAAATGTGAGAGCTATTAACAGACATTTATAGGGTTATTATCAAGGTGGAACACTGTGCCAAATCCTACAGAGCATATTTTTAAAATCTCATTTAATCCCCCTTCCCCACTCCCAGAAACCCTATAAAGTGAGTGCGATTACTTTGTTCATTTCAAAGGCAAGGAGATAGATGTGCAAAGGGATTGAATGAGCGACTTCAGGATACGCGATTGGAAAAGCAGCAGAGATAGTACTGGAACCCAAGTCAACCTGGTGAAAGAGTCAACATACAGCCCATTGCTTTCAGTCCCTTTTTCCCTCTCCATGAGGTTTTTCCCTCATGGAGAAAATGAGGATTCTCTTGCTGCCTGCATTCTACTGAGTGTTCATCACTTTAGATAGATGATAGTAGCTGAAGGCATGGGGTAGGTGAGATCACCAGGGAAACATACAGAGAAGAGAGAAAGGCCTTGGGAACAAGCCCTAAGCTCAGAAATGGGACACCTTCCCAGGTCGGGGCTGGTGGAGAAGAGGCAGCATCAGGGAAAACACAGTGGAGCTAAGCTTGGATCTGAACATTAATGGTTGAGAAGGAAGGATGGAGAAGTGGAGGTGCGAGAAGAATGCCACAAGCAAAGGGAGCAGCATTTGCAAAGGCATATCAGATGCAAGAGACAATATGTTACCTTGGAAAATCAGCAAGCGATTTCAGGATGGCCGCAGCATAGGGTGCATGCGTATGTGAGTATGCCTGCCTATGAGTGCATGCATGTTTCTGTGTGTAGGTGTGTGAGTGTATCTGTGTATATCTGTGTGTCTACATGAGTGTGAGTGTGTGTTCAGAAGGCTGGGGTGATGAGACCCTAGAGAGGAAGTACAAATATCTCTTCAAGATAGAGATTTTATTTCATTTAGGTATATACTCAGAAGTGGCATTGCTGGATCATATGGTAGTTCCATTTTTATTCTTTTTCTTTGGGTGGGGGGAACTTCCATACTCCTTTCTGCAATGGCTGTACCAATTTACATTCTGGCCATCCATCAATGTACAAGGGTTCCCTTTTCTCCACATCCTTGCCATCCATCCCTTATAAAGGTTTATGATATTATGGAAAGAGTCTGGAAACACAGTGAGATCTGGAAACAGATCCCTGAAATTCAGCTAATCAGTAGAAACTTTATCTGGAAGGTAATGGAGAGCCTTTGAATTTCTTTTTTGATAATTACAAAAAATGATAAAATGAAAACAAGGCTTTCAGAAGATTCTTGGGCTGGATGGTTTGGAGAAGGTAGGGGCAGGAGAACAGGAGACCAGTTGGTAGGAAAGTATAATAGTCAAAGTGGGAGGTGATCAGCATGTATATGAGCATAGCAGCTATAGGGCAATGGCAGATTTGAGGCTCACTGGTATGAGAAACATGAGACAATTCATGAGATTATCTGAGAAAGTCTATTGACTCCCACCACCACCCAGGTTTACTGAGGTATGATTGAAAAATAAAAATTATCTATATTTAGGGTGGATAATGTGATGTTTTGACATACATGTACATTGTGAATGATGATCACAATCAAGCTAAATAACAGATCCATCACCTCACATATTTACCTTCTGTGTGTGATGAGGACATGTGAGACTACTCTTTTAACAAATTTCAAGTATATAACATGTTATTATTTACTATAGTCATCATGCTATACATTAGCTCTCCAGAACATATTGATCTTACAACTGAAAGTTTGTGGCCTTTGACCAATATTGTCCCCTTTTTGCCCACACTCCAGCCCCTGGTAGCCACCATTCTACTTTTTGTTACTATGAGTTCAACTTTTTTTTAAAGAGTCGACGTATAAATGAGATCATGCAGTACTTGTCTTTCTGTGTCTGGCCTATTTCACTTAGGATAATATTCTCCAAGTTCATGATGTTACTGCAAATGACAGGATTTCCTTCTTTTTTAGAGCTGAATAATATTCCATTGCAGATATATACACACCACATTGTCTTTACCCATTTATCTGTGGATGGACACTTAGATATGTTTCCACATCTTGGTTATTGTGAATAAACTGCAATGAACATGGAAGTGCATCTCTCCCTTCAAGACAGAGATGTTCTTTTCCTTTTTTTTTTCTTTCTTTTGAGATGGAGTCTCACTCTGTCACCCAGGCTGAGGTGCAGTGGTGCAATCTTGGCTCACTGCAACCTCTGCCTCCTGGGTTCAAGCAATTCTTGTGCTTCAGCCTCCCGAGTAGCTGGGACTACAGGTGTGCACCACCATGCCTGGCAAATTTTTGTATTTTTAGTAAAGATGGGGTTTCACCATGTTGGTCTGGCTGGTCTCCAACTCCTGACCTCAAGTGATCTGCCCGCCTCAACCTCCCAAAGTGCTGGCATTACAGGCGAGAGCCACTGCACTCGACTGAGATTTTATTTTCTTTGGGTGTATACTCAGAAGTGGGATTGCTGGATCACATGGTAGTTCTATTTTTATTTTTGGGAACCTCCATGCTGTTTTCCATAATGGCTGTACTCATTTACACCCCACCATCAGTGTACAAAGGTTCTCTTTTTTCCACATCCTTGCCAACACTTGTTATCTTTTGACTTTTTGATAATAGCCATCCTTACAGGTGTGAAGTGATATTTCATTGTGGTTTTGATTTGCATCTCCCGAATGATTAGTGATGTTGAGCATATTTGCATATACCTGTTGGCCATTGTTGAACATTCAAAGCAACAATTTAAAAGCATATCCTTACGTCCTTCATCAATTTACAACAAATATTTACTGAGCACTTATACTGTGCCAGGACTATGCATGGGAACCCCTAGCCCAGTGTAGAATCCAGACAAGTAACCAGGCTTTTGCAACCTAGTGTTGCAAGGGCCCAGAAATCAGCAACCACAGAAGGGGATAGAGGCAGTGGAAGCACCGAAGCCAGTCTTGAAACATCTGGGCCAGCTTCCTATAGGAGGGGATTCTAAGCTGAGAGACACAGTGTGCGGAGCTAGGAATCCCCATGTGTGTAAGATATGGTTTCTGCCTGGGTGGGTGGGGACAGACAAGTAGATGACACGATGCTATTTGACACAGGAATGCAGCTAAGCCATGCATATATATATTATATCTTTCTTTAGTCAGGAAAGAAGATTCTCCTTTGAGCAAATTTACTCCTTTTAAGAAGGCCGAGCTATTTGGAAAGATGCCCACCAGGATGGCAAAGTGGTGCTTGAGCCCTCCCTGCAGCACACGCCCAGGACTTTGAAGCAGGGACAGGGTCCTCCTGGCTACTGAAAGGAATCGAGTTAACGCGCCCTAGTGGCAGGTGGCGAATGGCCGGAGATCCGGCCTCCCAGTGGTGTCCACCGCCACGGGCCTCCGCTCGACAGGCTTATTTCCCTCCATGCTGGAGCAAACCCCGGCTGAAAGAGGGCCGCACTAATTGGTTTGCGTACCCGAAGTGGGAATAGAGAGGGAGGAAAACCATGTTTCAGGTGTTACGGGGGGAAAAAAGTGAAATGCGAACCGCAGGGGAGAGAGCGACCGTCAGGCAGACACCTTGTGAACCGCGGTGGAGAGCACACCTAGGTGGGGAGGTCACCGGCCCAACCCACCACCCTCCGGGAGAATGCGGGCAGGGACAGCAGCAGGGGGCAGCATCCACGTCTCTACGCTTGCAAGGGTTCCCCAAGTCCCTGGCCACTGCTCCCCACTTCCTGCAGCCTCGGTGTCCGCCGGGGGCGTGTGTGAGGGGCGGGGCCGCATGGGGAGGAGGGATTTAAAAAAAAAAAAAAAAAGCGAGGTAATTAGCATTCTCCGATTCCACTGGCTCTCCGCCGCCCCTGCTTTGCATACGCCCGTCCCACTGGCTGCCCGGGGTTTGCTGGGGTTCGGCAAGGTTTGCAGCCGCCACGGCCGCTGCTGCGCTCCGGTGCAGGGCAGGCTGGCGCCGAGCGAACCAGGGCCGGGAACTGGGAGCCGGGAGCCGGGAGCCAGCTGCCCGCGGAGCTGCGGCGGCGGCGGCATCTGGGGTGGTCTCAGTCCCACGAACACCGTGGCCGGCGCCCGGTGGCTACTGCGCCCAGCGGGGCTCAGGGAAGAGCGGTCTAGACACTTTTTATTTTGGAAGAAAGGGGCAAGCCCCGGCGGGAGCTTCCTTCCCGGCCTGGCTCGCTCCCCATTGCGCCCAGCTCCGGCCCGGACTCTGGAAGATGACTCCAGGGTCTGCTCTGTATATTCCAGCGGCGGCAGTTCCGGGAGGCAGCCGAAAGTACTAACAGTTGGTAGCAGCGGCTAGTGGAAAAGTGAGCCAAGGCGGCGCGGACTCGGCTCTCCCCGCGCCCCGCGGCACTCGCTGCTCCTCGCCGCTCCTTCCCTTTGGCTCCCAGGCGGCTGCAGCATGAAGTGGCGCAGCGATGGCCAGGAGAGGTAAGAAGCCCGTGGTGAGAACGCTGGAGGATCTGACGCTGGACTCGGGTTATGGTGGCGCGGCGGACTCGGTGCGCTCCTCCAACTTGTCTTTGTGCTGTTCCGACTCGCACCCGGCGTCCCCGTATGGCGGGAGCTGCTGGCCGCCTCTAGCTGACTCCATGCACAGCCGGCACAACAGCTTTGACACTGTCAACACTGCCCTGGTGGAAGACTCCGAGGGGCTGGACTGCGCCGGCCAGCACTGCTCGCGGCTGCTGCCGGACCTAGACGAGGTCCCCTGGACTCTCCAGGAGCTGGAGGCGCTGCTGCTGCGTTCGCGGGATCCCCGGGCAGGCCCGGCGGTCCCCGGCGGCCTGCCCAAGGACGCGCTGGCCAAGCTGTCGACGCTGGTGAGCCGGGCGCTGGTGCGCATAGCCAAAGAGGCGCAGCGCCTGAGCCTGCGCTTCGCCAAGTGCACCAAGTACGAGATCCAGAGCGCCATGGAGATCGTGCTGTCCTGGGGCCTGGCCGCGCACTGTACGGCGGCTGCGCTGGCCGCACTGTCCCTCTACAACATGAGCAGCGCCGGCGGCGACCGCCTGGGCCGCGGCAAGTCGGCCCGCTGCGGCCTCACCTTCTCCGTGGGCCGCGTGTATCGCTGGATGGTGGACAGCCGCGTGGCGCTGCGCATCCACGAGCACGCCGCCATCTACCTGACAGCCTGCATGGAGAGCCTCTTCCGGGACATCTACTCGCGGGTCGTGGCCTCCGGGGTGCCCCGGAGCTGCAGTGGCCCTGGGTCAGGCTCGGGCTCCGGCCCAGGCCCGAGCTCGGGCCCTGGTGCGGCCCCCGCGGCGGATAAAGAGCGGGAGGCGCCCGGGGGAGGAGCGGCGAGCGGCGGCGCCTGCAGCGCAGCCAGCAGCGCCAGCGGGGGCAGCAGCTGTTGCGCCCCGCCGGCCGCCGCGGCCGCCGCAGTCCCGCCGGCAGCCGCCGCCAACCACCACCATCACCACCACCATGCGCTCCACGAGGCGCCCAAGTTCACCGTGGAGACCCTGGAGCACACGGTCAACAACGACTCGGAGATCTGGGGTCTCCTGCAGCCCTACCAGCACCTGATCTGCGGGAAGAACGCCAGCGGTAAGTGTCTGCGCGGGTGCCACTCCCTCTCACCTAACCTGGCCAACTCTTGGCGCAAGTTTGCCTCGCGTCCCCCTCCCGCGTCTTCCCAGCCACGCGCTGCTGTCCCAAGCCGCTGAGGAGGCGGCCGGGCTGGAGGTAGCCAGAACAAGAGGTTGCCTGTTTGCTCCTGCACTCGGGTGCGCGTATTTCACGCTGCTGGTGCTGTCCCAGGTCCGGGAGCGCGAGGTTCCGCCCCCGGTGCGGGGCGGGGCGACAGCTGCCTCCAGCAGGCAGTGAGCAAAACCCAGCACCATTTTTTGGAGCAGGGTTGAGATCATTTGCGCTTAGTACATATACTCCACCCCTGCACTGTTTGTTTTGACCTTGAAGATGCCACTTCCCTGGGCGCATGAATTGGGCTCCCTAGGACTTGGGAGGAGGCGCGTTCCGCTCTCCGCAATCCAGTGCTCCCACTTCCCCACTCCCTCGGGGGGCACGCAGTGCACGGGGGAAGGAGGGGCCTGGCGGCCGTACCGGCTGAATGGTTGAAAGCTTGCACGGCCTAGACAGTCGTAAAGGTGTGTGTGGTGAGACTGGGGTGCGGGAAGACTTGTCGGTGCCAAGTTTTTCCAGAGCAGTTTTTGAGGGCTAGAGCACACAGCTGGTGGGGGCTGCGGGATGGACAAAGCCCCCAATTCCAGCCTCCCAGCTCTTGGCCTCTCCATTCCCTCTGGCAGGGAGCTGCAGCTCTCACCACTTGGCTGAAGGAGCGCCTCTGGGGATCTGGGCAGGATGGAGCTGGCGGGGGGCAGTTCTGGAGGGGGTTGTTAGTTTAGGGCGTCGTTTCCAGCAGGTTCTATCATCGTCTCTTCATGCCCCACTGTTTTGAAGGCCTGACTTGGGTAGGTTTGAACCCGCAGTTCTGTCCTTGAAGGGGGTGGGGCCGGGGCGCTTGTTTTCGAGAGCTCGCGCTGGCGGTGCTGCCCGTCTGCGAAAGCCGGAGCTAGACACTTCAAAGCTTCAATTTTCCACAGGAAATGGTAGAAACGTAACTGGAGACTCTAAAGGCGAAATAAAACTTTGTTACATATTCGGCGGTTTGGCCAGAGGTTGCGCGGTTGGAGCTGAAATGCAGTCTTTCTGGGCAGATTTCATTCATGTTGCTGCCTGTCTGTTTCCCGGGGGCTGGAGGAGCACTGCGGTGGGCGGTGCCAAGGGTGTGCATGTGCGTGTGAGAGTCTGTGTGCGCGCGCGTCTGTGCGTGTGTAAGTGTGCTTGTGAGTGTGCGCAGGAACAAGCGGGCGCGCAGGGCGCCCGGCTCCAGCCGAAGCCTTTGGAAACCGACCCTGCCGCCCTCGGTCCCTTCACCTGGATTTGATCGTCAGTGGGGGAGGGGAAGGAAGGAGCAAAGCGGGTGTGTGTTTGTGTGTGTTGGGGAGGGGAATCCGCACTGATCTCGGAGACTCTTCGGGATCTCTTTGCCAGAGCCCTTCCCCGTCTGCTGCCAGCCAGGGCACAACCCTCAAAGAGAGGATATCTTCGAGGCCACACACACACACACACACACACACACATCCTGAAATATCGACTAAGATGGAAACATCTGGGGAGAAGGCATTGGGCTTTGTATGTGCTTCTTCAGAATGCGGGGATTCACCTGCAAAACCTGGGAGCTTTGGACTGGATTGCTCTTTGTTTGAAACCCTACCTCCACCAAAAAGCACAGAGGGGCTTAATTTCCTTCCTGGTGGCTCCCATGACAATCATCTTTTACTCTTTGCTGCCCCTGACTCCCAGCTCCTTACCCACCTTCTGGGCCTGGAACCTCTTCTTTTTTCTCCCTCAGTATTTCCTTTGGAAGGCTCTAGTGTGGAAATCTGGTCACCCTGCCCTACTTCTGCCTTTGCCATTATCCTGAAGTTGTGAGTTTGGACAAGTCACTTTACATCTTTGGGCCTCAGTTGCCTCATCTGTAAAATAGGGGGCTAGATATGTAATACACCCCCAGGTCCTCTTGTAGCTCTGTGGTAGTTGCTTCTATATTTTTTCAAATAGGTTTTACTTTTATGAACCTTAACAACTTTTAAAAACAGTTTTTGTGTTTACCCTTTTTGGAGGAAGTATAATTTAAGGAAGGAGAAGACCACAGAGTTGGTTTTGGGCAGGGTGAGTGTGTGACGGTTGGGGTTTGCTGCCATCACAACCTCTCCCACACCACAGCGCTTAACTCTTGGGTTTCGGGGCCCCTTCAGCCTCCTCTGGGTATGAGATATACTATGATTTCATTGTGATCTCTTCATGCCTTTTCTTTGGGCTTGTTTAAAATGGCAGGTTGAATATGCAGAAGAGTTAAAGAATGAGTGATTAATTCCTTAGGTATTGGAATCATACATTAAACATCAAACCTATTTCTTAAACTATTTTGTACGGAGTCTTTCTGATCTGCAAGCCTTATTAAGGACAACATACCTTACATAATAGATTTTCCCTCCTTTAACTTGGTAGCATCATTTATTTATTCATTTGTGAATTCATTTGTTTATCGAAACTTATTACAGTTGCCGAATTCTAGGGTCTGAGCAAGTGCTGGGTAAGAGGTAATAACAGCTAACATGTATCCAGCAGGGCTCTGTATATTGACCCATTTGATCCCCAGTACCCATTATATACAGGAAGAAACTGAGGCATAGGGAACTTAAGTATCTTGCTTATTTAAATGCAGATAGCCTGGCTCCAGAGTCCGTACTCTTAACTCCTGTCTGTATGACTCTTTAGTGACAGATGAGTTCCCTGCCTTCAGGCATCCCACCTGCCCTTTATTACCCACACAGGTGAACAGAGACCCTTCCTGTCATATAATTCCTGAATTATATACTTTTTGTTCCTATCAAATGGAACTGGGCAGAACTGGATTTTTCATGTTTTTCTATCCCCTGCTAAGCCTAAGAGAGGCCCTAGTACACAGTTGGAGCTTATTAGATACCTTTTTGAGTTGAGCAAGCTATTGTACTGTATTATACAATGATGTCCTGAAAGAAGCTATTGCTTTTTGAGTTTCTTGAATCATCTTTGCAAGTTTTTCTACTTTGTTGTTATTGTTGTTCTAAAGAAGGGGTCTCACTATGTTGCCCAGGCTGGCCTTGAACTCCTGAGCTCAAGAAATCCTCCCACCTCAGCCGAGTAGCTGGGACTACAGGCAGGCACTGGCTCCAAGTTCTTCTTCCTTGGTTGCCCCTTCTTACTGCCATTTCTGTACCTGTCCACCTTTCTAATTTGCTGCTGCTAAACTGCCCAGGCTAAGGAATTGTGAAACTAGTCACATGGGACTGGATTCAGAAAAAAAAGATAATTGGCTCTAAAGCAAAAGAAGGCTTAGGGGCTCTCGAAAATCACATCCATGGGTTTGCTGTGGGCATGAACTTTGTGGTTATGTAAAAACTTTTCAGAACTGGAGTTTTGTGTTGATTTTCAGCTGTTTTGAAGAGCCGGGGAAACAGCTAAGGGACCCCATTGATGTTTCTGTGGAGTTTTAAAAATTTGACTTGATTGAGCTAAATAAGGAGGGGGCAGAAGTACTTCACTGTGCCTTTGTATGTGCTAGTCATTGTACCTTAAACTCCTTTAGAGCTGGCCAGTTCCTACTCATCCTTGAAGACTTGGCTTCAAGAATGAGTTGGTCTTCCTGGCTTCCTTGTGAGGGCTTCCTTGATGCAACCCCTTCTCCATTCTTATTCATCTCTGTGTCTCCTTCCATATCACTCAGCACAGTGCCTGGCACTTTGTATAACAGATACTCTCTACTGCTTGTTAAACGAATATAACCAGCTCATTCAATTTTAGGCATTTAAAATTTGCCTATCACCTGTAAAGGCAGTTGTTAAGAGAATGGCCTCTGGTGTTGGACCTCTAGGATTTGAATTTCAAGGCTGCCATTTTCTAGCTGTGTGTTCTTAGGTATGCGACCCAACCTCTCTGTCCTCCAGTTTCCTCAGCTGTAAAACAGAGGTAATAATTACAAGGATTAAATGAGATTATGTGTCTAAGCCTATTATAATCTGGTGCTGACACATGGTAGGTGCTAAAATGATGATGATAGTTGTGATAATCCAGGCACAATGGTATCTCATCTCTATCACATCCAGATTAATTCATTCCCACATGCTTAGGGTGGATGGAGCCAACAAGGCACAGAATTTTAACTGGATCCTCCTTTTTATTATAGCACCAAGTAACTCAGTACACCCACCTCAAGGATTGATGCCATGGGCACAGCCCTGTGGCCAGGGTCACAAAAAGATTGTTTTGGTCAAAGGAAAATAGCTTATTTTGGGGAGGCTGAGGCAGGAAGATTGCTTGGGGCCAGGAGTTTGAGACCAGCTGAAGCAACATAGTAAGATCTCAGCTCTACAAAAAATAAATAAATAAAATAAAATAAAATAAAATTAAGTTAGCTTATTTTATTTGCTGTACTTTAAACTTCAATGATATCTACCTTTAGTGAAGAGGCACCAGGAAACTTTCTGGATGTAGTCCCTTATGTTAATTGGGATGTGGGTTCAGAGGTATATGCATTTGTCAAACGGGGTTTCACCATGCTGGCCAGGCTGGTATCTAATGGTAAACCTAGTATTTGTGCATTTTACTGTATTGTGAAATATACTTCAGTTAAAAAAAAGACACACCAAAAAAAAAGCCATAGGCATTCTTGAATTAAATTTTGTTTTAAATGTACAATTTGAAGGGCAGACCAGAAGAGGCAGTATGGAATGATGAAAAGGAAAGGGAGAAAGACCTTACGCTTAGATCTAACCCCAAATTTTCACTCTACCATTCTCTAGCAAGTGACTTAATTTTGCTGAACTTAGTTTTCTCATCTGTACAGTGAGGATTACAAAACAAAAGAAGATGTATTTTAAAAAGGAAGAAAACCCAAACCGAACGCAATGGGCGATTACAAAGATTAAATCAGATACAGTTTATAAAAGCACCTGCCACATAGTAGGCACTCGATAATAATGGCTTCCTCAAAAAACAGATTATTCAGGCTGGAGATAACAATAATACTTGTGGGATTTTGAATAGTCTCTTTCATTTCAGGGATCCCCAATCACTTAATAAACATTAATTAACACAAGCCCTCACCTGTCAGCACGGGCTTGGAGGGTAGGTTGGTTTTCAGGTCTCTTGCTTTTCTATTGTCTCTGCACAAAATGCTTGCTCAGCCGTTTTCCTGTCCCTAAACTGGTCATGCTGTTCTGTTGAGCAGTGTTGCTGTGTTGGACCAAAAATGTCACAGAAGGAACCCATCTTCTTAAGAGGAACAACAAATGCTATCTCAAGAGCCAGCTGTAGCAGTATCTGTGCTCACAGAGCACCTTTTTAATTAACTGGCTTGATGTAAATTAAAACTTGGAATTTGGGTCAGTAGAGGGTGATTTGGTTTTCTGTGCAGACTTGCTAGTTCAGTGCTGGGGCATTTGCAAGTTGGGTGTTTTCCTGAAACATAAAATAAAAATAACAAAATAAAAACAATGAAGGACTAACCTGAAGACCTAGGGTCAAGGGTGGAGTTGATGAACTTTGAATAGAAGGAAGGCCTCTAATTCTGAGTCTGTTAGTATTTGTGACCTTGAGCCAGGCACCAAACTCATTATTACCAGACTTATTATCTACTGAGAGGTAAATACAAAATAGTAATTGACTCTGGAGTCAGGCACACCTGTAAGCTGCAGTTTCCCTATCTGTAAAATGGGTATTATAATAAACAGCTCTACTTGTATAGCTTATTATATGCCAGGCACTATTTTAAGAGCTTTATGTATTATAATCATTATAGTTACATCAGCTATGATTATTATTATTATTGAGATGGAGTTTTGCTCTTGTTGCCCAAGCTGGAGTGCAATGGTGCAATCTCAGCTCACTGCAACCTCCACCTCCCAGGTTCAAGATATTCTCCTGCCTCAGCCTCCTGAGTAACTGGGATTACAGGCATGCGCCACCATGCCCAGCTAATTTTGTATTTTTAGTAGAGAAGGGGTTTCACCATGCTGGCCAGGCTGGTTTCGAACTTCTGACCTCAGGTGACCCACCCATCTCCGCCTCCCAAAGTGCTGGGATTACAGGCATGAGCCCCCGTGCCTAGCCTCATCAGCTATTATTAAAGACAGTTCAGAAATCTCAGTAGCTTAACACAATAGAAATTCATTTCTTATACACTTAAACTCTGATTGGGAGAGGAGTGGGGTTGGAGGAGGTAGGAGGGTCATTTAGGTACCAAGCTTGATTAATGGAGAGTTTGCCTTTTTTATCTTCTACGTGTGGCCTTCAGTACCTTTCTTGGGCATTCATCCAGCCAGTAGGTAGAGGGAGACAGTGAGTGTGGAGGAGCTTAAGAAAGGTGGTACAGGCTAAGCCTGGAGGGACTTAACGTTGCTTGTGTTCACATATCATTGACCAGATGTATCATTGGCTCTCTGACCACCAATACATGTGTGCCTCCTTCTTCCTATGCACAAAACACATTCTCTTTTCCCTAAGGGAGGAACCCACATTTTTTCTGATCCCTGCTTCCAACTTAAAGTTCAGAGTCATGGATAGTCCTATCCATGAAGCTGAGTGTGGCACCTCACCATGGTCCAGGGACCCATGAGGCAAAACAAACATATTATCTGCCACTCTGCATTCATATCCCACATCTGAGCAGGGTGGGATAACCATCATGAAACTCCCATTTGGAAAAGATAATCATGGAAGGTACATACACAGCAGTCACTGGTCCTCAGTAGTGATGAAATCTTGCCAAACAAGCATTGTGGGGTTGTATCCTAGCAGTGGGTGAAGTTCCTGGATTAGGTCCTGATTCTTCTCCTGATGGGAATTTACTAGTTCATTGTTCTCCACCCTCTCAGCTGTGCTGGTGGGAGGATTTTCTTTGTTATTTTTCGTGGCCACACCTGAAGTTGGTCGTGGGCAGTATGGCCTTCTTGGGGGCTCTAAATCTTTTGTGACCTAGTTCTTTCCCTTGAACCTTTGGGGGCCCAAGGATTGTTTTAATGCAGTAACAGTAAAAGACTATTAAAATTAAGGTTTATAGATTTTGCAATGCAATTCCCTCAACAATTTAGTAAGACTTTCATCTATGATGTCTAATATGCCAGTAGCCACACCCAGAGTTATTTCCTAGACTTAATTCTGAAGCCCGGATTATTACTTCCTTTTCCCCACACCTGTCTTTCTCTCTAAATTTAATGGCAGCTACCTTGAGGTCATCAGGCTTAGGTGGGAAGCTTATATTCTTAATATGATACTTATTTCACTTAAATGTCTTCTTACTCTTTTGTCTTATTGTTTGGGGTTTAGACATAGTTGTCTGTTTTTACCTCTCCACTATTCCTTTCTAAAATTACTTTCAAACTGGTTAATTTAGGCCTGAGTTCTTCTCTTTCCCTAGTACCTTACTTAACTCAGCCAGGAACAGTTAGCAAACTTTATTACCATTATTTTTTCCAGTCTCTTTCTATAGAGCATACAGGCTTAGTAGGCATGAGCTCTGACTGCCAAGTTATCATAGATGACAGTTTAATGAGACATTTTACTTCTGTATCACATGGGTCTCCAGTTTTCCAGGCTCTAGTATAACCTGCTACCTGACTTCTAAGCCAATGTCACATGTTTTAAGCAGCCCACTTCTGGAACTAAGTTCTATATTAGTTAGGGTAATGCTAGCTGATGTGTCACATGAATCCTAACGTCTTAGTGGCTGAACATAATGAAAGCTGCTTTCTCATTCATGTAGAGTCCACCTGATGGCAGGGGAGAGAGGTGCTCTGTCTGTGGAAGTTGATGAAAGCTCTGCCATCTTGGACGCATAACTCCCGGAGATGTCTCTGATTGAGGATGATAGAGAATGTGGAGGATTATAATACAGTCCTGGGTGTGGGTGTGTCAATTCCTTCCGCATTCCAATGACCAGCACTCAGTCACATGGCCTCCACTAGATGTAAGGGGACTGAAAATTATGGTCTCTGGTAGGGCAGCCACCCACAGCCACAAGTCTACACTATCAGAGGGGCATAAGCATTTAATAGAGCTAGCCACCTCAACAACCTTACAAAGCAGGCGCTATTATTATCCCCATTTTACAGATTAAGAAGTTGAGGAACAGAAGGTTTAATGAATTTGCTTAAGGTGACATGGCTTGCAAGTGGCTGGCCAGATTTGAATTAGGCATTTGGCAGACTGCCTTATAGAATACTTGTGAGGAGCAAAATGACATAATGAATGTGAAACGTTGATCCTAGCATCTCATATGCACTTAATAACTGTTATCTTTATCTTTATTATTATCGATAGTATCATTCTATACTGAAAGTGGAGTGGTTTAACAGTGAATGGATGCAAAGATAAAATGTCAATCTGAATGAGTGGGTGCTCCAGGAAAATTGTATTACGTGTCTGTCTTTTCTTCTTTGCCTTCTCCTGCATTTTATCCACAGGGGGAACTACCAGTTGCTGAACCAGGGACTATTCCAGGATTTCCACACACATGACTTCATTTAATCTCCACACTCTTCTTGTGAAATGACTGTTTCTTATCCCCATTGTGCTGAGGAAGAAACTGAAGCTCAGAAAAGTTCAGCAACTAGTTCAGGATGCCACAGCTACAAAGTGGTTGAGTTGGGACTTGGGCTCAAAAGCCTGTGCGCTGAACTGCCGCAGCCCAGTGGTGAAATCTGGATCATAGGGGCCCCCAGGAGGATCCCAGAAGGACTCAAGTGCAGCCTGAGGGGCGTGTGGGGTAGAGGGCGGGGCTTGCCTTGGTGGTGGTGGTTATGGTTGATGATTGTCCTTGCGCATAATATGTGGTCGCAGGTCTTTTTTTAGTCCCCGCCGGCTTCCCCTCTCCCTGGCTGCCCCATGAGTCACTTCCCAGCTGTCCATCAGATCACAGCGTAGCCTCCTCAGCTGGAGGCCCTGGGGAAATAGCTGGCTTTATCGTCTCCAGGGACAGCTCCCCCCATACCCTGCCTAGCTGGGTGGGCTCAGTGCCATAAGAAGCACAGGCCCTCTGACAAGTAGAACTGAATTCAGAAAACTGTGACATACAGGAGAATTGATTCCATTTCTACTGCAGAGGAGACTGAGGCTGGTCCTCCCTGAGAATCACAGAGCTGGGTTTTTCCCAGACTCTGGAGTTAGGTGGACCAGGGTTCAAATTCTGGCTCTATTGCCTACAAGCCAGGTGATCTTGGGCAAGTCAGTTCATCTTTCCCAGCCTCAATTTTCTCGTCTGCTTAATAAGGGTAATGGTAGCGCTCCCTCATAAAGAAAATGTCGTTGAGAGAATAAAATGAGTTAATTCATATAAAAGTCTTTAGAATAATATTGGACACATCATAAGTACTCAATATCTGTTAATAATCATCATCATTATTATTAAGTGCTTAAGCAGTGCCAGCCTCCTTGCTGAAAGAACTGCTCCCTGGATGCTGCCTCATTTACTGAGTGACTGAAAAGCCTTCTATAGTTTGTCAGTAAACAGACTTCTGGAGTTTGACCACTTATTAGCTGTGTGATGTCAGGCAAGTTACCTAACCTCTCTGTGACTCAGTCTTTCCCTTTGTTACATGAGAGTAATAGTGAAAACTAATTCTGAAGGCTGTTGGGAAGTGCCTGACATGTAGAAATTGCTTCATACATGTTGGCTATTGTGGGGTTTTATTATATTCATTATGACTGTTTCTATAGGCACTGTGTTAAATGTTGAGCAACACAGTCCCTGTGCTCATGGAGCTTGCAGGCCTGTGCTGGGTTTAATTTATTCATCAAAGAATTATGCAGATGTAAATTTACAACTGGTGACATGTGCAACAAAGGAGAGACATACAGGCTATTAGAGTCTTTACCACAGCTCTTGATGTGGTTGGGAGTAAGGCTTCACTAAGGAAATGGGGAAGTGAGGCTTGAGTGAGGCTGGAATGAGGCTGAAGCATGGCCAAGTTGGTGGAAAAGGTAGGAAGAATACTTGGTGAATGCGAACTGCATGTGCAAAGGGCCTGTGGCAGGGGAGAGCATGGGGGGAAGGTAGAATGGCCACTGCAGCTGGAATGGGAGAGGGTAGGGAGGGAGCCTGGTAGAGGTTAGACTAAGCATCTGCCAGATTAAGCAGGCTTTTATAGAGGGCACTGGAGAGCCCTTGAAAGCTTTTAAGGAGGGAGATGCAGTGATCAGATTTGTGTTCTAAAAAGATCATGTTGGCATTAGTTCAGAGAGCAGACTGGAAGGGTGAATGTGGGAAGGCTGGTTAGGTATTGTCATCATCCCCATCTTACCCAAGAAGAATCTGAGGCTGTGACACATTAAGTCACTTGCCCAAAGTTGCTAAGACAATAAGTAGAGAACTCAATTTAAAAACAGAATTTAAGTCTGAGGGACTTCAAATTTGACCTTCCTCTCACCATACCATGCCTCATTCCAAGGGAGTATCTGGTTTAACGCTCACATTTTACAGATGTGGAAACTGAGGCCCAGAGTGGGCTACTGTCTTGTCCAAGATCACACAGCAGAGCTGGAACCGGTATCCCAGGTTTCTGGATTTTTAGAGCCCATCTCCCATCCACAGTGATGTATTGTCTCCTCTAAACCAGATCACTCGTGGGAAGCATAGTGGGATGAAAGCCTGCATTGTTGACAGCAGTTTGGAGATTAATTTACGATCCTGCTGTAATATCTCCGGTTTTGCTATACATCTCACAGTAAAATAAATGCTAGTCTGGAAGCATGTGGAGGTCCCCATTACATCGTGGCTGAACCACTGAAAGCAATTACTGTGAAGATCAGGTGTGCTAAATGCAGAATCAAATTAACAGTTCCCCTGTGCATTCATATCTAAAAGCAAATCAGAGAGGAAGCTTTGAGGAGGGGTAAGTGAAATCTTAAAGTACAGTGCCTGCCTCTGAGGTTGAGGCTGCATGGATTAACTGATTTTCTCTGGGTGGTATGTGTCATTGTTCCTTCCTAATCCCAGCTCAGGTTACCACCCAGAGAGTCATGAGGTGCACAAGAAGCACACCAGACTTAAATTACCTTTCTTTCTCTGGATGCTTCTGAGCATTTCAAGTACTGGGAACGTGGCACAGCCTTTTTCTCTCTCTGACTCCTCCCTCAGCCCCTTTCAGCCTTCTCTATACTGACTTTGAGGTTTAGGGGCTGGGCTCACCCTCGTGAGCAAAGCCACAGGTGCTTCCCGCCCTCATGGAGCTTGCAGGCTTGAGGCGGGTTTAGTTTACTCACAGATAGTCACACAGATGTCAAACTGCACCCATGACAGTTGCTCCGCGGGAGAGGTTCACGGGGACAGGAGTGTTTGATGGGGACAAAGCCTCCTTAGACTGCGGGGTGAGGTCCAGGGCGGTGCCTGCAAGGAGGGGAGCTGCCCCTTCCTTGGGCTTCCGGGGGGACCGGGGACACCAGGCATTCAGAGGTGGAAGGCTCCTTGTCAGCCTCCTCCACCTGGTGCTGGTGGTGACACAAGCGGTGGGGAAGCCTGCAGGGATGGGGTGGGTAAGAGTGTGATCTGTGCACAGGTGATTGGAGCTCCTCCTTCCCACCCGGAAGTCTGCACCACCAGGGCAGGCAGAGGGCGGAGAGCAGGGAATCTCATCCCCATGTCAGTGCCTCTGATTCTGCTCAATCTCCTTCCCTTTGGAAGCCCTCCCCACCCTCGTCCTGCTCCTGCCATTCTGCGGCTGCCATTGTTGGGGCCAGATGATAGGCCTCTGGTTCAGCTTGCTGCGGCAGCCATGGTGGATGGAGGGCAGGGGCCTCCCCCCCGCCCCACCTCTCCCCACCTGGGTCCGCTGGCTGCTCTCGCTGATTCGGCTGCTGCTCTAAGTTTTCTCTCTCCCAGCATGAGAGCTATGGATTAAGGAAACAGACCAAGAGTGAGCTGGCACCTTCACAGCCTCTGATGGCCCCGTAATGTGGAGCCTCGAGGGGCAGCTGGGAGCGTGTGCTGGGGTAGGAATTTCCCTGAGCCCCACAGTGCATGGGAAGGCGTCACTTGGCTCAGGCCCAGGAGGGCGGGCTCCTGCTGTGTGATCTCACGCTCCTGACCTCTCTGAGCCTCATTGCCCTCACATGGGAGTTGGAAATAATGATCACACCAGGTTCTGGTGTTGATAGAGTTGGACTTGTCTAATGAGGCGATGCTTTGGAAAACCAAGAAGCCCAGCACATCGTCATGGTAAATCTGACACATTCTGACCATTTGCCACACTCCTGGCACCATTTTAGGTAATGGAGAGCATTAGCTGCTCTATGAGGCAGATATGGTTATCATCTCTGTTTTACAGATGAGGACACCTGGGAGAGATGGATAGACTTGCTCAAAGTCCTACAGTTAGTAAGATGCAGAGTGGGGACTCCATCCCTGGTTCTCGGTGCCTGTTCCTAACCACCGTGCCTTGAGGAGGGAATATGGGATGTGAGAGAGATCTGACTCAGAAATCATGGAAGATGACTGAGGAGTACTTACCCAGGCACCTGGGGTGAGTAATGTCACCCCTGTCAGGGGCAGAGAAGTGAGGCAGCTGTCCTGAGACTGTGTGGCTAGTAGCAGCAGAGGCCGGGGTTGAACCCAGGCCATCCTGCCTCAAGGCCTGAGTACACATGAGGGGAGGAGGGGAAAAGATGTGAGTCTCCCCAGGCCATGCCATGCGATGTTGTGACCCGCAGGAAGGCCCTGTTCTCCTACTGGCCCTGCTAGGGTTGGGCTACAGATTTGCCACTGCTGAGCTTCCCAGAAGCCTGTGCAAAAGAAGCAATCATGAGCCGACTCACAATTCTTTATGTGGTAGATGAGACAGCAATAAACTAGTTGCTATAGCTGTGCCTGTTGCTTAGGCCAGAAAGAAGTTTCTCAGTAGGAGACTAGAAGCCATTATTAAGCTGCATTTAGTGACCTCACATTTCAGCCCACGGTTGTTAAGGAAGAACAAGGGGAGCTGCTTCTTGATCTGCAAAGGGTCTCTCCCACCCATCCCTGCTGCTTTCACCCCCTCCCTCATTCCTTATGGGATGTCCAGTTGTTCTTTGTGTATAAACAGAAGGCAGGGGTTGGGGCAGCATATGACTCTTCCTCCTATGTTCTGGAGGAGGGTCTTAGGGTCAGAAGGTGGCCTGGAAGTGTATATCTAAGTCAGATGGTCTGTAGAGAAGCAGAGTGAGTTCATATGCTCCTCTGGGACAAAATAAGCAGACCACACATTGCACCTGCAAGTATAGTCATCAGCAAGCTGGGGTGCAAGTTTAGGGAGGCAGGAGAGAGCTGGGTGGGACCTGGGCTTTGGAGAGGTTTCATCGTTGTGGTCAGATGAGACAGCACTTGAGGGTTTAGTGCCAGAAGAGGACATGAGGCCCACTCTAGAACAAGCCGTGTTGATCTCAGGCAAGTGACTTAACCTCTTTGGACTTGTTTCCTCATCAGAAAAATGGAGATAAGAAATATACCAGGTTCTCAGAATTGTTTTGAGGCTCAAAGGAATCCTCAGATGTAGAAGTGCTCTGTAAACTGTAAAATAACCATTCATTCGATCATTTGTTCAATAGCTATTTATCGAGAGCCTACTATATACCAGGTATGGTTCTAGATACTTAGCATCCATCAGTCCATAGAAAAAAATCATTGCCTTTACAGAACTTACATTCTAGTGGGAGAGACCCTATGTACTAAACACACTGAATAAGTAAAAGTGTTAGAAGGTGACACCTGCCATGGAAAAAATAAATCAGAGTAAGGGGAATCGGGAGAGTAGGGGATGGTTGCAATGATAACATGGTCAGGGTAGCCTCACTCCAAAGATGACATTGTGTAGAAAGATGAAGGAGGTGAGGGAATTGATCATGTTGGTATCTGGGAGAAAACTGTTTCAGGCAGAGGGAACAGCCAGTGTAAGGGCACTGAGGTGGGAAGAGCTAAGAACCCATTGTGGTGGAGAAGCATGAGTGAGCCAAGAGTAATGAAAGGTGAAAGCACAGGGTCACCGTAAGCCAGGTTGGGTAGGGCCCCATAGGTCATTGTAGACTTTAGCTTTTGTTCTTAGTGAACTGGGAAGCCATGGCAGGTTTTGAATAAGGATTGGCAGGTCTGGTTGAAGATGGACTCCAGAGGAACAAGAGTGCAGGCAGGGAGACCAGTGTGTGGAGGCTCTTCCAATAGCCCAGGCAGGAGAGGATGGTGGCCTAGCCAGGGTGGTAGCAGTGGAGGTGGGCTAGGAAGAGGCTTCTGGCTGTAACTAAAAGGTGGATTCACCAAGCTCCTGTTGATACGTTGGGTGTGGGGTGTGAGGGAATGAGGGGGGTTAAGGAAGACTCTGAAGGGTTTTTGGTTTGAACAACGAGGAGGAGTTGTCTTAACTGAGACGGGAAATACCGTGGAAAGAGCAGGTTTGGAGATGGCAGGAAAATCAGGACTCCAGCTTGGGACATGCAAAGTTCGAGGTATCTTTTAGGTGTCCAGGAGGACATGTTAACTAGGCCATTGGATACTCATTTAGGAGTATCTCGGATTCAGGAGAGAGGATGGTTTGGAGATAAAAATTTGGGAGTTGAGAGCATGTGGATGATATTTCAAACCATGAGGTGGGCAAGGTCACAGCGGGAGTGAGTATAGAAGGGACAAGAAGACCAAAGACAGAGCCCTTCCTTGGGCCAGATGGAAGAGGAGGAACCAGCAGAGGAGGCTGAGAAGGAGCAGCCAAGTGTGGAGGAGAACTGGGAATGTCCTAGAAGTTAACAGAAGATAGTGTGTCCCCAAGGAGGAAGTGGTCCCTTGCATCAGGTGGTATTTGAGGTAGTTACTCCCATTGTACCCCCAAACTCTGTGAGTATTTCTGTCTGCAACCCTTGGGGACTGTTTCAGACCCCATGAAGAAGCAGCATTGAGGCCAGGTGCAGTGGCCTACGCCTGTCATCCCAGTGCTTTGGGAGTCCAAGGTGGGAGGATTGCTTGAGGCCAGGAGTTCGAGACAAGCCTGGATAACATAGCAAGACCCCATCTCTATACAAAATGTAAAGAGTCAGCTGAGAGTGGTGGCATGCACCTGTCATCCCATCTACTCGGGAGCCTGAGGTGGGAGGATCACTTAAGCCCAGGAGTTTGAGGCTGCAGTGAGCTATGATCATGCCACTATATTCCAGCCTGGGTGACAGATCAAGACCTTGTCTCAAAAAAAAAAAAAAAAAAAAAAAAAAAAAAAAAAAAAAAAGCAGCAGCATCGATGTACTTATTGGGAACCACACTAACCATAATGATTCTGAGGATATTTGTGATGTTTTCCTAAGGGGATAGAGGGAAAATGCCCTCAGTATATCATCTATAAACCATAAACCAGGGGGATTAGGCCAAATCAACGATTTTGATCTGGGTTCTCATGGATTAAGGCAGGGAGGCTTCTCACTTCCACCCTGTACACACACATCAGCAGAGTTTTTCTTCTTGTATCTGTTTTATATATACTGGGATTTTGAATAAGATGTAGAGTTTGAAGAGCACTAGCCTGGGTAATGAGCAAGTCCTTCCTGCTCTGGCATCCCATGAGGCTCTGACTACCCACGGAGCTGGGATCCCACAGTGGATGTGTGCTTTGGCTTTGACCAATGAGACAAGCTTGGAAAGTGTCCTGCTGAGTCTCAGAGAAGCAGCTGAATGAGGCTAGGCGAGTGAGGTAGGGCCAGGAGGGGAGGGAAAGAGTGCTGCGCTTGGAACCTTTGCAGCTCCAGGACCCAACAGGGATGGAAGAGAGAAGACAGGGCATGAGGAGAACCAATATTGGTAATAAACTGAACTGGCAGAATTCAGGGTCCAACAACTGGATGCTTCACAGTTGAAGATGACTCTCCCTTCCTCCTCCTGCCCCGACAATTGTTTGCAATTCTGCTCCCTCCCCACCACCCGCCCAATGCAAAGCTTGTTCGTGTTCCTCCTTCACTGCTGCATCCTCACCTCCCAGGTGGCATTGCTGATTGGTGGGAGCAGAGGTAGAACTCATCAAAGCCATCTCTGAACCAAAAATAGCCTGTCCAGCCAGACACTTCCCAACCTTCCATGCCAAAGTGCTTGTTGTCATTTGTCAAACTTGGCACATCCACCTGATGGCTCTCAAAGGTCTGAGGTTGAAAACAGAAAGGATCAGTCCTGCATTCCCAAACGCTGACGTGAGCAAATGATGACTTTGGGATATTGTGACTTGTACAGTTTAAGTTACTTACCCACTCAATCGTCTAATCTGGTTGATTTTAAGGGGAGGGATCACATGGAAGTTACATCAAGGATCTGAAGACAGTCTGGCTGCAAATCCCAGCATCGTCCCTTATTAGCTGAGTCACCTTGGGCCAGTTCTCTCTGAGCCTCAGTTTCCTCCCTTGTAAGCATGGTAACCTCATAGGAGTGTTTGGGGATAAAACAGAATGACGTGACGTCTATAAGCACTTAGTGTGTGGCAGTGAGTTCTTGATACATGTTGGCTGGTATTGTTGGGACTGTCATTCCCCAGTCATAGAAAACCTCTATTATAACACTCATCAGATTATACTGAATGACCCACTAACCTATCAGTCTTTACAGATCATCTTGTGTCTCCAGCACAGCATCTGGCACATAGTAGGCACTTCAACATACTGTTCAGCGGATGACACCATAGAATGTAAACTTCATGCAAGCACAGATATTTGTCTGTTTTATTCATTACTATCCCGGCAACACCTAGAAGACTGCCAGAGTATAGTATGTCCTGAATAAATATTTGCAGCCTGTGAAAATGAACTGTGAATTAATGGAGCTTCACTAACAGGCAAATCCAGAGCTTGTTGCTAACCATTGGTTAACTGGCTGGGAGTCTTCCTGCATATTTCTGAATTCTCAGCCCTGAACAACGCTCCTTTTCAAAGCTTGCTTCTCTTTGAAGAACAGAAAGGAAATGATTGCCCATTATCCCTTTGTACCCAGTTTCAGCCCATGAGATGGCACCTCGTTCTAATCCAAAGTTGAAAGCTGTGTCTGCATAGACTTTTGGATCTTAGAGCTGAGAGAAGCTTCACAATTCTCCGGGCGCAGCCCCGCTGTCTTCAGTCTGGGTATCAGATGGATTTTGCAAGCTAGACACCTGAGAACCAGGGGGATTAATAGACTTGTATGGGGTTGCACAGCTGCTGGCAGGCAAGTGAGTCTAGTGGGCGATAGAAGTCCTGTTTTAAAGGTGGAAAGTCCTTCCTTCTCAGCTGGATCGGGATCTCAGCCCTCTGAATTCCCAGTTGGTGCCTCTACGATGCCATGCTGCCCCAGGGAAAAGGAAACAAGGCTTTGTTCTCTTTCTTTAGTTGTGATTCACACCACTTCCTACTTATTAATGTGGCTGGTTCCCATGTACCAGATTCTACTGAGCACGTTCACAATAGTATCTCATTCAGTTGCTCCATCACCACCGATGATGTCGGTGTTACTAGTTCCACCGCACAATTGAGGAGCTGACTCAGAGAGGCTAACAGATACTCAAGGCCATGCAGTGGGGATGTAGGGGCTGAGGTTCCCACCCAGCCACCTGGCTCATCATCACCAGACCCTCCCATTAACTGTGTTGGCCACATACGGTAAGGGCACAGTGTGACACGTTGAAAGTTCCTTCAATGCTCTGATGACACCAAAACTGTGTCTAGATGTTGTTAAGGCAGCCGGTCAATTCCATGGGGGAAAATCAGCCATTAGGTGAATAATTGTTGATTTAATCAAATTGGCAATGTAGAATTATAAAGATAAAGCAACCACTTGTCTATCCTCTTATGAGTCGTTGTTTGTGGTCTTGCTGTTCTCTCTCCATCTCTCTTCTAATTCTTCATTCAGGAAATAGTTCAGTGCCTAGGAGTGCCAGGTACTGGTGTAATGGGAAAAGGACATGCCACTGTCAGTTTCTAACCTGGTTTTGTTGTTGGAAAGACCAGAACCATTTTTTTTCCCCAGAACAGTGTGATACTAATTAATTCAAATACTCTATCTGAGCCGGTTTAACCTAATGTTCCTCCTGACTAACTCAAATCTGTATCTTCTTTCCACTTCCTCAGGGACCAAACTCACCTGCCAGTTGAATGAAACTGAAAAGGGGGCCACAGTAAGACAGGAGGAGATGTTTAATATTAATCAGGCTATACTGACTGTAATTTCGAACCCCACAACGCCTTATTATTATTAATTCTTTAGACTTCCATAATTTACAGCGTCTTGTTAATTATTTCTATTAATATTCACAACAGCCCTATGTTGTAGAGTGGGTAGGCGTTAGTATCCTAATTCACACAAGAGGAAGCTGAGGGTGGGAAGGGTGAAGTATCTTGCCCTATGTTACCAAATAAGTGGCAGTCTGGGCAAATGTTTGATTCCACTCCAGTGCTCTTTCTGGGCACATTGTTAGTGCTCAAATGTCTTGAGGACCTGGACTGAATATTCCAGGGTTGGGAAGTCTCATCTGAAGACTAATGAGGACATGGAGGTTGACTCAGCCTTGGACATAATCCAACCAACCCAAGGAATACGTTATGTTGGGGGACATAATCCCCCAACTCTTGGACATATGAAGTTGTTCTGTCCCCTGTAGCCTCTAAGGCCATTATGAAGCCTTGTGGCTGACCCTGGCCCCTACCCTCTTATCAGCAGTCATCAGAGGTGATGAGGCTCCTCGAGAGCCACCCAGAGCATTTTAATTAATTAACAAATTAATTTTTAAGAGACAGAGTCTCTCTCTATTGTCCAGGCTGGAGTGCAGTGGCTATTCACGGGTATAATCATAGTGCTCTATAGCCTTGGACTCCCGGGCTCAAGCCATCCTCTTGCCTCAGCCTCCAGGGTAGCTGGGACTACGGGGTATGCCACAGCACTCAGCTTATCAGAGCATTTTGATTTAGACCTCAGATGCTGCTACTTGAAAGTTAGGAAGTCCATGGAATGTCCACTCAAAAGGAGAGGAGGATGTAACTTGTAGATTATCTGCACTCTTGCTAGTTCTGCAGGTCGGATAACCCCTTAGTCAACATCCCACAGGCCCAGAAAGAATGGGCCACCGTCCTGGGCTCCTTGCACCTTTCCCATAGTGGGCCTTTCTGGAGGAACCTGTGGCCCAGCCCGATCAAGCTCTTTCTGAAGGAAAACACAAGTGCAGAGGCTTAAGCCCCACATGCCTCGGCTCAGCTATCAATCTGTTCCGCACCCACCCAAAAGAGGCCATTCTGTGTTGCACCGGATTCTTGAAAAGATGAGGACTGCCCGGTGAGAGACATGCCTCTAGACAGGTTCCCTTCCTTTTGTGTTTTTACTCTGCTAAAAGATTTCCACTGAAAGATTGTCACAATCAAAATCTTTATGTATTCTGCTCACAGGGCCTCTGTTATGGATCTTAATCAGTCATCATGTTTTCCTTAAAATGAGTTTTCTATGAAAGGAGAAGTGGGAGGTTATTGATTGTACATCGTATATCAAAGGAAGCTTCAGTGTGTTTTCATTTGGGTTAAGCAATGGGAAGTATTTGTTGCTATAGTAGTGCCCGAGAAACAGGGAGCTTGTGTGTGTGCATGCACGTGTGTGTGTGTGTGTGTGTGTGTATGTTGCATGTGCATGTGCCTATATCAACTCAGCAGAATTATCAGAAATTGGACGCCTGCCATAGCTTCTGAGTGTGGGTTGAGTTTTGATAACTAATTTGCCAACTGTCATGTAGGCAATTCTAACATCTTCATAGACTCCAGCCTTCTTATCTATGGAGGCCCCATCCCATGTCACACTCAAACACAAACCATTACCTTTATATTCCTGGCTAGAAAAAAATTTGTAATGATTTTGCTTTTGTGGAATGGTTTTTGCTGTGTTGATATCATATTTATTTTATGAGGGCTCTGATTTATCTGCTATTATTTTATATCCTCAGGAATTCTTCCAAAATGAGAAACATCTAACCAGACTTTTTTTTTTTGCCCCCCAACGAAATTGTTGTGAATACTGAAGTCAACAATTAATTATGCTGACTTCACATTAAGCATGTTAGCCATTTACATAGTTATTAATCATGGCTTTGCAGTTTTCTTTTCATGTGTTGGAGTTGATAATTTTTGAAGTGTTGGATATTTTCTTGCGCTCAAGAAGGCCCAAGAACTGAGTTGCTTAGTGGAGAAAAAATGGTCTTGTGCTTTTGACATAAAGAAACCCAGCTGAGACTGGCCTCAGAAAGGTAACTCTGAGAGTTTCATTCTCTGACTGAGGCATCTCACACATTCTCAAATGCATACACACTCACACTGTGCAGGGCTATGCAGTTGTTAACAATAAATAGAATCTAGTACAAAATTTAAACAAAACCAAACAGTGAGCCTTCTCCCATCTCTTCCCCCTTCCCTGTGGATGGTGCTGTGTGTTGTCTATAAATCTGAATAGGAAGATATTTGTGTTCAGAATCTGGAGGTGGGGAAGGGAAAAACAGTTGGTACCTGTGATGTGACTCCTCGTTTTTTTTTCAGTTCACTGGTCCCTTTTCCTACAGCTACATGAAGCATCGATGCAACCCTTGGAGAATCGATTAAGTGGCCACCCATCCTATTTTAGAGAGAATAAAAAAATAAGCACCAGGCAGGAACAAACAAAGAAACAAACAAACCCTCCTGGGAAATTCACCAGAGATCTCCCAGGATGGAGCCCTTTTCTAGCTAAGTCACTTTACAATCTGCACATCCCCAGGTATGTTTTCGAAAATTTGCCAAATGCTTACAAAAATTAGGAATTTGGTGAAGAGAAACAGAAGGGCGGTGCTGAGTGCCCATTCTTGGCCAGGCTGGTGCTGGAGAGACAAAGATGAATACAATGCAGTTGGTGCCCTTGAGAAACACACACCATTACTCAAATCTAGGATGATGTGAGATGTAATGCAGGCTGCGAACAGCGGGCCGTGGGAAGGGCTGGGCACAGACTCCAAGCCCTGTCACAGGTTGCTGGGAGCTCTATGAGCAGAAGAGCCAAGGATGCACTGTTAGCATACCCCTGAGTGCTGTCTCCCGCAATAGCTGGGCCACACCAAGCTGCAGGTGCAGACAGGGATTGAGTAATCATGGTTTTGCTCCTGACACACTGTGCTGTCTTCATCCACGTTCTTCCATAGCACTGTAGCAGGGACTTGTGAAGCACCTACCTTGTGACACAGGCTTTGTCCCAGGAGCTGAGGGTCAACCTGGAGGTTGACTAGACTCCCTGGCAGGGGAGTCTAGCAGTGAATGAGAATGCCACTGCCCCAACCCCGTGAGGCTGTCCAGGAAATGTAGACATTGACCAAGTCAGTGCAAGACTGAGGGGGGTAAGAAGAAAGAGAGTGCAGGGTTCCATGGGCCTCAGTTTCTTCAGCTGTTAAGTGAGGGAGGGAGTTGAGCTGTCAGTGGTTATCAGACTTAATAGTGACCCCTTTGTTTGGTGTGCAGTCTTTCTGGGAACCTCAATATGTGAAACATTAAAAAGCAGAATTGTTTGGCTATGATCAGCATCAGTGGATGCTACTCAGTGGAACCCAGTTTGAAAACCAGTGGGTGAAGTGATCCCTGAGGAGCTGGTATAGTTTGAATATTTGTCCCTGCCCAAATCACATGTTGAAATGTAATCCCCAGTGTTGGAAGTGAGCCTGGTGGGAGGTGTTTCGATCCCTGTTGGTTTGGCACTGTCTTCACCACAGCAAGTTCTCATGAGATCTGGCCTTTTAAAAGGGTGTGGCACCTCCCTCCTCCCTCCCTGGTCTTGCTTGCTTCCGCTTTTGCCATGTGACATGCCTGCTCCCCACTCACCTTCTGCCATGATTGGAAACTTGCTGAGGCCTCCCCAGAAGCCAAGCAATGCCAACATCACGCTTCCTCTACAGCCTGCAGAACCATGAGCCAATCAAACCTCTTTTCTTTATAAATTGGCCAGTCTCAGGTATTTATTAATAGCAGTGCAAGAACAGCCTAACACGGGAGACCTCCAGGAGACTAAGCTGTCCTAGAATTTTTGACTTCTTGGTGACAGTTCCCTTCCTTTCTAAGCCACTGTGATCCTGTGTCTGGAATCCTGAGTTTCCGTTGGGTCCAGGGCTAGCATCCTTCTTTGCAGATGGATGCCAGATTCATATTCCTCATTTTTTTGGGGGGAGGGGGTGGTGGAAGGGGCATGGATACTGAAGCTTCCATCCAAGCAGCTCCCTAGGGGATGGGGAGAAGGAAAGGGAGAAGAGAGCTGAGGTGTAGTTGGCTTGCTCTGTCCCTCTGGCTGTCCAGAGTAGCTCTCAGCTGAAAGGACCATGGTGATGCTGTTGTCACTGTTATCCCATCTCCCACACTGGCCAGAGCTGTCCTGTTTCATCCCCACTCAGAACATCTCAAGAACCTAGGGACCATGGTCAACCTTCTTATCGGAGCCTCGCCTTACTCTCATCCAAGTTCATCCCTCCTGAACACCCCAGATCAGCCCTGCTCTGATATTATTATTGTCCTATTGACTGCAGGGTCAAGTCCAAGCTCCTCATCCTGGCACTCTCTAATTCTGCCTCAGTGGAACCTCTGCTCCTCCTAGGCAGAGCATCCATTCTCTCCATGAACCCTGTCATTCCTAATTCCAAGCTTCTGCTCAAGTCATTTGCCCACCTGGAATGGCTCCTCTCTTCCCCTGCTGTCAGCTTCACTGCTGCAAATCAAGCCCTACGTATTTCTTGGGGTTGCTCCCATCCAAGCATTTTTTCCTCCTTTGAACCCCCGTAGGCTTTGCTTGCTGTCTGTAATACAGCTTGGGCAATGGGTCATGTATGTCCTTTTGCTGTTGAAAGTGTTTTGCTGTGGCTATGACCTGCCCCTCCATTGGACTGTAAGCTCTTCTAGGGCAGGGTTTGAATCTTTCAGTTCTTTTATTTAAAAATTTTTATTTTTAGAGACAGGATCTCATTCTGTCACCCAGGCTGGAGTGCAGGGGCACGATCATGGCTCACTGCAGCCTCGACCCCCCAGGCCTAAGGGATCTGCCCATCTCAGCCTCCCAAGTAGCTGGGACCACAAGTGCACACCACCACACCTGGCTGTTTTTTTGGTTTTTTATAGAAATAGGGTCTCCCTATGTTGCCCAGGCCAGTCTCGAACTCCTGGGCTCAGCAATCCTCCTGTCTTGGCCTCCTAAAGTGTTGGGATTACAGACATGAGCCACCATGTCTGACCTCTTCCAGTTCTTTTGTATCTCTTTCCTGCTCTCTGCTCAATGAAGATGCCTCTTGGTCAATACTCCCTCAGTTAGAGCACAAATGCATGTATTCACTTATAGAGTGTTCTGATTGCTAAAGGTGGCTGGAGGTGAATGTGCCATATTTGACCAATAATAACTTTGATTTGAAAGTATTGGCCAATCCGATGCCACAATGTGTTTGACTGCTAGTGTCAGAGACCAAACTAACAGTGGCTTAAACAAGGTAGGGAGTTGGTTTTCTCTTTTACAACAGTCCAAGGCAGGTAGGCAGTCCAAAGCTGGGATGGTTATTATATTAGTCCATTTTCACACCACTATAAAGAAATGCCTGAGACTGAGACATATATAAAGGAAAGAGGTTTAATTGACTTATAGTTCTGCATGGCTCGGGAGGCCTCAGGAACTTATAGTCATGGCAGAAGACGAAGGGGAAGCAGGCACCGTCTTCACAGGCAGCAGGAAGGAGAGAGAAGTGTGAGCGCAGGAAAAAGTGCCACTTTTAAAACCATCAGATTTTGTGAGAATTCACTCACTATCATGAGAACAGCATGGGGGACACCACCCCCATGATCCAATCACCTCCCAACAGGTGCCTCCCTTGACTCCTGGGGATTACAATTTGGATTACAATTCAAGAGAGATTTGGGTGGGGACAGAGAGCTAAACCTTATCTGTAGTTCTGCATCAACTCAGGCTCCTTCTGTCTTTCTGCCCTGCCAGCCTTAACACATGGATTCCAGTCTCAAGGTAGCCTCATGGTCCCAATATGGCTGCTACAGCTTCAGTCATCACATGTGCATTTTAAGCAGAATGAAGAGTGACAAAGGGTAGGAAAAAGGGTACCTACCAGTGGAGTCAGTCTTTCTTTTAAGCAGCGTCACTGGATGTCCACCTAATAATTCTTCTTATATCTCTTTGGCCAGCACTTAGTCCCCCAGCACCCATATCCCCAAGGGAGGCTAAGAAGTTTAGTTCTTTACCCAAACAGTGTTCCCACCACTACCACCCAATCATGTTAGTGAAGAAGAGGGAGAGAAGGGAAATTGGTTGGGTTGCCAACCAATAGTACTTATCGTAGCTAGTTAATGACCTATTGTGTTTCAGGCAGAGTAAGTGCCTGTCAGAGAAGGCAGTGGATATTTCCAGCCCCAGCTTTGCAGTTTTCTGCCAGTGAATCCCAGGACATCAGAGGTCAGGTTTCTCTAAGACCTCATCCCCAGTCAAGTGTTTGTTGAATGATTCACCTTGAGTCCCTCAAATCACTGAACTACAATTGACCTCGTGGAGGGATGATGGCTGACACCTTTGTCATGGCCAGCTCATCACCTCCCACTGAGGAATGTTCTTGGCATTTTCCAGATCACATTAAGATTTGTTAAAGCAGAGGTAGAGCCAGAACAGCCTCTGTATTAAATTCATTGTCCCTAGTGCATGATAATAAACATAATCTTGAGTCCATGCAACTTTGAGCTTTAACACAGACTTAATTTAATATTTCTGTAGGTTTTAATATAGTGCCTTGATTAATAAGAGTGAATTCTGATTTTTAAAAATGATTGATTTGCTTTTAAAATCACCCTGGTGGGTAAAAGGGCTCTAAAAGAAATTAGCCTTGGATTAGAAAGCACTCAACCTCATAACTTTATGGCCAGACCTTGTTTATTTCCAGTGGAAGATAACCATTTTCCAGCCTAGTCCTTCATCCAGGCTTGTGAGATATGGAGCTGGATACCACCCTTGCTTTTCCTGTTGCTCAGGAGGTTCTTCCTACCTGGAAGGAGAGCCCCTTTTCACCCACCTGAAAGTGTTCTCTTTTCAGGGTATTTAGTGCATAGAGATAAACATGAAATATAAGATCATGGGCTACCTCTGGGTTGAATAGATGGGCAAAAAAAGAGTGATAAAGGCAGAAGACTCTTTACAAATAAGTAGACACCTTGATGGGCCTGAAAAATGGATCTCCAAGGCTATTCATAAGGCAAGTGGATGCTCCATTCTCTGGCTTTGGAGCTCTCTATGAAGGGAGAGTTTTATAGGATTTGCCCAGCAAAGAGAATTGGAAGGAGGTTTGTTTTTTCTTTGGATAAAATGGGTGTGGTATCTTTGGATTCTTTTCAGTTGCAAGTGATAAAAAAAAAAATCCAACCCAAACTCACTTAAGCAGAAGGGGGGGATTATTGGTTCATGTACAAGAGAAGCCCAGGGACAGGGTTGGCATCAGGGGCTGCCCATGCTGACTGGCTTGGGCCAGATAGGACACCCCCAACCCTGGAGCTGGGGCTAGATCAGCTGCTCCCAGACCACACTAGAGTGGAGGAGGGACTGAATTCCCCAAAGGAAAACAAGGAAACCTAGGGAGACAAAAAAAAATGCCCATTCTGCAATGTATTTTTCCCCAAAATTTGAACTGACTGTGGGCAGGTGTTGGCAGTAGGGCTTGGTGGGTGGGGAGGTGGGACAAAGCCTGGGATCTTAAGAGGAAACAGTGGGTAGAAGGAAATGAATGACGAGCTAGAGAAGCTACTTGGACGTAAGGAGATGGCTGCTCTTTTCGTTCAATAGTTACTGGATTCCAAAAGTTTTACAAGACATTATCTCAATTAATCTTCATAATGGTCTCATGAGGTATGAACTCATTTTAGCCTTGTTGCACCAGTGAGGAAGCAGACCCAGGAAGGTCCATGGATTTGTCCAAGGTCTCTTTGTCATTAAGTAGCACAATCAGGGCTCACACCTGGGGCTGTTGAGAGTGGCGTGGAGCGGAGCTTGTGCTCATTCCCATCCAGCTGCCCTGCACACTGGAAGGAATCTGGTAGTGAAAACAGCATGCTCCTGATTAGGGATTCTTTTGGGGGCTGCTGAAATAGGTAGTCCTCAAGTCCCTGTTGCTTCTGAGTTTGTGATGTGGGGGAAGATGGAAAGTCTAGATTGGGATGGGGGCTAAACTGAGAATACTTTCTGGAAGCACCCCCATTGAAGGAAGTTAGGGGGCATCTAGGAGGAGAAGCATCCAGGGCCAGGAAATGGCCCCTTGTGATGGTCCAGAGAAGGCATCCTCTAGCTATAGCTCTTCGTTACAAGAAATACCATCACATAACAGGAAGCCCTTCAAATTGATTCTGCTCTTAATTTTTTTTTTCAGATAGAGGCTTGCTCTGTGACCGAGGCTGGAGTGCAGTGGTGTGATCTTGGCTTACTGCAACCTCTGCCTCCCGGGTTCAAGCAATTCTTCTGCCTCAGCCTCCCAAGTAGCTGGGACTACAGGTGTGTGGCACCACGCCTGGCTAATTTTCTGTATTTTTAGTAGAGATGGGTTTTCACTGTGTTAGCCAGGATGATCTCAATCTCCTGACCTTGTGATCTGCCCGCCTCAGCCTCCCAAAGTGCTGGGATTACAGGCGTGAGCCACCATGCCCGGTGAGTCTGCTCTTAATTTTTTGTCAATAAAAAGTACAATTTTTACTGGAGACAGAGACCTTGGCTTGCCAGACTCTGTCTCTGACTGCTTGCGGGTAAATAGCAGAGGCCAAAGTATCACATCTCCATTCTGGTCCTGCAGGGAATGAAGAAACAGGGCAGGGCTTCCTAGTATTAGGCACAAAACTGGGGTATTTTTATGTGATGTTTTTACAGTGACTGTTATAACCAACAGTATTCTTAAAACTTACTGGGGGTAATCATAGTTTTATTTCATCCCTGTAAAAGTCTTCCATTTAGAGCAGCATATATTATTCTGCAAATCTCCATATAAATGCTACTCATCCATTTTTCACATGGGCCACGGAGTAGCTTTAGCTGATTACATTTTGACTGTATTTACTGAAGTAGTCCTCCTAACTTGGGGAATATTTAATTTAGTGCAAACCAATTACATTCAGCCAAATTTTATTGAGCCAGCTATGAGCCTCACACTGTTCTAGGCTAGGAGATATAAAGTTAAATATCTTTATATGAGATATAAATATAAATATAAAGTTAAATATGAAGGCAGGGTGAATTCCTACCTTTGAGAATCTTTCAGTTAACTATTGCTGCATAACAACTACCCCAAAACATATTGGCTTCAAGAAACCATTTAATTGTGTGCATCAGGAACCCAGGAAGGGCTCAGCTGGCAGTTCATCTGTGATGCATGTGGCTCCCAAGATGGCTTCTTACTCATACACTTGGTGCCTTGATGCGTTTCGACCCCCCTCTTTCTACATTGCGTCTTGTCTTCTAAGGTCTCTCCACAGGGCCTGGGCTTCTTACAGCATGGAGGTATCAGGGTAATGGCTGTTTTTACATGATGGCTGGCTTCCAAGAGTCAGGAGTTAGAAACTCCCAAGTCAGTTAAGGGCTACGTTCAAAACTGACAGTGTCACTTTCATCATTGGTCAAGGCAGTCACAGGGTTGCCTACTTTCAAGAGAGTGGGAAGAATCCCACCCCTTGATGGGAGAGTCACAAGGTCACCCTGCCAAAAAGCATGTGCAAAGGGATCAATTGTTTACTTCTTTGGAAAATGCAGTTGGCCACAAAGGACATCCAGATGTGCAGTTTAGTAAAGTATAATGCAGGGTGGTAACCACAACAATGAAATACCAGCAAGCTGAAGGAGGAGCCCAGAGATGGAGGAACAGGCTTGCCAGTGGGCTGGGGTGGGGAGAAGGTACAGAAGGCTTCAAAAGAAAGAGCAACCAGGGGTTGAAAGATGGGTTTTGAAAGATGAATAGTTTGTGCACTTTAGGGAGAGAGAATTGCAGGTGGGAAGGCGTGGTGGTGGGGTCCTCATGAAGGCCTTACTCAGAAAGTCTCCCCATACTTCACTACTTTTATTTATATGTACTAATATGTGCATGCGTGTGTGTATATATGATGTGGGTATCTATGCATATGTATGTATTTACATATGTATATAGAAATATATATATACACACATATACATATATGTATATACTCATATCTACACACACACACGCACACACACACACATACATATTTTAACAGAGACTTCCATTCAGTCTTTCATTCAGTAAATGTGTCCTGACCACCTAATGTATATGCCAGACAGTATTCTAGGTGCTGAGGATGTGGTGGTGAAGAAAACAGAAGCAGTCAGAAGAGACCTGTTCACGCCTGGTGCAGTGGCTCATGCCTCCAATCCCAGGCCAAGGCAGAAGAGCATTTGAGCCCAGGAGTTTGAGACCAAACTGGGCAACATAGTGAGACCCTATCTCTACAAAGAAAATTAAAAAATTATGCCAGTGTGATGGTGTGCCCCTGTAGTCCCAGCTACTCGAGAGGCTGAGGTGGGAAGATTGCTTGAGACTGGGAGGTTGAGGCTGCAGTGAGCCTTGATTGTGCCACTGCACTCCAGCCTGGGTGACAGAGTGAGACCCTGTCTCATAAAAAAGAGAAATCTGTTCAAGGTCCTATGTTCTGTGACAGAGACCAGCAATAAACATTGAAATATGGAAGGCGATTTCAGGTAGTACTGAGTGATAAGGTAGAGCTTAGTCAGGGATGCTATTTTAGACAGGGCACCTGGGAAAGCCTCCCTTGGGAGGTGACACTTGAGCAGCAGTGAGGGGGGGACCCTAGGCAGAGTTCCAGGCAAAGGGAACAGCTTGTGAGAAGACCTTGGGCATGAGCATATTTGAACTGTCTTGGCACTTAGCTTCCATCTTGCACTGTGGTTCTCTCTGTACCTGTAAACCTGCCTTGTCACGCTGAAGGCTTTCTGAGGTCACACAGCTAGAGTTCAGTGCCCTCTACTCACTCATAGCCAAAGAGGAGGGCAGCTGCAGGTGGTGACTGGTCAGCTTCCATGCCTTGAGCTCTGGAGAGGTAGCTTCTCAGGATGAGCAGCCTGTTCTGTCCTGACGCCTCAGCCCCAGCTGTTCCTGGCATTGGGAGATTTGTTTTCACTTAGGGAGAGCCTGGCCTCATCTATAACATCATTGTTCTCTGGAAGCTGGCCCTTTCCCAAGAGGAGGAATGTGGGGCGGCATCATCACAGTGAGCAATTTCACTAATAAGGAAGTGTGCTGGGATTCCAGACGGGGAATGATGACTCAGAGTAAGGTGCATAACAGGTTCTCCAGTTGCTCATCTTCTGAATTCGTTCATTCATTTATTCATTCATTCCCCAGACATTGAGCATGCAGATGGAAAGGCAGAGGTTCAAATTCAGCTCTGCCATGTACTGTGTAATCTCAGCAGGTTATTTAACCTCTCTGAGTCTTTGTTTCTTCAGCTGTAAAATGGGTACAATCTCTATTTTTAAGAGTTGTGAGGATTTGATGAGAAGTTATGGAGATAGGATTGCCAGATTTAGCAAATAAAGACAGGACAGCAATTAAATTTGAATGTCAGATAAATGAGGAATTTTATTTTAGTATGTCCCAAGTATTGCATGTTTATCTGATATTCAACTTTAACTGTGCATCCTATATTTTAACTGCAACTCTACCCAGGGATAAGGATTAATTTAAAAAATGCCTTTCTTGGAGGAGCACAGGCTAATCAAACACTGAAGGGCAATTTGACTGATGGCAGAGGCACAGACAGAGTGCTGTGGAAACATAGACATCTCCATTTGAGCTCCTAAGAATCCAGACCCATGCTTGCTGATTTCTAGCAGGCTTGTCAAATACCCCGGTGACTGTGAGATTGACAATGCGAGAGCACAAAATGCTAGCACATTAAGTAATACAGATGGTTCAAGTTTGCTTTTCCACTGAGTAATCCAGGAGGCTGAACTCTGTTTCCTTCCCTCTCAAGGCAAAGGATAACCTTTGTTGTAGAGGAAACAGACAGTTCATTATTTCTAATTTTCTATAAGCCATTTAAAAATAAAATGAAACTAATTTAGGGGGGAAAAATCATATTGTTCCCTGACTTTATGGAATGTGCATTTCTCAGATAAAATGGTAAGAGTTCATTATTCTGGCTGGGCGCAGTGGCTCACACCTGTAATCCCAGCACTTTGGGAGGCCGAGGCGAGGGATCACGAGGTCAGGAGATTGAGACCATCCTGGCTAACACGGTGAAACCCCGTCTCTACTAAAAATACAAAAAGAAATGGGCTGGGCGTGGTGGGGGGCGCCGGTAGTCCCAGCTACTGGGGAGTCTGAGGCAGGAGAATGGCATGAACCCAGGAGGCGGAGCTTGCAGTGGGCCAAGATCTGCACTCCAGCCTGGGCAATAGAGCGAGAGTCCGTCTCAAAAAAAAAAAAAAATTATTATTCTGCTTCCCCAGAGACCTAGGGGTAAATTTCCCATGTGCCACCCAGGGATCTAATAGGAGGCACACAATTGGTGTCTCTGGCTTCACACTAAAAAATTTCCAAAGCATCTCTTTGGGTAAAGCTCCAAGCATCAAAATGCTGGAGGAGATTGGGGACATTTTTAAAAAGGTGATATCTTCCAGACACATTCTTGTCTTCTCTTGTAAGTGAGTGGCCTGGTATTGAACATGGTCTAACAGCATTACTGAAGGGTCTCTCTTCTTTCCCAGAGATGGCAAGGGAATATTTTAGATGGAGAGGGTTGTTTTAAAAAGCCTGAAAGCCTAAAGTCTATCCTGGAGTCCTCTTGGTTGCTTTTAGCCACCTCGAGAAACCAACTCCCAGTGAGGTTTGAGTTTTCCATTGTGCCATAGTGCTGGATGGGAAGGAGTCAGCACTAAGGTCTTTGCTAGTAAGATTGGAAACCGGAAAAAAAAACCAAGCCTGGGGCTGAAAGGGAGGATGAAAGGGGTCCTACAAGGTTATTAAAGGCATTTATTCAATTACAGGATTTGCAGCAAATTTTAATTGATTAGTTAGTGCCAGGCACTCTGCCAAGGGGCTTTTCATACCTTTTCAGGGTGTTTTGATCCTCATTCCTACCTCATGCAGTTGGTATCCGGGTGGCCATTTTACATATTGTAGACCCAGAGGGTTTGAGTTATTTGCTGAGGGCACTGGCTTATGAGTAGCCCCAGGTCTTCTGATTGCAAAACGCTTGAGCCTTACCATTGTGTTCCACTGCACTTTGCCATCAGACTTTCTCCTGAGGGAGTGTCCCCATTGGCTACAGGTATTTCTGCTCCTTCTGCCTGCTGTGGCGGATGGAGGAATGGCCTGGCTTCTAATGCCCTACTATGATTTGAATGCATCCCCCAAGGTTCATGTATTGGCAACTTAATCCTCAGTGCACCAGTGTTGAGAGGTGAGACCTTTAAGAGATAATTAGAATGCAAGGACTCTGCTCTCATGAATGGATTAACGCTGTTATCTTGGGAGTGGGTTCCTGATAAAAGGTTGAGTTTGGCCCCTTCTCTCTCTTGCACTGTCTCTCCTGATGTTAGGATGCAGCAAGAGGGCCCTCACCAGATGCAGCCCCTTGATCTTGGACTTCCCAGCCTCAAGAACAATGAGCCAAATAAATTTCTGTTTGTTATAAATGACACAGTCTCAGATATTCTGTTATAGCAACACAAAACAGACTAAGACACACCCTCTCCCAATTAATATCTGTTTGTGTGTGACCTGAGGCAAATCATGGGACTTCTCTAAGGCATCATTTTCCTCAGTAAAATGATGAGTCAGGCTGAGGTAGGAAGAGTCTTTAACTGATATGAAATCCTGTGTGTCTACCAATGGCATGCCATTCTGTTTCATTCACTCACTCCTTTACTAACTAATTAATTAATTCACTTAATAAATACCTATGTTGTGTCAAGTATGTGCCCCAGATATTGGTGACTAAGCAGACAGTTCTGCCCTTTCAGAGCTTGGAGTCTAGGGGAGAGATACCCCAGTCAACAGGCTGTTATGACACTGGGTGAAGAGGGCTGTTAGGAGGCAGGTGCAGGGTGCTGTGGGTACCTTGTCTAGGACTTTGTGGGGTCAGGCGAGGCTCTGGTGATGGGAGGGACATCCAAGGTAAGAGCCAAATGATGTTCAGGAGTTGTCCAGACTTAGAGGGAACAGTTTGTGCAAAGGGAGGGCACGCATGGAGCACTTGGGGAATTGAGCGCTGTGCCAACTGTCTGGATGGAGGCTAGAGTGCAGTGGGGAGGGAATAGTCTGGAGGAAAAAGAGGATGCAGAAATAAACAGGAACCACATTGTGCAAGACCTCAGAGACCTCTGGGAGGAAACTGATGTTTGTTTTCAGGGCAGTGGGCAGGCATCAAAGGGCAGGGCTGTGCTAGCTGTTACCCAGATTGTGTCTTGCACAAGAGTGTCCAACTAAGGGGGCCCTTCCACATACCAAGCCATGGGCCCCAGTGCAGAGCCTGGGGCTACCTGTGAGAGCGTGCCTTTTTCTAATTCTTATCAGGGAGCCTTAAGAGCTGGTGCTATCCTTGATATCAGGAGAATGATGTGATCATATCTGTGTTTTTCAGCCTCTTCTCTGGCTGCTGGGTTTGTTGGAGGAAGGAGTAGGAGGGGATGTAGAGTCAGGGCTGTGGGCAGAGAAGAGATGGGGGGTACCTGGGGAGGCAGTGGGGTTGGAGAGAATGAGTGGGTTTGAGTACTGAGGATGCCACTGGCCTATATGAACCACCTGGATCTCATTACTTCCTGTGAGTGGGTGAGGTGAGAAAGTTCTTTCGAAAGCAGAAATCATAAGTGGAGGAAGAACACTGTGGAGAGGGTAAGTATTTTGCCCCTGGGCTACCAAAAGAGCCAGAGTTAGGTTTGATTGCCAGCTCTCCAACTCTGGCTCAGACTCTTGATCCAACTGTAGGAGACCCATCAGGTGATGGTCATGTGGCTTAGTGGCCACACTCAAGGCCAAGAGTCAGGAGACCCTGGCATTCAGGTCATGGTAGACAGCTCTTTGGAGTTTCTGAACAGCATTATCCCTGCCTCTCTTTCATGATACCCTGATGCTCAAACATGTAGGGAGTACCCACTAAGTGCCTGGCTCTGAGCCCAGCATGGTGGGGGGGAGATATAGAACCATATGACACCATGTGAGCCGTCAAGGAACTCACTAGTGGGGTGGTAATAAGTGGACGGTTAACAATCAAAGACTGAGAGATGCTCAAGGAATGTTCCAGATTATCAGCTGTGTAGGGAGACAGAGCACAGTGGATATTGACATGGGATCTGGGATCAGACAGAACTGGGTTCAAATTCTGGCTTTGAAAACATTTCCTAGCTGTGAGCCCAGGCAAATCACTTAACATCTCTGAACCTCAGTTTGCCCTCCTATGAAATGGGGGTGATTATACTTAAAAGGTTTGCTTAAAGGATTACATAATTTGAGGCATATAAAGTGCTTAGTAGGGTGTTTACTCTAGTAGAGTGGTCCCCAACCCCTGGGCTGTGGACCAGTAGGGGTCCATGGCCTGTCCGAACTGAGTGGCACAGCAGGAGGTGAGCAGTGTACAAGTGAGCATTACCGCCTGAGCTCTGCCTCCTATCGGATCAGCGGCAACATTGGATTCTCACAGAAGGGTGAACCCTATTGTGAACTGTGCATGTGAGGGATCTAGGCTGTGCATTCCCTATGAGAATCTAATGCCTGATGATCTGAGGTGGAGCAGTTTCATCCTGAAACCATTCCCTCCCCCACCTCCCCTCGTCCATGGAAAATTGTCTTCCACAAAACCGGTCCCTGGTGCCAAAAAGATTGGAGATCACTGCTCTAGTAGACCAGTAGAAGGTAGCCATGTTTAATGTTGTTTAGGATAGGCCAGTTTTTGGTGTGTTTTTTTCTGTTTTTATTGTACAGTTCTGAGTTTTGACAAGTAATAGAGCCATGGAACCAACACCGCAAATACGATACAGAATAGTTCCACAACCTTCCCCCAATTCTCTTGTCTCCTGCCTCTTTGAGAGCTAAACCCTCTTACATTCTTTCTCTCCTTGTGATAATTTATTATCTCTTAGTTTTTGTAATAGCTTTCTTGAGATATAATTCACATACCATACAGTTCACCTATTTAAGGTATACAAATCAATGGTTTTCAGTATATTCAGAGAGTTGTACAACCATCATCACACTCCATCTTAGGACACTTTGCCCCCAAAAGAAACCCCTATAATCTTTAGCAGTCATACTCCCCCAATTCCTTTTGTCTATCTTCTCCCCTGCCCTACCCCTGGCAACCACAAATTTATTTTTTGTCTCTATGTATTTATCTATTCTGGACATTTCATAGAAATGGAATCATATAATAGCTGGTCTTTTGTGTCTGGCTTCTTTCACTGATCATAATGTTTTCAAGATTCATCCATTTCTAGCAGATATCGGTACCTTATTCCTTTTTTATTGCTAAATAATATTCAATTGCATGGATGTACCATGTTTTGTTTATCCATCAATTGCTGGACATTTGGGTTGTTTCTGCTTTTTGGCTATTATGAAGCGGTTGCACCTTTTACAGTCCTCTGAGCAGTGTACGAGAGTTCCAACTTCTCCACATGCTTGCCGAACACTTGTTATTATCTGTATTTTTGATTATAGCCATCCTCGTGGGTGTGAAGTGGTGTCTCAGTGAAGTCTGCCTGTATATACCCTTAACCCCTGGCAATTCACTGGTTTATTCTCTGACCCTGTAGATTTGCTTGTGATGAATATGATGGCTGTAACCATACATTATATAGCTTTTTGACTCTGCCTTCCTCTCTATAGTATTGTGTACTTGAGATTCATCCATATGATTACATTCTTTTTTGTCGCTGAGTAGCATTCCATTGCATGCATGTGCTACCCCAGGAGTGCCTGCTTTTATTGCCAGTAATGTTTGAGGGGTCCCTCGCCCAAATGTATCAGAGGCCAAGTTCTCTCACCTGAGCGGGGGCTTTTTATAGTTTGAGAGATCTTTCGCATGTCTCCCCAGGCCGCCAGCCTCACAGGAGACTCCGCCTTTTCCTCTTGTAGGTCCCTCTGAGCTGCAGAGCTGGGCTCACCGTCTATGAGCTGGAGCCTTCCTGGGGTGGAGACCCACCTGGGATTAGAATTTCTCTGCGTCGTGGCTCTGACATGCCATTCTTGGGAAGCAGCCTGTGTGGGCCCCAGCCCAGTGAGGCAGGTGGGGACTGGACCACGTGGAACAGCTGGTGCCTGGGAGCCCTGAGCCTTCAGTGTCCAGCTGTCTCCTGTCTCATCAGGGAGCCCCAGAAGCTCCTTGGACGGATAAACAAAGTCATTTTCTTGTTCCCTTATCTCTTTTCATCTTTTCATGGCAGGTTTGCAGCTTGGGGCTTTGAGCACTGCCACCCTCATCCCCCACCCTGCCACCCTTGAATGCTCCAATTTTCCAACTTTCTATTACAGGCTCAGGGAGAATATGATGTAAAGATATAAAATAATAATGAAATTGCATCTAACAGGTTTATTATATATATCAGAACCCATGAAACAGACATAATAACTTTATGCAAGAAGAAATCAAGGTCATAGGTGGTTAAATCATTTGTTTAGTTATACTGCTGGTATGCAGCAGCCCTGTTGAACTACACTGCTGTTGAGTATCAGCAGTGCAACTTTAAACAAATTATTTAACCATGTGTAACTTTGAACCCACCGTCTGTGCTTTCATCTACTACCAGTGTGCCCTAAACCTCAGTTATTGGTGTAACACCTTCATAAGTCACTTCTACCTCTTGTGCTATTATTTAGCTAATGTTTTTTATTAAAATCATCTTTAATATTTCTTGCTCAGCAAAAACATGTCCCATTTTAAAAAGGCTGTAGCACAGAGGGTTTGATGTGCTAGTTTTATTTTTTTGTACTACACCTTCAAATGAATAAACACATAACTCACAATAAAAATGTTCATCCATATACCACCTAAGACCAGCTTTGCCCAACAACGATAGCTGGTCCACACTTGGGGGTAGGAAATGGCGTGATATACGGGGATTTGCTTATGGGTTCGTCATAGGTAGGCTGTGTCTGTGTTTTATTCATCTTAGTATCCTTACCACCAGGTACCATAAGAGATCCATTATGGGCACTTGGTAAATGATGAATGAATTGATGACAGAATGAACGGAGTTATCAAGGGGAAGATGAAGAATGAATGCACTTCCCCTTCCTTATGGAGAAGATCGGAAGGAATCCTCTTTAATACGATGAGGAGGCTGGCTGGGAGCTGGGGCCCAGCACCGCAGGAGCAGAGTACTTAGGAGCTATGATGCTGTGACCACTATGGAGAGGTTGGGAGCCTGCCATTCTCCGTGTGAAGCCCTTCCAGGTGTTTCAAGCTCTTGGTTTATAGGACTGTGAATGTCGTCATCTTAATACAGCCCTTCCCATCACTTTGATCCCTGATGGAAAAATTAGCTCTCATCTGGCTGGTTCTTTAGCTAAAAATGTTCCACCCTGTGTGCCACTTGCTGTTTTCCTTCTTTTCCAGCTTTCTCATAAATCCTGGCAATACTCCAGACAAATTCTGCACTATCTCCTTTAGAAACAAATGCAGCAGCAGAGACTGAGCAACAGTCAAGTCCACAGAGCTGTGGTTAGTATTTGTATGAGTCAGAAGATCTGTCAGTGATCCCGCCAGCTAAAGTTTACTGAGAACCTACTACATGCCAAGCACAGGGCTTATGCCACTGAATTCTCTTGTCCTTCAGAATCAGACCATCTGGGCATAGCCACTGAAGCTGGAACTTAACTTCTGAGTTTAAAAAGGAAAAAGAAAATCAGCTCAACACCTACTGATTGAAGGTTAGCTGTAATACAAAGATAAGTTTCTGCCCTCAAGGAGCTTAGAGGACCCTGAGGAATCTCGTGAATTACAGCTTTGGGAAGTTGCTTGTGCATTGGGTCATGTCTTGAAATGTCACTGTACTTGTTCTCTTAGACAGCCAGCATATTATGGACACATTCAGCAGGCAAATGCCACTTATCTGTTTGCCCAGCATTTATGGGGCATATTTTGCAAGAATGGCAACTGTATAGCACACCTGTGCTCCCACCTCCACCAACTGCTCCGTTGTGGGCATCCCAGAGATGGCCTCAGCATCCTTCTCTACCCAATGCCCCAGGCTTTCAGAGCTGGTATTTAAAATGAAATCTGTAATCTCAGAGACTCAGGAAGCCAAGACAGGAGGATGGCTTGAGGCCAGGAGTTCGAGATGAGCCTGAGCAACATAGGGAGACCCCATCTCTACAAAACTTTTAAAAAAAATTAGCTGCTTGTGGTAGCATGCACCTGTAGTCTCAGCTACTCAGGAGGCTGGGGTGGGAGGATTGCTTGAGCTTCAGAGTTTGAGGCTGCTGTGAGCTATGATCATGCCACTGTGCTCTAGCCTGGGCCACAGAGTAAGATTCTATCTCTAAAAAAATAAAAAATTAAAAAATAAAAATAAGTGATATCTGCTTACTGACCCTTCTCTGTTACTCTGTTATATTTTACTGGGGCTAAAATATCCTTTCTTTCATGAAATGATGGTGCTCAGAGCGTGCGTGGCACCACGTGGGCTGCATAGCACCCAACTCCACTGTCCACTCAGACTACATGTGCTCAGCAGCCTCTGGTCTGCCCTGCGAGGCCCTAATAGGATGAGAGATGGTAGTTGGTATTTCTGGGCATTTAAAGCCCTATTTGGCAAAATAACACAGTTGGCACCCATGTTGTCGATCCCTTACAACTATTAAAAAAATTACATGTCTCCAAAATTCCATCTTTCCTTCCTTCCTTCCTCCTCCTTTCTTTCCCTCCTTCCCTTTCCTTTCTCCTTCTGTTCTTCTCTCTCTTTCTCCTGCAAATATTAAATTGCCTACAATGAACCAGACAGTACTCTGGGGTCCAGGAGTAAATAGCACAGACAAAATCTTCTGCCCTCAGTGGAATCCACATTCTAGTGGTGGAGGGGGAAAGACACAAATAAATGCAATCTGTTATATAAAATATATAGCTTGTTAGGTGGGGATAAGTGCTACAGAGAAAAATGAACCAGGGAATGAGGATATATGCATTGGGAGACTGTGATTTTTGCTGGGGTGGCAGGAGAAAGTGGCATGTTAGTAGACCTTCAAAGAAGTTAGGGAATTAGCTCCACAGATACCTGGAGAAGGGCTTTCTAAGCAGCAGGTACAGCATGTGCAAAAGCACTGAAGTAGGAATGTGTCTGGTGTGTTTGTAGAAGAGTGAGGAGGCCTGCTGGAGTGCATTGCGGAGGGGAAAGTGGAGGATATAAGTTCAGACAGGTAATGGGGTGGAGTTTAAAATCCTGTCTCAAGTAATGATTCTCAAACTGTGGTCCCTAAACCACCCCAAACCCAGTGAATCAGAAACTCTGGGGGTGGGGTCCACCATCTATTTGTTTTTTTTTTCCCAAGACAGCGTTTCACTCTGTCACCCAGGCTGCAGTGCAGTGGCACCATCTTGGCTCACCACAACCTCCGCCTCCCAGGTTCAAGTGAGTCTCCTGCCTCAGCCTCCTGAATAGCTGGGATTACAGGTGCACACCACCACACACAGCTAAGTTTTGTATTTTTAGTAGAGATGGAGTTTCACCATGTTGACCGGGCTGGTCTTGATCCACCCTCCGGTGATTCACCCTCCTCGCCTTCCCAATGTGTTGGGATTACAGGCATGAACCACTGCTCGGCCTCCACCGTCTATTTTAAGGAGGCCTCCTAGGATTCTGAAACCCACTAAAATGTGGGAGCCATCTCTCTGCAGCATCCAGGCCAGGCCTGACTACCCCCGAAGAGTCTGCTGTCCCATCTTATGTTCTGGCAGGTTGCGGGCAGCAGCAGGTGTGGCATGGGACAGAAGGGGTGTCAGAGTTGACCTGACCTCCTGATCCTAAGAAATGCTGTCATCTCAGCATCTGGAAGTTGACATTCATACTAATAAAAAAAGTCAGACGTGGTGCCTGTGCTCAAATTGAGGGCTGGGCAACTGTGAGGACAAAAGGTAGGAGGCATGGAAGTGGGGCTGATGCCCAAGAGATGGGATCATTGACTGTCAGGGTGGAGAGACCCTTAGGACATCTGGTCCAGGCGTCTTATTTCACAGATGAGAAGACTGAGGCCTAGAAGGGAGAAATGACTGCTAATTAGATACAGATGAGATTGCTGTGCATCCTCTGGGCTTCTAGGCACCTGCTCCCTTTCCAGTCTTGCCTCCAGGCTCAGGGCTCTGGGTACTCCAAGAACACTGCTGCTGGGTAAATTCAGGGGATCCTGGTGGTGTGCTGGCTCCAAAGGGAGCAGAAACCGGATAGCAGAGATTACAGCTGCCTCTGACATGATGTCATATTAAAATGAAAGGTTTAGGGAGATGAGCACTGCAGCCTGTCACCAGGCAGCCCGAGTGTTATTTAGGACTTTGTTTTTGTCTTGGTGGACTGCACTCAGTGCAGCCGTGAGTCACCAAATGATAGCTCTCAGGTTTTGACCGCATCCCATGTGCTGGGTGCTGTGCAGACCTCATTTCTAAACTTTGTCTGTAAAATTCCCATTTTACAGACAAAAAAGCCAAGCCTCAGGGACTTTAAGTAACTTGCCCAAGACTGGGGTTTGATCCTCCCTCAGTCTGAACCAAAGCTGGGGACCTTTCCACTTGCCTCTGCTCCTTTCATCGTCAGCTGCCAGCCTATGGTTTGGGCACCAGTTTGACACCAGGGTTATTGCCAATTTTATCTCTTCCCTTACTTTCCTATTTTCCCTCCCTCTCTTCTTCTCTCTCTTCCTGTCATCATTCCTTTCTTTTCTTCCTACCTCAGAACTTTATCAGGTGCCCACCACGTGCCCAACTTATGCTGAGTTATAAAATCCAGTGATAAGAGATAGTTCCTGCTCTCAGAGAAACCCCATGCTGGTAAGAATAAGTCACATAACTAAATAGTTGTTACATTATATGGTCACTGATATAATCAATGTCTGAACAATATGCAATGGGAATGAAGGTAATGAAAGGCTTCCCAGGGGAGGTGATAGCTGAGCTGGGCTTTGCAGGATGAATAGGAGTCCATCAGAAAGAGATAGTAAGTGGTTGGAGAAGGGTGAGGAGAAGAAACAGCTCATCAGGGGCTTTGAGGGATTAGGGTATGGACCATCTGGGGGACAGCAAGAGTTTTGCTGGATTGGAGCCCAGCCAGTGGGGTAAGATGTAAGATGTTGAGCAGTTGGGACTTTCACCAGTAGGCAGCGAAGACCCCAAAATCCCAGGTTCCCATTTCCTGAATGTTTTCTCTAGGCTATTCTAAGCTCCCTGCTTTGGTCACCACCTCCCCTCCCCAGCCAGCAATGACTGTCCCACAAGTGCCCCAAGCTCCAACACAACCCTGCCCTGACTTGTTTCAGAGTAGAGTCTGAGCAATCAGCCTTTAACTGGCAAAGTCAGGGAAGATGCACAGTCCTATTTACCTAATGGCTCTGTTTCCAAAGGGGAGCCAGGCCCATTGGAAGGCAACAAGCGAAGGTTGTGCTCACCAAAGGAGTTCTCTCCATTAGTCACTGGGTACATGGCTTTTTGTATTTTTTCTGAAACAAGGTCTCGCTCTGTTGCCCAGGCTGGAATGCAGTGACATGATCATGGCTTACTACAGCTTCCACCTCCCAGGTTCAAGCAATCCTCCTTCCTCAGCCTCCTGAGTAGCTGGGACTATAGACATGCGCCACCATGCCCAGCTAATTTAATTTAATTTTTTTTTTTTTTTTTTTTTTGTAGAAACAGGATTTCACTGTGTTGCTCAGGCTGGTGTCAAACCCCTGGGCTCAAAAGATCCTCTTGCCTTGGCCTCCCAAAGCAGCACTTTAGGAGTAGCCCCTGGGATTACAGGTGTGAGCCACTGTACCTGGCCTCACCTGGCTTTTTGAGAAATAAAAAATACCTTCTTTTCATATTTCTGACTACATGTACATCAGAGAAAATTAGAGCATTCACATAAGTGATGAAAGGAAAAAATGTAACTGACCCATCATCCCACCATCTAGAGCTAAACACTGCTAACAACTTGATGTATTATAGCATTTCCCAATGTTTTTATGCATTTACGTTTTTTCCTTACAAGATAGAATCATATTGCACATACTGTTCTGTGCCTGCTTTTTTCATTTGTCAGATTATGAGTGTCCTTACGTGTCGTGATACGCTCTTTGACAGCATCATTTAAAATGGTTGCATGATGTTTTGTGTTCACTTCTGTAATACTGGACATTTAGTTGTTTCTCATTTTTCAGTTCAAATTACAGTCTGGAGTAAATTACTCTGCAACGTAACTTTTCGTATATGATTGATTATATCCCGAGGATAAATTCCTAAATGTGGAATTGCTGGATTTGATCCCCCAGTTCATAAAAGGCTTTGATTGCCCCCCAGAAAGGTTGCAGTGACAACCATTGAGGTTTGAGAGGATCTGATAAATAATACCTCCTTTCTCTACACTAGTTCTGATATAGCTGATGTAGACTGGGGGCAGGTCAGGGAGATAGAGATGGAAATGCTGCTTGTATTACTAATACAGGCTGCTTTGTAGAACATGGCTGCTATCGATTGGAGGTTTGTGTCCCACCCCGCCACCTCAACTTGTATGTTGAATTTTCCTCCATGTGAGAGTATTAGGAGGTGCGGCCTTTGGGAGGTAATTAGGTCATGAGGGTGGCATCCTCATGAATGGGATTAGTGCCCTTATAAAAAAGGGACCCCAGAAAGCTCACTTGCCCCTTCCAACATGTTAGGACATAGTGAGAATACCACCATCTATGAATCAGAAAAGAAGCCCTCATTAGACATTGAATCTGCTGGCACCTTGATCTTGGACTATCCCAGCCTCCAGAACTGTGAAAAAGAAATGTTTGTCGTTTGAGCTACTCAGTCTATGATATTTTGCTACAGCAACCCAAACAGACTAAGAGTGGCTTAGTGGTGTAGCCACAGTTGGCTTCCTGATACTGAATGCTACAATGAAGCAGATGTAAGTACCTACTCATGAGCTGTGCTAGGAAACTGCAGACCTCAACCTGGAACTATGGTAATGCTGGAGATCAGCAGAATGCTTGCTTCCTGCTAGTAGCTGGCTCCCAAGGAGGATGCGTGGATGAGCTCAGCTATGCCTGCCAGCTTCTCTTCCCAAACTCATTAATGAGATGAGGCCTTCCATCTCCCCAGGGAAGACGTAAGGGGCTAATGCCAGGAATGTCATACAAATGGATGTCCCTCCACGTGGCAGGAAACATCAGTAGAGGGGAATACTGTTCTCTAATAATAACAATAAAAATGGTAGACCAGGTGTAGTGGCTCACACCTGTAATCCCAGCACTTTGGGAGGCCAAGGTGCGGGGGTTGCTTGAGGTCAGGAGTTTGAGACCAGCCTGGGCAACATAGTGAGACCCAGTCTTTAAAAAATATTTAAAAATTAGTCTGGCAGGTTGGCACATGCCTGTAGTCACAGCTACTTGGGAGTCTGAGGTGGGAGGATTGCTTGAGCCGAGGAGCTTGAGGCTGCAGTGAACTATGATCATGCCACTGCTCTCCAGCCTGGGTGACAGAACAAACCCTGTCTAAAAAAAAAAAAAGATAGCTAATTTGTACTGAGCACTACGCTAGACATTTTTCATGCATCTTTTCTTTTGATTCTTCTAACAATGAGTTGGATATTCTGTCCATTTCCATTTTGTAGATGAGGAAACTAAGGGTTAGAGAATTAAGGATCCTGTCCTAATTCACCTAGCTAGTACGTAGAGGACCTGGGATTTGAATCCCGGCAGCCTGACTCCAGAGATCACTCAGCCATTATAAAGCTGCCTCCCCGTATCAGCATCACCAGACTTTTGAAAGGGTGATAACCCTTAAACTTAGAGGAAGATCCAGCTAAAAGGCCAGACTTCCAGCTTGTCATTGTCCCCGGGTTGAAATGGCATGCCCCTCACTGCGTTGGGGCAGGCCTTCTGCCCAGCCTTGTTCCCATGAAATTCATTAATTGCTTTTGAAAGAACCACTTCACCATGTGTTTTAAATTACCATGAGCAGCAATTATGATGGACTGCACACAACAGAGAGGACTTGACAAGTGTCCTTGCTTCTTAGAGAACTAAGAGAGACACACTTGAGTTCACAAAGTGAGGTTTCTGATGATTCCATTTTGACTTAAGGATTGCAGTGCCTCATTAAGGATCTGCTTTAATTTAGGGAGAAAACAATGAATCTGTTAAAGAAATAATTTTTGATTAGAAAGAAAACATATAATTTGGGAGGGGAGGATGAGAACACTAATTAAACTTTTAATTGTGTCTGTTGCCCTTTAGGGTGTAAACTAAGAAACTGAGTAAAGCAAGAGAAACAGAGTTTTTCTTTAAGCGGTTTTCCATTGTTCTAGGCAATTCCCCACAGAGCAGCCACCTCTGTTGTAACCCATTTTTAGTTGTAATTGCCATATAAGCTGAAACTAGGCTGTTTTTTCTTCTATTTTTTAAAGCAAGAAATTTTGGCATTTTAAAAATTACATGTCGTGATAATTTTCTTATTCTTTAAAGATTGGCTAAGGTATACTAAGAAATTGGAAGACCTACATATTTATGCATTAGTATATCTGATTGGTAAAAGTGTGAGTGAGGAAATACAGGATACTGATTAAGAGTGTGGATTCTGGAGTCCTAACTCTTGAGGCTCACAGTTGGCTGTACCCTCTAGCTATATGATCTTAGGCAAGTTACCCAACTCTTCTTTGCTTTAGTTTCTTTTCTGCAAAGTGGGGTTAACAACAGCACCCCTGTCATAGAGTTATTGTGAGGATTTTGTTACGATAAGCTGGGTTATGCTGAAGTAACAGACAAATCCCAAATCTCAGAGGTTGAATGCAACCAATGTGTACTTGTCACTCATGCAGATTCCTTTGAAGGGCCAGTGACCCCAGACAGTTGCCCTCCATGTGTTGGCTTGACATATTCCCTGCTGTGTCAATTTTACAGCCCCTTCATATCAACATGCTTCCATTCTTGCTGCAAAAGGAAAATAGATTATGGAGAATTATTTACTGGCTCTCAAATACTTTTCTTTTTTCTTTTTTCTTTTTTTTTAATGAGATGGAGTCTTGCTCTGTCCCCCAGGCTGGAGTGCAGTGGCGTGATCTCAGCTCACTGCAACCTCTGCCTCCCGGGTTCAAGTGATTCTCTTGCCTCAGCCCTCCTGAGTAGCTGGAACTACAGGGCACACACCACCACACCCGGCTGATTTTTATGTTTTTAGTAGACATGGGCTTTCACCATATTGGTTAGGCTGGTCTTGAACTCCTGACCTCAGGTGATCCGCCCGCTTCAGCCTCCCAAATTGCTGGGATTACAGACGTGAACCACCTCTTCTGGCCTTGGCTTTCAAACACTTCTGAAGGCAGCGACACAAATCACAAACCACAAATCACTGTTTGCACTTCATTGGCCAAAGCAAGTTGTGGTGCATGAATTCGTGTTGATGGAAAGGGCCCAGAAGCAGCGGGACACCAGGAATATTGGTGAGCAGCAGTATGTCTGTCACCATATGTCTAGTGCTTATTCGAAAGCCTGCATGGCATGCAGTACGTGTAAGTGCAAGCTATTGTTGCTGAAGGCTGGCGCTGCCAAAATTTTATTTTAAATTTTATTAAAGCTGGTTTTTCTTCCTTTGAAGATTTGATCTAAGGAATAACTTCCACACAAGCAAAGAGGCCAAATGGAGTCCCCTGGGAGGTAGTAGGTGTTGCTCTCTGTCACAGTGGTTGCTCCAGTACTCTGTACACAGTACATAGCACACATTTGGGAGGTAGCATTCGCAGTGTTTGAGAATATGGACTTAGAGTCAGACAGCCTTGAGTTTGAATTCCAGAGCTAACACCTACTGAATGTATGGCCTTGACCAGGTTATTGAACCTTTCTTAGACTCGGTGACTTCACAGTTAAAGTGGTTGTAGCAGTGCCCACATCACAGGGTTGCTGTGATAATTAAATAAGATAATAGATATAAAGTGTTTGCAAAACGTGATACAAAGTTGAGTGTTCATGGATAGTAATTGTTATTTTTTGTTGTGATGATGAGGATGAGCAAACTTTTCTGAACCCTCAACTTGCTCATCTGTAAAATGGGAATAATAATAGTTATTGTTCAGAGTTTTGGGGGATATGAAGGAAATCACATATATGGACACAATACACAGAGTAGACACACAAAAAAATAGGTGTTTTCCTTTTTTCTCTATCAACTTCATAATGATGTCAGATTTTAATCCCAATCCAGCTGTACTAGATTATTTGGGTATCTTCTTCAACTCTTCCCTGCCTCCCAAGTTGTGGAGGGTTGAATGAGCTGATACAAGCACCTACCAATGTGGGTATGTAGGGGCTGTGCAGTAAATGTCATTTGCTATGACCCCCAACTTGTCCCACCATGTTCTTTCCTCCCTAAAGTGCCATTGCCATGATGGGATGGAATTTTAGGGGCCAAGGAGGAGATGTGCTGTGATATTGGGTAGGTCCAGCTTGGCACTGCACAGATCCTAACAGACAACTGCACTGCAGTGAATGACCCTACCTGCTGCAGTGAGTGATGCCACCTGAGGCAACTGACCCACCAGAAAGTGAAAAGTTAACACTTTATTCACAGCTGGGTAGCATTCATGGAATTTGACAGCCTCTAAAGGAATGCTGGTCATCAGAAACCGCCTCACACTGAGATCCGTCAACAGTTGGCTTCGATGGGGGGCACCCCTGGGAGCTGATGAAGCCCAGATAAGGGATAACATATCCTGAGAACACACCACACATCCCTGATAGCATCACTGCCATGAGCACCTTTCAGGCCATAGTCACTGTTCTAGAAGGCTGCTGAGAGTGTGCCACCTTCTCTTGGAAGCCTTCCCCACCCTGCCACACCCTGCCTTCCCAGCTGGTTGGTCCCTTTTTGCTTTGTGCCTCTTTGAACCTTTTATCAATGTCTTTCAGTGCTTGACACCCTAAGCACCAGCACACAGTAGGCAGTTCACAGATGACTGTTGAATGAGTAACTAAGAGAGGAAGCCAGGGACCTTGAAAACAACTATTTTCCAGAGAAAGCATCGTACATAAGGTCTCTGGATATAATTATTCTCCTGAGAATAGAAGACTGAACATGTTCCTCCTCTTCTAAAACCTTTACAAGGAAGAAAAAAGGAAGAAGAGAGTAAAAAAGGAAAAAACCTAACACCAGGAAACAACTCTGGAGAATACCATTTGAGGCTGCAGAAAAGGTTCAGGCTTAGGAGAAAAGCATATGGAGATTGATTAGTCATGCCTGCTGGGGAGTGGGCTAGGAGGAGGGCAGCATGTAGGCTTGGGAGCTGCCATCTCTCTTCAACCCTTAACTAGCGACCAAATTAGTGAAAATGCAGCTTTAAGAGTGAAGCACGGTTTTTCTTCAGCCTCTAATTGGGAGATTTAGCAAACATGGTTTACTATTAAAGTGAAAATGGGGTGGAAAATAGACAATTTTATAATCCACATTGAGTCTATATTGGTACCCTATCAACAGAAAATATATATTTTTTAATGCATGAGAAGGAAAGTGACTCCTTGCATCTGAGTTACTGATTATTCTTTCTGGAAGGGATCCCATGGTATCCTGGGAACAGGCAGGAAGGACATTGCAAACTCAGGGTGCCAGAAGCACTCCACTGAGAGACCTGCATCACTTCCTACAGGTGAGGCCTGAGCAGAACTTGTAGGGTTCCCCACTTGGCTGTGCCTGTTGGCCATTTGTCCTTTGCTGAGAACCTGTCAGTCAGCTGGAGCACAGCCCCCAACCACTCCCCAAATAGTTGGGACACAGGTGATTTGCTTAGATTTTGCCACAGTTGGTACAGTCCGGTTCTTGTCTCATCAGACTGCTTGCTTCTTTGTCCTTTATTGGAAGGTGCCTTCCCCGGATCACAGTGAGGTGGAAGATTGGCAGTAGCTGCTGTGAATGGGTATGAGCCTATACCTTCATACCAAGGGGGTGGTAACCATAGAGATTGTGAAGTGAAAACCCATCCAAGTTGATTAAAATTTGGTGAGGAAAAGGAAACTCTGTGCTTGACTGATTGGCATGAAGAGTTTAAAATGCATACTGAAGTCAACCAAGAAAAATGATTTACACTTTTTCCTCTTTCCTTTTTGTTTTGGATCTTGGATTCAACAGAGGGTTGAATTATTCATACTCAGAAGTTCACGGAAATTTTATCATTATGCAAGGGCTCTCTCTCTCATTTTATTAATATTTTATTTTTATTATTTTTATGTATTTATTTATTTTAGACAGAGTCTCACTCTGTAGCCCAAGCTGGAGTGCAGTGGCGCAGTTTCGGCTCACTGCAACCTCTGCCTCCTCCCAGCTCAAGCGATTCTCGTGCCTCAGCCTCCGAGTAGCTGGGACTATAGGCGAACGGCACCACCCTGGCTAATTTTTTGTATTTTAGTAGAGACGGGATTTTACCATGTTGCCCAGGGCAGTCTCGAACTCCTGAGCTCGGGCAATCTGCCTGCCTTGGCCTTCCAAAGTGCTGGGATTACAGGGGTGAGCCACCACTCCCGGCCTCTCTCTCTCATTTTAGTTCTTCACTTTTTTGTCTATAATCTCCACTCCCCTGTAGGTACTCATCCAAGGCGTTTAATATATGCTCTTGAACAGGTACATGTCTTTATAAAACATGTAAAATTGCTTTCTGTGTGTGTGTTATTGATTTATAGAAACGATATTGCACAAAGGAGCTTGTCCTGATCTTTCCATTTTCACCTATGTTCTCAATATCTATCCATGTTGGTTGTACATCTAGCTTATTATTTCTAACAGCTGCACAGTTAACTCCATCAAGATAGGCTAAGTTATGCAGCGGTAATAGCACAAAAATCTTAGCAGCTTAAAATTATGCAGGTTTACTGCTTGGCTCCACTACATATCCATCCCGTTAATAAGAGTTTTGCTTTGGAGACGTAGGCTGATGGAGCCTCCACCATTCAACACGGCAGAGAGATGAGCAAGTAGCAAATCACACACTGGCTCTTAAAGGCTCTGTCCAGAAGGTGACAAATAGCACACTGATTTTTAAAGCCTGCCCAGAAGTGGCCAAAACAAGTCACATGGCCATTCTCCACTTTAAAAGCAGTGGGAACTGCAAGCCTACTATGAATCTAAGAGACGGAGACACTGGAAATATTTGGTGAACTGTGTAATGACTATCACATAGTTGGCACCCATCATATTTTGTGTCTATCCATTCTTTAATGATGGGCAACTAGTTGCATCCAATTCCCCAGTACCGTGAACAATAATGTTGTCATTATGGGAACAATCTCCTTTCACTTGTTCCCATATGGACCCCATGCAAGTATCTATACTCAGGAGTGGGTTGGTCGGGTCACAGGGTTTATACAAACTTGGTTTCGATAATCAGTACCAGGTGAGTCTCTGGAACTGCTATGCCAGTCTAGACCCCCACCAGTGGCGCGGAGGGGTTCCCATTTACCCATATCCTGTTTAACAATCAATATTACTCAACATTGTAATTTTGTAAATCTGTTGAGTATAATGTGGAATCTATTGTTACTTTCATTTTCATTTATCTTATTACTAACGAATTTGAGCATCTTTTCATCTGCCTGTTGACTATTCTGGTTTCCACTTCTGTGACCTGCCTATTCATATCTACAGACCATTTTTCTATTGCATTTCCTTTCTTTTCTCATTGATTTATAGGAGTTACATATGTAGTTAGATGTTAATTCTTTGTTGGGTTTAGACATTGTAAATATCACTTTCCACTCTGCCACCTCTCTGTTAACTTTGTTCACAGTGTCTTTTGTTGAACAGAAGCCCTAATTTTGATGTAATCAAATCTACCAACTTTTTTTTCTTTTTGCTTTTTGGTTCGTGCCTTGGGGATTTTATTTAAGAGGACCTTCCATGCCCTAAGTTCACAAAGGTATTGTTTCACTTTCTTCTGTTAGCTTTGTAACTTTGCTTTCACATTTAGGTTTTTCATCCACTTAGAGTCTACTTTCATATATTGTGTTTGAGAGGGATCCAAATTCATTTAGTGAGCCAGTTTTCTCGACATTATAGAACCATTCCTTTCCCCATCAAGATGAGATGCAACCTTTATTATAAATCAGGTTCAAACAAGGGTTTTTTTTTTTTTTTTTCTTTTTGAGATGGAGTCTCGCTCTTGTCACCCCGGCTGGAGTGAATGGTGTGATCTTGGCTCACTGCAACCTCTGCCTTCCACGTTCAAGCAATTCTCCTGCCCCAGCCTCCTGGGTAGCTGGGATTACAGGCACCCACCACCACACCCAGCTAATTTTTTGTATTTTTAAGAGAGACAGGATTTCACCATGTTGGTCAGGCTGGTCTCGAACTCCTGACCTCAGACGATCCACCCTCCTTGGCCTCCCAAAGTGCTGGGATTACAGGCATGAGCCACCATACCCAGCCCAAACATGGTTTTTTTTTTTTTTTTTTTTTTTTTTTCTGAGCTTTTGTTCTCTTCTGAGCTCTCTGCACCTTATTGTTCAAGAAATAAAACAGAATGAGTTTTGTTTGGCAGAATTTGCCTGGTGTATTCTGAGTAGGGGAGCCCTGATGATTTCCTGTAATGCTGGGAGGTGGTGAGGCATAATGAAACTAACATTAAACTTGGGGTCAGAGGAACCCAGGCTTGTTCCTGGCTCCACCACTTACAGCCACGTGAACTTGAACTACTCCCTCAACCTCTCTGAGCCTCCGTTTCTACATCTATTAAACAGCGATGATGATATGTATCGCCTAGGAATTCTGTAAGAGTTAAATGCTAGAATATATGTAAAAGCATAGCTTTCAGTAAACGTTATTTTCCCTTTGATCATTGTCACCAGACAAAAACTCTAACAGTAAGTGGTTTTCCCCAGGCCTCACCAAGGTAGGTATAAATTGGGAACACATTATTCCTGATCCCTCAAATGTCACTGCCTCTTGTTCTCGCCTGCTAATGGATGACTTCTCCTCAGTTCTTTCGTTCCTTCTGTGTATCCCCATGGTGGCCCATGTCGGTTCGTGGAAGCTTCCCGTTGACCTTCCCACCAATGAGCACACTTCCATTGGCACTGCAGAGGTTTCCAGGGACACACACTTTCTCTTCTTCCAAAGTCAGCCAATCAGCCCCACAGGCTTGGAGACAAAGGTAGATGTAGATGCTTAGCCGGGAATGTTGGACGAGTCCTCAGAGTGTGGCTCTTGCCTGGGCATTTCTTCACATGGGCTTTAGGAACACAGTATTTCTGCCTGGCTCCCCTTCCTCTCTCAGCCCTTTCCCCTGAAAAAATAGATAAAAATCAAGACAAAGCATGGTCTCTGGGTCACAGGCTTGAGGGAAGCATGGGAAGTGTTGCAGCCGTGCTCTGGACTGGGTGGCCTGGTGGGGCTGCTGAGCCTGTGCTGCTGGAAATAGTTTGGTTGAAAGGCCATGCAAAGCCAGCTCTGTGAAGGTGCTTCTTTGGCTGCCTATCAAAAAAGGGATTTTTTTTTTTTTTTTTTTTTTTTTTTTACAGTTTTGTGACTTAAGCTTTTGATCCCTTGGTTGTGGCTCTGTGCTGATACCTTTGCTGAGCCTTGAAGGGCTGTCAGGGTAGGCAGGAGGATCCAAAAGTTGTTTTCGACCCAGCACACTGGCCAAGAAAGGCTATCACCTTCCAAGAAGGGTGACCACCTCCTACTATACGGCAGCCCTCAGAGGGCGTTTATCTCAGCGGGCATTGTCCTGACCCACCCCCCTTCTCCTCCTCCCTTTGGATTGTGTTTTGAACTACTTACTGCTGGCATAGCCCATCAGAACATGCTTCCCTTCCCCCCAACCTTATGATATTAATAAAGCAATTTCATTCCTCTCTGGATCCTGGGACCTGTATGTAGGCTCTGGCTTGATTCCGGCTTGAGTAGCAAGCAGGGAGATCATTCTGGAACTGTGCTGTGTCAGAATGAGACTAAATCCCATCTCTAGGTTGCTTCTGCCAGGCTGACGGATTGGAGAGAAAGGAGATTTAGGAAATCTGCCCCAAACCTGTTGCTAAACAGCCTCACACTGTCTGTCTAGTCCCTGGGAAGGAAGGATTTGACTGGCAAATCTTGTTCTAGGATGAGACTAAGCTGCTGTCCTGCCAGGCTTCTACGAAGCTTTAGGGGAGAAGTATGGAGGTGGGTTGGGGAGGGGCACTCAGTCCAGATGCCCAGAGCTGGCCTCGTTTCAGAGCCAGTTGCCCTCTGATTTTAAGCAGTAAAGTCTGGCCTAGACTTTTGTAGTTATTCCTTTACTAGCAGAGGATTCGTTGCTTTTCCCTCTCATTTCTTAAATACTCCTGGAGTTAAGGAGGTAAATAAGTGTACGCTCAAGATAGATTATGAAATTGAGTTTTTTACTCCTCCTCCATTTCCATCCTAATAGTGCAGTATACTTGCTATATTTTTATGTTAAATGTGAAGAGGAAGGCCATAATTCACTCTTCAAGATCCATTTCCACTTATTTGATCTCCATTTCAGCTTGGATGGCAAAGATACTTGGTACTTCTGCCACTTGGGTTCTGTGATCATGGCAGACATAACTAATTAAGCACAGCACTTTTTCTCACTGAACTCAGATGGGACTTCAGGATCCTTCTCAACACAGTTCTAGGCAGCTGCTACTGATGAGAATCGGCATGTGAGATGTAAACTGTTTGCTCTCCTGTCCTGTAGGTACTCATCTGGTCTTCTTCATAGTTCTGTGTTCATTCTATTTGGTACTTTGTACCTTATATGACAAAGTATCTTCACTTCATAAAAAAGTGAAGACCTATATCTGAAAAAGTGAAGATATATTTTCTGTAAGTTGCTTGAGAGAAGAATCTGTGTTTGATTTACTTTTGCATCATCCCAATTCTGCCCTGTTGTCATCTTTAATACCTATTTGTTGGATCAATGAATGAATATATCTTCTCATTAAGGCTAAGAGGACAGTGTTGAAATTGTACTCAGGACCAGCGTTAGGTCTTGCAACTCCTTCCCCAGTGACACATGAATGAAAGCCAAGCAACAATTACAGAATACAAGCTGAGAGTACATTTAAGCCCATTTCCTGCCCCAAACCAGAACAAAGCAGGGATAGTTCATCTCATGTAAATTTCATAATACAGGAAACCACCTCCCCTGAGCCAAAATTCAATTCAACTTGGCGTCTTTCTCAGCTTGGTTCCAGCAAGTGTGTGGCACTGAGAGGTTGGATAGAGCCTGCGTCCTCAAGAAGTGTATTACCAAGGGGGGCCATAAGGTGTCCACATGACTAAATCAGCATAATAAACCCCTGACCTCCTCTACAACCATTCGCCTCTGTGCTCACTGAGCTCAGCTGCGTGGACTTCCTGCCACACCTGAAGATACACCCACCCCAGAGCCTCTATCACACCTGGCAGCCACTGCTTCACCCCCTTGCTTCCCTCCGGGCTTTTCTCAAATGTCCCGTATGTCCCTGATGACCCCATCATTCTCTTTCCTCCTTTTCTTACTTTATTTTTTGTAGCACTTTAACCAGTGGACCTGGAGATATTGACTTATTATTATCTTTGTTCATCATTTGTCTCCTGCCCTGGGAAGTGAGCTGCAGGGACATTGCCTCTTTGGTACATTGCTGTCTCCCCAGTGCCGGGAGCAGGGTTTATCAACCTCAACACCATTGGCATTTTGGCCTAGACAATTCTTTCTTGTGAGGGGCTGTCCTGTGCATGGTAGGATGTTAAGCAGCATCCCTGGCCTCTACCCAGTAGCTGCCAGTAACACCCCCTCTCCTCAAAAAGAATGCCTCCAGACATTGCTAAATGTCCCCTGAGGGAGAGGCAAAATCACCTCTGGTTGAGAACTACTGGCCTAGAACAACATTGGCACCTAGCAAACACAAATATGTGTTGGAAGAATGAATGAACTCCGCATTGGCTGGCGGTGCTCCTACTGTGTGCTGAGCACCGGTTTTCTCCCATTTACTGTTGCATCTGTGTGTGTAGATGGAGCAATTCCCATCTACACTTCCTCAAAGGCTGTTCCTAAATGTTTCAGCTGGGTGGTGCCTGTAGGAAAATATATGAGAAGATTCAGGGCCCATAAGCAGAGAAGCCATTAGCTTGAACCCACTTCCTGGGCCTCTGCCTGGGCCCAGAAAGCAAACACTCCCCTGGGGTTCGCTGCATGTATATAAAGCATCACTTTCCTTTGAGGAAGTGGGGGTGATTGTGAGGTTTAGAGATGATATCCATAAAGCATCTAAAACAGTTCCAGACACACAGTAGTAGATGCTTAATAAATGGCAGCTGTGATATTATGCAGAGGCCTTAACCTGACCCCTGCTTGCCTTTCCAGCATATTCATCCCACATCCCCATCTCCAAGCTCCTCTATCTTATAGATAAAGCAACTAAAATTGAGTCAGCTGGAGGAATGTGCCCAATGTCACACAGCCAGGAAGTGATGGAGGGGACCCTGGAGCCCAGGTGTCTGGGCTGTGGGACCCGGCACTTTCTCTTCCCTGGAGAGAGGGATGGCCCCGTAACTCAGCATCCTGCGCTTTCCCTAGCCCGGTGCCTTCCATTCATGCTCAGTAAATACTTGTGGGGGAACTGAATGCACAGCCCAGCAAATAAAATCAGACAGGATCAGTGCTGTAGTGGAGTCTGCGCAGACAGCTCGGGACACGTTGGAGGCGGAGAGGACTTTCCGGTGGAACTGTTAGTGTGTGTCCTGGGCAGAGGCCTGGGTGAGCCCTCCCAGAGTGAGCCCACTGAGTCTCCATGGTGGGAGGGTTCTGGAATCATCAGCCCCGTTACCTGCAGAGGGAGTGGGCAGGGAAGGGGGCTGGGGGCAGCCGCAGCCTCCCCTCCGTCTGCCTCGGTGCCCTGTACCCTCCTGCCTGGTCAGAGCACTTCTTTGTTCTCCCCTCTGCTCCGTTTTCCAAATCGGAGGCTTTGAGGTCTGCTGGGTCCTTTCCTTTTTCTACTTCCTACATCTTACAGCCCCTGCCTGACTTCGCAACAGACACAGTTCCGGCTTCAGAACTGCCCTAGTTGTCTAACCTACATTTCCCATTTCCTGCTGGGCAGGATCTCTCACCTGCCCTTCGAGGCTGGGTTTGAGGCCGACTCACTCCTCTCTCCTCATGTCCCCCTCCCAGGCTGGGACCCTCCCACACCAAGTTCAAAGTTGGCTTTTCAAATCTTTGCACTTTGGGGCCAGGGGAGGCCCTTTTCCTGAGTGCTTTCATCCTTCCTGGCCTTTTCAAAGTGAGCTCCGTGGCCCCACCCAACCAGCTGGGACCAGGATTCTTGGCTGTCCTGCTGAAAGTGATGCTTTATATACATAAAGTGAACCCCAGGGGAGCATTTGCTTTCTGGGCCCGAGCAGAGGAAGACGGCTTCAAGCTAGTGACTTCTCTGTTTATGGGCCCTGAATCTTCTCATATTTTTTCCTACAGGCACCACCCAGCTGAAACATTTAGGAACAGCCTTTGAGGAAGCCTGTGTTTGTAGGGACATCTGAGAGTGTTGATGAATGCCAACGGCTCTGATGGAAAAAATAAGCTAATCAAAAAACCATTTAGGAGTAGCTTTCCTCTACAATGAATAATTTCATCTTTCCTCATGCTCTGGTACCCACACTCACCTGAGATCTTTGACTGTTTTCTCTCTTGGGCCCTGAATGAATGCTTTGGGATGGAGGCAGTAGCTGGCTTTGGGGAAAGGTTAAGTCTTTTTGGCTTCCTCTGGTCATGCAACACACAGAGAAAACATTTAGCAAGCAGATTCCTGGACTGAGGAACCTCCCTGAAATGGAAACACTAAGGTGTTAAGTGTTAGGGGTTCCCTTTAAAATAACAGTAGTGGCTGGGTGCCGTGGCTCACGTCTGTGATCCCAGCACTTTGGGAGGCTGAGGTGGGAGGATCACTTGAACCCAGAAATTTGAGACCAGCCTGGGCAACATGGCGAGACCTTGTCTCTACTAAAAATACAAAACATTAGCCAGGTGTGGTGACATGTGCCTGTGATCCTGGCTACCCAGGAGGTTGAGGTGGAAGGATCACCTTAGCCCGGGAGATTAAGGCTGCAGTGAGCCAAGATTGTGCCGCTGCACTCTAGCTTGAAGGACCAGAGTGAGACCTGGTGTCAGAAATCATCATCATCATCATCATCATCATCATCATCATCATCATCATAAATAAAAATAAATAAAATGACAGCAGAAACAGCAGCAACAAAACCAAAGCCCTCTCCTCCCTGTGGGCCAGTGGGGCACCTCCAGGGGAGAAGACCGGGGGCCCGGTGCCGTTCTACCTCTCACTGGCTGTGGAGCCCTTAGCAGGTAGCGCGAAGTTTCTGGGCTCAGGTTCCTGGTCTGTAGCACAGTGATGTTCGTTACTTACCTGCTGGAGGCCAGACCTGGGCCAGATGGTCTCTGAGGTTCCTTACTACTTGGTTTCTGTGATCCCCTCCCTTCCACCTCCACTGCCCTCTTCCCAGCTGGACAATTGTTCTTTATGGACTTCTCTTCCTGCCCTAGGAATCCTATACCCTTCACCTGTGTCTCCTATTCAAACCTGCAGAGGCTTCCCTCCCATCACCTTGGGAGTCGAATCCAGGGTTCCTGCCTCGACTGAGGCTGTGTACCATCCTGCCTAGCCTGGGCTGCTTTTCCAGCCCACTTCCCCATGCGCCATCTCTTATTTGTCACTCTCCAGGCCCAGGGCCCTTTTTGCTATTCCTTGAATAAGACCAGCAACTCTCAGCTTCAGCTTTTGCCCTTGCGGTTCCTTCTACCAGGATGGTGTCCCCTAGACAACCCCATGGCCCCCGTCCTCACTTCTGTCTGGTATTTGCTCCCCTCCTCGAAGATGCCCTCCTCTCCCTCCCTCACCACCCTGCGCTCCAGCCATCCCCTTCTGTCATCTCATCTGGCCATATTTTCCTTCACAGGGTATGTATTACAAACATATTTGGTTCTTTTGTTTCACTCAACTCCAGGAGGGCCAGGCTTTCTCTGTTTTGTCACCACTGCGTCTCTGGTCCCCAGAACTGTTCCCAGCACATAATTGTAGGCCTTGAGTATATATTTGATGAATGGATGAATGAATGAATTTGCATTTATGCTGCAAACTCCTTGCTCCATGTCTCTGGATCAGGTTGATTTATCTGGGCTCAAGTTCCTTAACTGAACAATGGGCTTATATTCACCCTAACACCTCACAGTGTTGTGTCTGGCTGCAGTTCAGAAGGAAAGCAGACCTGCAGCCATCTATCCACCTTCCAGCGGAACAGATTCTCAGGCCCCTTGCAGCCCTGGCATTGCGCGATGCTGTGATTCGTCTGTGACCCTTAAAAGACCTGCCCTTAACTCCCGGGGTGCAATACAGCAGTAGAGGTTCTCAGCACCGAGAAACAAGTACTACTGCTGTGGCCCAGAGCAAACAGTTTTCTCCTTCATTCTGAGTTATGTAATAATGATCAGAGCTGCCTTTTATTGAGTGATTACTATATGCCAGGTACACATGCTGTTTTATTCAACCCTACAACCCTCGCGCTGAATGTGCAAGGTGCTCTCAGCAGCCCTGTTGTTCAGGTGAGGGGCCCAGAGGTATAAGGGGCAGATTCTCCATTTGAGCCCAGGCCCGTCTGAGTCCAGAGTCCAACATCTCACCACTGCTGTGTGTTTTTCTGCTTTTCAATGAAGAAAAAGCGTCAGTGGCTACTACCTGGACTGTCTTGGACATGGAGATGCACTGCTCAGATACCCCTTCAGGACTGAAGGGCCTCCCCCACAGCTGAGGGGAGTGCTGCTGGCGCAGCTCTCAGCTTTCTGTCTGCTTTGGAAGTTGACCTTGTTTGAGAGAGCTTCTGGGCCAAAGTCTCACCCCTCTCCCTAGGCAGCCCATGTCCAGGGACTGATTGATGTAGGGGTATAAAAGCCCAGCCCCCATGCACCAATTTAGGACAGCGCTGAAGCATCATCCTAGCTTGCTAACACCCACCAGAATGGCCTGAGGCCTCTGTTGAGACTGCATCACAGTCTAACTTCTCCCTCTGTCCGGTTTTGCTTCTCACCCTTCCCTGCCACTGGGGTTGAGCCCAAGAACACTTCCTTGAGAGAGAGAGAGAGAGAGAGCAAGAGTGTGTGTGTGTGTGTGTGTGTGTGTGTGTGTGTGTCCCATGTATACTCCGTTTATGCTCATCTCCATCTCCTTATTTGCTTCTTGGGAATCCCAACTTGCCTCAGGGACATCTCCCCTGGATCCCTGTGGGTCTTAGAGGGTCCCATGTGCTGGAGGTGACCATGTGCTTGGAGGTGACTGTCAATCTAGCTCCTCATTGTGGTTCTGAGTTGTGATGTTTTCTGGTTAGACGAATAACTCTTTGCTGAGCTACTGTAAACATACACCATGGTCATTTCTGGCAAATGCCTGTTGAAGATGGATGGTTTGGGAATGAGAAAGGCAGAAATGGGATTAACATTGCACACAGCTCACACAGCCAAGAGGAAGACCTTGTTTTGGGAAGGCAGTGGGATGTGGCCAAATGTAATAAAGGCAGTAGGATGTGGCCAAATAATGTTTAAGTCTGGTTGCTTCAATGACAGCCCCATTCTGGACTTGTTTTAATCCCCTCGTAGTTTCCAGAAGGACCACAACACACACTTGACGCTCAAGAAGGGTGGGAAGAAGATAAGTGAATCATCTGGTAGGGAAGTAAAAGGGAACCATGCAAAGCGAAAAAGTGGGGAACATAATCTCATTATGGACTTCGGGAGACCAAGCCATGTGTAAATTTCACAAACACCAGTGGAGTGCTTCCTTTGTGCAAAGCCAATGCCAACGGCTGGAATATTAGATGATTCAGCTGTGGTCCCTGTCCAGAAAACACTTGTGACTCAACCTTGGGCATGTCCCTTAACCACTTTCTTTGGCTTGGCTATAGGCAGACATGGTCTCTTAACCTCAAGTCACTTAAATATTGGGGGATGATGGGATTGCTTCCTCCTGGCATCTTCCCTGCTCATCCCCTTACTTTGCACATCATTTGGCAATGACTGCACCACTGCCACCACAAATTGCTATTAATTATTGAGCACTCACCATATGCCAGGACCTGCGCTTAAAGCAATTTATGTACACTATGGTATTTCATCCTTATAACAACTCTATAAGGCAGATACTGTCCTATTTTATACATGAGGATCTGAGGCTCTGGGAGCATAGGTAATTTGTCCAAGGTCTTATAGCAAGTAAGTAGGGGAGCTAGGGCTGTCCAACAATGCACCCCATCCTCTTAGTCCCCTCCACCTGGAGAAGCCCACCAGTTCATGTTTTTGGCTCTCACCTTGTCCCCTTACGGCCCTCATTCCCCTTGAGCTGTCTAGTTCTGCCTCCACACACTGGCTCGCCTTCCCTGTTTCCCTTGTCACAACGCATCCTGACTGTTCATGCCCAAACCTACAACTGTGCTGGCTCCCTCTGTCTTTGGGACTAAGAATGGATCTTCTGTCACTTGTGAAAACGTCCCCTGATGGGTCTTTGGCTGCATGCCATGCCCTGTGGACAAGCATTGGGGTTCCCTAAGAGGCTGTAAAATAGGAGTCACTGGGATTCTGCCTGCATCTGATGTGAGAGCCACCCCTGCTTTTGTAGCACAGAGTAACAGATGGTGCCAGAAGGAATTTAAGAAGCCTGATTTTTGCTCACAGCAGCAGGCAGTGTGGTGTAGTGGTTAAGCACCAGAGCCATCAAAGTTGACATCCTGGACTTACCATGTACCTGCTGAATGACCTTAGGCAATTTACTGAACCTCTCTGAGCCTCCCTTTGCCCTTCTATATAATTGGGATAATAGTAAACTCCCATAGGGTTGGTGGAAAAGTAGGTGAGACATTGCATTTAAAGCACACATTGCTCCACCTGGTGCAGAGTAAGGGCTCCATAAATGGTCCTGGTTGTTGGCATTGCTCTTGGTGTTAGTAGACCAGTTGATAGGGTTTGTCTGTGTCCCCACCTAAATCTTATCTAGAATTGTAGCTCCCATAATCCCCACGTGTCATGGGAGGGACCTGGTGGGAGGTAATTGAATCATGGGGGTGGGTTTTTCCTGTGCTGTTCTTGTGATAGAGAAGAAGTCTCACGAGATCTGATGGTTTTATAAAGGGCAGTTTCCCTGCACACACTCTCTTGCCTGCCGCCGTGTAAGACGTGCCTTTGCTCCTCCTTTACCTTCCACCATGATTGTGAGGCTTCCCTAGCCATGTGGAACTGTGAATCCATTAAACCTCCTTTTCTTTATAAATTACCCAGTCTCAGGTATTTCTTCATAGCAGTATGAAAATGGACCAATACACCAGCCACAAATTGAGTATCCCCCACATCCCATCCTCTCTCATTCCTTTTCTTCCTTCCTCAATATTAATCATTACCCACTACCAGCAAAGCCTAGTGCTGGGACAGTTGGAAACAGAGAGATGACAAAGACTGACTCAGCCTTGAGGAGCTTACAGAGCCCTCTAGAAGAACAAGGGTCAGTTGGACAAGCTGCCAGGAAGCCTTAGCTTTGAATCTCGGCTCCACTCCTTGCTCCATGTCCTTGGATCAGGTTGATTTATCTGGGCTCAAGTTCCTTAACTGAACGATGGGCTTATATTCACCCCAACACCTCACAGTGTTGTGTCTGGCTGCAGTTCAGAAGGAAAGCAGACCTGCAGCCATCTATCCACCTTCCAGCGGAACAGATTCTCAGGCCCCTTGCAGCCCTGGCATTGCGCGATGCTGTGATTCGTCTGTGACCCTTAAAAGACCTGCCCTTAACTCCCGGGGTGCAGTACAGCAGTAGAGGTTCTCAGCACCAGCAAACGTGTTCTGAACTGAGCGCTGGTAAACAGAACCAGTGTTTACGAATGGGTGTCACTGGCCTGCTGCTTTGCGTTTTATCACCGAAGATTATGGAAGATTGGGAGCTCTTATTTCAGAGCATGCTTTATGGTTTTCATTACTCTCCTGAATCTCTGTATAATTTGCTGGGATTAGGGACGGAGTGCCTTTGTTTCTTTGTTTGCATTCTTTTCCTTCCATGTAAACCAGTAAAAATCAATAAAAAGCCAGCAGATGAAAGCCCCGCCCACACCAGAACTTGGCTGCGTGTCCCAACATGACTGAGTTGGCCCCTTCTTGGTCAGGGAACAGGCTGAGTGAACCTGAACCTAGGTTTTTGTTTCTGTGTGGTCTGAAAGAGGACCACGCCCTGTATTTACAGATGGGGAAACTGACACCAAGAATTAGGAAATGACCTGTCTAAGGCTGATTTACCTAGCATCTACTGAACCCCATGCCGAGTCATTTGACAAATTATTTTGGGGTGCCTGCTGAGTGTAATTAGCAAGGATCAGGGAGTGGCTTTGTTTCTTTGTCTGCATTTTTCTTTTTAACCCTGAGCTGAGCTGCCATTCTGTCACAATAGTCTCTAAAACAGGGTACATGCGTGAATGTGCACGAAAGGGCAAGAGGAATGTTTTAGAACATTTTTCTCATCCTTTTAGTATTTATATACTTTATGTATATTTTATAATGACCTATATTATATGGTAGTACAGCAGTATATTATATACAATGTTATATATGCTATGTATATGTCTCTAATATTATACTATATATTCAGTTATAGGTTTGGTATAATCTATAATTAAATATATAGTCACATATCAGAGAGGTATATATAAGAATGGTAGGGATGTGTGATCAAAACTGTTTGGAGACCACTGGTTTAATGAATGCATAGCTGTTCCTGACCATTCTGTCTACACTACCCACCCCCCATCATTACTCTCTTTTCCTCTATTCTGCCTTTGTCTTCATCATTCTCCCTGATATTATATTGCATTTTTGTTTATGGTCTGTTTCCTCTATTAGAAAGATAGGTCTGCATAGGTGGAGACTTGGGTTTGCCCACTACTGTCTCCCCAGCACCTAGAAGTGCAGGCTGGGCACTCAGGGGCATGTGCTAAATACTTGCTGAAACAAATGAATGGATGTGGAGCCTCTGCAGACAGGTGAACACACATGCCCCACAAGAGTGTGCTGTGTACAGGGTTAGGGCAAGGGCAGAGTAATCTGGGGATGCCAAGTGGGCATCTGATCCAGCCTGAGGTATGCAAAGGGGCTTCCTAATGAAGGGCTGCCTACACTGGCACCCAAAGGCTGAGGAAGGAGTTGGCCAAGAAAGAGGAGAGCTCCGGGTAGGAACAGCAAGGGCAGATACAAGAGACTAGAGAGGGCAGCGTCTTCCTCAGGGCTGGGCAGTGTCAGGGAATTAATGGCAATGGATGAGGCTGGAAAGGAGATTAGATCTGTTCATCAAACACTTCCACATTGTCTTCAGGAGTTGGGGCTGTATCCTAAGGGCAGGGGGAACCATTCTGACTGCAGCATGGTGTGGTGTGTGGAGCATGGACTAAGAGGCCAGACCTCTGGATTTGCATCCTGGCTCTGTTATTTGTCAGCTCTGTGACTTTGCAGTTATTTAACCTCTCCTGCCTCAGCTCCCTCAGCTGTAAAATGGGGATGATAATAGGATCAGCCTCAGCAGGGCATTGGGAGGATTAAATGAGCTAATTTATGTAAATCGCAGAGATAGCTCTTGGCATGTAATAACTACTCTATATGTGCAATTTATTATAACTCATTCAACAAATGTTTATTGAGCCCCCTATGGTCTCCAGGCTGGAGATACAGTCGTGACCAAATCATACCTAAACCATGGAGCTTGCATTCTAATTAGGGCAGAAAAAAACAATAAATGAAGAAATAAATTAACAAGAACAAATTGGCCAGCAATAAGACCAAGAAGAGAATTAGAGTGGGGATGTATAAAGGTGATGGGACTCCCTCAGGTTGGGCATTCCATAAGGGCCCCCTGGAGGAGGTGACTTACTAGGAATGAGTTTGGATGCTTTCGAAGGCCTGCAAGGATAAGTGTGTTTGCCATATAGTGGGCCCAGGGGAGGGAGGCTTTAGGAGAGATGGGCCAGGACCTGGCACACAGGGCTTGTCTGTCAAGGGAAGGGGTTTGGGTGCAAAGCCACTAGATGTTTCTACGTGTGGTGGGATTTGGCTCCTTTTTAAAAGATCCTCTTTGTAGCAATTGTGAATGGGAGTTTACTCTTGATTTTGCTCTCTGTTTGTCTATTATTGGTGTATAGGAATGCTTGTGATTTTTGCACATTGATTTTGTATCCTGAGACTTTGCTGAACTTGCTTATCAGCTTAAGGAGATTTTGGGCTGAGACTATAGGGTTCAGCCATAAAAAAGGATGAGTTCATGTCCTTTGCAGGGACACGGATGAAGCTGGAAACCATCATCCTCAGCAAACTAACAAACGAACAGAAAACCAAACACTGCATGTCCTCACTCATAAGTGGGAGTTGAACAATGAGAACACATGGACACAGGGAGGGGAACATCACACACTGGGGCCTGTTGTGGGGTGGAGGGCTAGGGGAGGGATAGCATTAGGAGAAATACCTAATGTAGGTGATGGGTTGAGGGGTGCAACAAACCACCATGGCATGTGTATACCTATGTAACAAACCTGCATGTTCTGCACGTGTATCCCAGAACTTAAAGTATAATAATAATTAAAAGAAAAAATCCTCGTAGCTGCTGCCTGGACTCACTGCAGGGTAGGAGGGTCCTTGACATGAAGAAGAAAATGGGCTTGTCGGTGCCCCTGCTGTGTCCCCTCACCTCCTCAATGGCACCTTCGCCCTTCATTGCTTCTAGTTCCCTTATATTCTCCCTGACCCCATGTCAAGGCCCACTCTGAGGATCATTCCAGCTTAAGAGCCAAATGACTGCAGCAGCTTACTTTGCAGCTCTTCGTTTTGGGGCAAGATTGGCCAGCTAGTGAGTACCAAATTTAGGGTGCAGACCCACTCCAGAAGCCAGGCCTATAGGCCTTACCCATTTGCCCTGCAGGTATGGCTGGCCAGAGACCACTCAGTGCCTTCCACCCACAGCCCTGAGTTTAGCATTTGCCTCTGTTGTCTGTGTGTGTGCCGCATTTTGAGAGGCAGCCTGGTGTAGAGGTGAAGCCAGAAGGTCCCAGAGACAGGCTGCCTGGGGTGGAATCCTGCTTCCACTCCTTGCCAGCCAGGTGACCCTGGGTAGATTCCTTAACCTCTCTAGATTCCGGTTTTCTCTTCTGTAAAATGAGGATAACCATAGCAACTACCTTACAGAGTTCTAAGTGAGTTAACATTTATAAAGCCCTTAAATAGAGTCCAGCACATAGTAAGTGGTCAATAAGTGTTCACAGTTATTATCAGTGTTGCTTTCCTGCCTATTCAAGGGGACAGGCGCCTGTTCTCTGCCTACCTTTCAGAGATGGCTGCAGGATTAATGAGATAATGATTGTCGACTGTTTGGAGCTTTGCAGAACAAAGGCACTGCATAAATACACATGATTATTATTGTCATCTTTATGCTTTGCTTGGGTGGGCCTATTGTGGTTGGCTGATTTATGGAAATGGTGTGTGTCCCCAGGTGAACTGAATTAGTGATAAGCAAATTGCAGACAGTTCAGATAATCACAGGGTCTTCCATCTGCTCAGGGCCTTTCATTGTGAAAGCTTCCAGGGAGCTGTGTAAGATAGAACAGCAAGACAGCACCCATCCAAGCATGGCTCCAAGCGCCCAGGTGTGCAGGCATCCACCTATCCATCCACCCAGTAATGAGCATCCGGCCCAGGTGTGCTGAGCATGCTGGGCTCCAGACCCACACACCTGCAGTCTCTATGGGAGTGAGGAAACAAGCGTGCTCCTTGCAAAAATGGCAGTAACTGAGAACTCACATGTCTGGGACATTTGCTGAGCACCAAGTCATGTTCCAAAGATTTCCTATGTATTGATGTGTGTGATTCTCAACATCCAGGGAGGTAGAAACCAATTTTACAAATAAGGAAGCAGAAAAGACCTGCTTAGGGCCATGTAGCTAGGAGGGGTGTGGTTGGGGTTCCAACTCAAGCAGCCTGGCTCCACAGCCAACAATGTCGTTAACCAGTATGTGACCATTTCTAACGAGGAGCAAGAAGCCTCCTCAAATATCAGCAGAAGGAAAAATAGGTTAGCTGAGAGAGCCAGTGGCATTGGCCCAGAATGGAGACCCTGGTTGGGTTTCTTTGTTCCCTAAGTGCATCTTGGCAGGTGTCGTAGGTTGAGTTTCCTGGAAAAGAGACTCTAAGAGGTGCCCGAAGGAAACTTATTGGGGATTGTCTTTGGGGTTAACTCAGGGATGCAGAACTGGACAGAGAGAGAAGTTGAGCTGTGATATACTCACAACAGAGGCCTCAGTACATCCCCTGGGAATAGCTCTCCAGAGTTGTCCCCAGTCCAGACAAGGGGGTCAGGTCTTTGTACCCCCACACCAACTAGTCATTGGATACAGCTGCCCCAGGAGCGGGTGTGACCTTGAGAGAGGCCTTCCTTAGGCTGAGCAGTTCCTGGGAAGAGACTCAGCAGGAGGCCCTTGAACCTGCCGGCAAGGCTTGCAAGGAAGCCCTACAGCCTCCACTGCAGGAGGCATTGCTGACTGAGCAATTTTATAAAGATCACTCTGGAATCAGGGGTTATAACCAGAAACCAAGGCGATAGCTTGGACTTTCTGGCATTCTCAGCCCCGTCACACCATGTCATGTAGCTTTTTCTTCGCATATCTGTTGATTGCTTGCACTTCTGCCCGTCCTCATACTAGGGCTTAGTTCAGCACTTCTCCCTGGACTGGATTTAGACTCTGATGCCCATTCACTGAGCAATGAAAATAAGCCCGATCTAGCTTTTTCTTTCCTCGAAGGCAGCCATTCATTCATTCTTTTTATTGTCTCCTCATCCCACATTTAGGTATTGAGTAAGTGACAGGTGCTGGGGATGCAGCAGTGAGAAGACAGACACGAACAGGCTCTGTCCTCATGGAGTTTGCCTTCTTGTGGGCTGGACATAGACAAGTCAACACTTGGAATACTTTCCAGCAGTGATGAGTGCTGTGATGAAAATAAAGCAAGGTGTTGGGATCTGCTGTAAGCAGGCAATGCAAAGGTGTGTAGGTCAACACACCCAAGGGTGACAAACTGCTGACTTACACACATTTGCATTGCCTGCTGAGAGCAGTGCCTGGTGTGGTCTCCCATTACATGACAAATATTAGTTATTTGATTGTAATTGATGACAGGCTGACTTAACTGGGATCGTCAGGGTTGGGGGTGGCCTGTCCTTCCTTCCTGCTGGCTGGGGTGAGGTTCCGAGAAGCCTTCCCGAGGTGTGGTGCTTGCTGACTCAGCAGTGCTCTGCCTGGCAGGGCTGAGATGTTCCTTGGAAAAGCTCCCACCTAGGTCCTTGCCCAGGCCCCCTGGAGCTGCCAATCACAGCAGCTCTGCCAGTATGATGGCTTATGGGGCCCAACAGCTACGTGCACCCCCCCAAGCCCTGACTCAAGTTGGGCAGTCTTATGAGAATGGGCGTTCTCTGGCATTTCCTGCTCCTCGCTGGCCTGGACGACCTTGTGAGAACAGCCCTGCCCCCACCCTCCTGCCATCCTCACCGACATGCCCAGCCTAGCCTGAGCCAGGACCACAGCAGGCCTGGGAAAGGGAACCCTGGAACTTTGAGGATTGTGTGGAGTTTCACAAAACCTGGGTTTGAGTGAGAAGTCTGGTTTCTGGTCCAGCTCCTGTTGTGTGACCTTGACCCAGGGTTCTCTGGGTTAGTTCCTCATCTGTGAAAATGAGGCCTTACTAGACTTACCTTATTTTCATCCTTCACAGCTGTTCTCTCCTGCCTCAGGGCCTTTGCCCTGGCACTTACCTCTGCTGGAATACTCTTCCTCACCTCTCTACCTTTTACCTAGTAGACTCCATTCCTCCTTCAGGCCTCAATCAATCATCCTACCTGCCTAACGAGGCTAGTTCAAGGTTTCCAATCTGATAGGGCTACAGAAGATTATATTCCTCTCCCTTGTCATGAATCAGTTGTCAGTTGATATTTGCTTGTGGGATTCTTGACAAATAACCATCCTTACATGCCTCAGTGAGGGCAGGCATCTTGCTGTCTTGTCTGTAGCTGTATCCCCAGTGCATAGCACAGAGCTTGGCATATAGTATATACTCAAAAATTTTTGTTACGGAATGACTCTTCAAATGAGATTACGTAGATAAAAGCCCTTTATAACTGTAAAGCCGTCAACAGAAGGGAGGTGTTTTATTACCAGTGGGATAATGACATTGGCCTGGAGGAAGCATTTCAGGATCTGCAGGGATTTTGGGTGACTTTTCTAGAGTTAAAAAGAGTATCTGCCACCCATTCTGTCCTGAGTCAGCCTGTGCCTAGTGAGCCCACAGCCCTGACTGATCATTCCCTTGGCCTTTGTTATAGAGCACACCAGGGTGGGTGTCCCTGAGCGGCTGGCTGCTTGGTCTTGTTCAGCCTTTCTGTGTTACATCTTTTTCCTGCAGCTGCCACACACAGCTTTCTAATTATGTCATGTCATGGTGATGTCCTTGATAGGTCACAGTGGCCTGGGCTTTCCTGGGTGGGAGGCCGAGAAGTCGAAGGAAATGGAAAGTGTGTGTGTGTGTGTGTGTGTGTGTGTGTGTGTATGTGTGCGCATGCTTGCAAGAAGATGGTGTGGATCAGACAGTCAGCTACATTCTTTTTTTTTTTTTTTTGAGACAGAGTTTCGCTCTTATTGCCCAAGCTGGAGTGCAGTGGCGTGATCTTGGCTCACTGCAACCTCCACCTCCTGGGTTCAAGTGATTCTCCTGCCTCAGCCTCCTGAGTAGCTGGGATTACAGGCACCTGCCACCACGCCCAGCTAATTTTTGTATTTTTAGTAGAGACAGGGTTTCACCATGTTGCCCAGGCTGGTCTCGAACTCCTGACCTCAGGTGATCCACCCGCCTCAGCCTCCCAAATTGCTGGGATTACAGGCGTGAGCCACTGTGCCTGGCCAAGTCAGCTGCATTCTAAATCCACTATAAACATTCTCCCCCCACCCTTGAGCCTGCTCCTGCGGGTAAGTCTCTTTTGCCCCTCTTGGTAGTAGGCAGTAGGTGTCCTTGATCAGCCTACACCTAAGTCAGTGAATTTTTGTTGAGGGACTGCTATGTGTCAAGTGCTGGGCTAGGTGCTGAGGGCTCAGCAGTGGCAATCCAGGCAAAGTCTTTGCCAGCTTGTAGATGACTGTTCAGTGGGGAAGACAGATGTTAAACAAATCACCAGATGTAATATTGATATGGTAACAAGTGTTCCAGGTACTGCAAAGAAGAGGGGCAGAGTAGTTGTCTCATTTTTGAGTTTATTCATTCATTTGTTGAACAGTATCTTAAAGCAATTGCTCTGTGCCAGGCAGCATGCTAGGTTAAGTACATCTCGTCCCTGGGACCTTCCTAGACCACCAGGCCATAGCAGTGACTCCTTCCTCAGAACAGCCCAGGACACCTGCCCCTGCCATCTGGGACTTGGTAGTTTTTGACTTGTGCAATTAATTCAAATTAATGCAGGTCCCATACAGGAGCTTTGTTGACTTTTTCATGAGATTGGTCCTTATTCCACCAAATAGTGAAGACTCCTCCTCCCTCATCTTCCTGCTTCCCCTCCTCCTACTCCTCTCCTTCTCTTTTCTCCTCTTCTTCTTCTTCTTCTTCTTTTTTTTTTTTTTTTTTGAGACAGAGTCTCGCTCTGTTGCCCAGGCTGGAGTGCAGTGGCACAATCTTGGCTCACTGCAACCTCTGCCTCTCAGGTTCAAGTGATTCTCCTGCCTCAGCCTTCCGAGTAGCTGGGATTATAGGCTCCCGCCACCACACCTGCTAATTTTTGTATTTTTAGTAGAGACGATGTTTCACCATGTTGCCCAGGCTAGCCTCGAACTCCTGATCTCAGGTGATCTGCTCACCTCAGACTCCCAAAGTGCTGGGATTACAGGCATGAGCCACCGCACCCGGCCCTTCTTCTTTCTTTCTCCCTTCTCTGCCTTCTCTTTCCTTCTCCTTCTCCTCCTTCCTTCTCCTCCCTTTCTTTTTCCTCCTCCTCTTCCTAATTCTGCCTTCTATTCTTTATTATCTGCCTCCTTCTTCTTTTCCTCTCCTCTCTTTCTCCCTGCTTCCTTGTCTTTCTCTTTCTACCATTTTCTCCTCCTCTTCCCCCTCCTTTTCCTCCCCTTCTCCTCATCTTCTTCTCCCCTCTTCCTCCTCCTTCTTTCCTTCCTCCTCTTCATCTTCCTTTTCCTCCTCATTCCCCTCCTACTCCCACCCTTTCTTCTTCCCTCTTCCTCTCTCTCTCTCTCCCCTCTTCCCCTCCTGCTGGAGGTCTGGGCCAGCCATCCTGGAGCCCTTGAAGGCCCATGCAGGGGCCTGGCAAGTGGCATCTGCACAGCACCAGCAGGTCTCCGTTGGGTGTTCCTTGCTTCCCTGCCCTTTGTATTCTGAATTGACCTAGGGCTGTGCTAATAGATGTAAAGGGTTTGCACAGTGTCTTACACGTAGGAAATGCTCAAAGACGAATAATGAACATGGTCAAGTTGTTAATGATGATGATGGTTATCAGGAGCCAGGGTTTCCTCTTCAACTCTTCCATGGATACATTAATTTAACAAAGATCAAATGAGTTTGCTTAGATTTTGTGTTCTCTGTTCCTCAGAGGAAAAGCATCAAGTTTACATTTTTCCTTTTGGAGTGAACCAACATTAAAACTCAGAGTTCAACTTTTTAATTTCCTTTTTCAAAGAAATAGATATGAGCTGCAGGTGAGTGTTAACCTGTGGTAATTGGGACTGCACTTCTGTACTTCAAAGATCACAAGCTTATTTTGAATACTTGAGGTTGGAAAATGGAGCCAGAGGCTATGAGATTCACCTCAACAAATTTGCAACAATGTTTAAGAAATTTTAGAAAATTAAACAAAAACTCTTTAAAGAAGCAATGTGACTCAAGCTGTAACCACCTACTTCCTCTAGTCTCTCCCCCATAATAGCTAAACATTTTTAATGCTTATGTACTAGGCATATTGCATGCTTTATCTCATTTAAGCTCACTATCATCTTAGTTTACAGGTAGGAAAACTGAGGTATAAGCCGCAATACTCCCCAAGGATCATAAATGATAGAGCTTATAAATGATAGAGCCGGACAGTCTGACACCTGAGCCTACACACTTCCCCACAGTGACATTCTGCCCCCAACAAGAGGTTCTGAAACTGGCATGGGCAGCTCAATTTCTGGATTTGGCCTCCTCCAACACTCCTGTCCAGAGTGACTATTTTGGTTATTAATTTCTGTGAAACAAACCAACCCAAACATAGTAACTTAAAAAAACAACAACCATCTTATCCCACAAATTCCGAGTGTTGACTGAGCTCAGCTGGATGGTTCTTCTGCTCCAACAACGTCAGCTGGGGCTACAGATAGCCGGGGGGCTCTACTGGACTGGGATATCTAGGATGACTCCCTAAAATGTCTGGTGCCTTGGTGGAAGATGGTTGCAAGTGTGAGGTCAGGTGGGATGCTGGGGCATGTGTGTGTGTTTGTGTGTGTGTGTGTGTGTGTGTGTGTGTGTGTGTGTATGTATCTGTCTGTTCTCCTTCCCTGACAGAAAACCACTTCCTCTTCCCAAAGCCTTTCCATGATGTCTTTCCATGTGTTCTCTCTGCATGGTCTTTCAGCACAAAAATTGGACTTCTTAAATGGTATTCAGGGCTTCCAAAAGCTCAAAAGCAGAAGCTGCCATGCCTGATTCTCTGGCCAAAGTTCTGGCTAGATTTCAGTGTGGGAGGAGACTAAACAAGGGCATGGCACTGAGAGGGGTGGTCCATTTGGGACCCTCTTCAGAGATCAGCTACCACAGTGAGACTTCTACCACACAGCTCATAGGCAATGAACCTATGTGACTTTTTTAAAAAGTACCTACTGTGCGGTTTACCTATAGTGTATCTTATTGTATTTAATGCTCCCACCAATCCTAGGAGGTAGATATTATTATCTTCCTTTTATGGATGAGAGAATAGCCTTAGATACTTAATAACTTGCCCAAGGCCACCTAGCCTGTGAGTGAGGGAGCCTGGATTCTAACAGGTTAGCCTGATTCCAAAGCCTATGCTGTTTCCTCTATGACATCCTCTCTTCGGGGAAGGTGGTACACGTTTGTGTGTGCTTGCCACTTTCAATCAACTCTTATTAAACAAGCCAAAAAATACTCACTGAATTATTAGGATGTACCAGGTTCTAGGAAGAGGTAGGAGGCAGTGTCAGTACTGGTTTCTGCCCTCTGAGAACTTGACTGCAGGGATAAGACAGGTAAACAGGAAAAGATAAAACCAACAATACTGGTTAGTGCTGACATGGTACTACTGAGGGTGGAGGGAGAGGACACAGACTGATGATCTTGGAGGCTGTTCCTCAGAGAAAGTGGGATTTTAAAAAATGATTGAAAAGAAAGAGATTGGAATTTGGAAAAAGTTGTGAGGAGTGGTGATAGTTTAACTTACATAACACATACCATGGGCTTCACAGGGCTATAAGCACTTTCCATGAATTAATTTATTGAACTCGGCCAGGTGCAGTGGCTCATGCCTGTAATCTCAGCACTTTGGGAGGCCAAAGTGGGTGGATCACCTGAGGTCAGGAGTTTGAGACTAGCCTGGCCAACATGGCAAAACCCTGTCTCTATTAAAAAGGCAAAAATTAGCTGGGTGTGGTGGCATGTGCCTGTAATCCCAGCTACTTGGGAGGCTGAGGCAGGAGAATCGCTTGAACCTGGGAGATGGAGGTTGCAGTGAGCCAAGATCACACTGCTGCACTCTAGCCTAGGTGACAGAGCGAGACTCCGCCTCAAAAATAAAAATAAAATAAAATATTTTATTGAACCCTCAGGCAATCCAGTGAATTGGGTGCCATCAATATTGCTGCTTTATAGATGAGGAAGCTGGGGCACAGAGGAGTTAGGTAAGTTGTTTGAGTTCACACAGTGTGTAAAGTGATGCTGCTGGATTTGAATTCCAATTATGTGCATTCTGGCACCACAGTTGGGATCCTAATCATCAGGCCGGACCACCTCTTGTAAGGGAGGCTGATTTAGAAGGGGGGTCTTTTTGGGGAGAGAGTGGGTAAACCAGCTTGGCCAAAACACAGAGCACTTGTAGAGGGAATGAGCATAACAGTGACTAACACTTAAACACATTTGATCCTTCCACCTCCCCACCTACTGTAAGGGAATGATCACCTGAATTCTACAGGTGGAGACCTCAAGACTTAGAGAGGCAAAATGAATTCCCTAAGAGCACACATGTGGACCCCAGACTTTAACCTAGGTCTTCTCTATTTAAGCCACTGTCTTCCTTTCATATAATGAGAAAATAACCTAGTTTGACGGTTTCAACTGCAGAGGTCCTGAGTGTCAATTTTGTGAATCCCAGTGTGCATGTTGGTAGTGGCTCCTTAGCCAGGCATTCTTAGCCCAAGGTTCAGGGCTCTGCTTCATAGAGGCCTCTGAGGCTCCTGCACCTGTGTGTGATGGTGTATGTGTATGCGTGTGTATGTGTGTGATGGGGTGTGTGCATTTTCTAGGGAGAAGGTGCATAGCATTCAATAGTTTCTCAGGAACACTTGGGACCAACAAAGGGTGCTCAGTTTCTGGAACTGGATCTTCTAACTTCAGATCTGGGTTCTGCTGCTTGTTAGCTGTGCAGTCGAAGGCAAGTTACTTACTGTCTCTGAGCACCGGTTTTCTCACCTATAAACAGACTGGCAATACCAACGCTGTGGGCTGTTTGTGAGTGAATGGTTGCTGTCCAGCCCTGTGCAGAGCACACAGTAAGTGCTTAACAAATGCCCACCATGACAAGGAGATGCCCTTTCTCTGGGCATCCCTGCCTTCCTGGGTGTTGTGGCAGGCCGGGGTCCCTGCCGTGAGCTAGCTTCTTTGGGCTTCCCTGCTCTCCCAGCCTGCCAAACTGTTTTCCTGGAAGTAGAGCCCAGTGCTTTTGTGTTTTTATCTCCTTCCTTCGCAGGGACCCTCTCTTAACTGTTCCTGGGGATCTGACCCAGGCCCCTTAGAAGGAAGTAGCTAGAACCCAGACTCCTTACCATGGCCCACTAGACACTATGTGATCCAGCCCTGCCTCTCCCTCCCTGCCTCTGCTTCTCATTCACCTTCTCCAGCCACGCAGGTCGTTCTGTTCTGTGTCTGGGCCCAGATCGTTCTCATTCCCGAGCCTTTGTTCATTCTCGTCTTTCAGAGTGGGACCCTCTCTTTGCCAGCCTAGCCTTGACTAATCTCTCAATGTCAGCCTCACTCCCTCAGAAGGGCTATCTTTGACCAAATTCCATCTCTGTTCTCCCCTTCCATAGGACTCCATGTTTCCATAGCAATCAGTTAATTTGCAATGAAAGCCCATCTCCTCTACACAACTGTAGGCTCTGTGAGGTGGGAAATCACATCCATTGCTGAACTAAGCCTGGTGTTGTGTACACAGTTGGCACTTAATACATGTTTACTAAAATGAAGTAAAACAGTAGGCTGTATTAATCTTTTTCTGGCGATTTTGTAAAGAGTTTCTCTGACCTGGGGAAGCTCTCCCGCCCTGTGGAAGTTCCCCTTGCAAACTCACAGTGGGCACACGCTGAAGGCTGCAGAAGGTGAAGGATGGGAAGGATGCAGGCTTGCTCCTTCAGGGTGAGTCTTGGAGCAGAACCATCACTGGTGAGGTGAAGGGAGGAGGCAGGTGTGCAGGCCACACCTGGTGCAGGGCCTCTGTCGGTGCTTCTGCAGCCGCCGCTGAAGAAGCCAATGATTTATACGTAGGTGACTCAGGAAACGCTTCCTTGAGGGGCCTTGGGGGTGATCAGTCAGGGACGAGAACTCTGCTCTGCAAACTGCAATCATCACCTCCTGTCTTAAAAATAAATCTTTTGTAGTTTTCTAATGAGGTCATGGGAAGAATCACTCTGTGCTTTCTAGTAGGAAGGCTGAGCTGGGCAGGAAGGTGATCTCTGGATCTGGTTTCCTGTATCAGGCAGGGTGGGGGTGGGGGTGTGCTAGGGAGAGCCAGGGAAATGAAAATCCATAGGAATCCAAAGCCTCACTTCAACTACTGCACTGCACAGCAACCAGGAGACAAAGAGTTCCTGGTAACTGATGGGCACTGAGCTCTAGAACTTAGACGCCAGCTGCCCAGTGGCACTGACCACAGTCAGGCATTGTGTGATGGCCTCCATGGGGGTGATGTCACTCTATCTTCACCACAGTCCACCCCACTTTACAGAAGCACACCTGCCATGGTGCCTATGTCATAGTAGGCTCTCAGTAAATGTTTGTAGAATGAATGATAAAGGCTGGGTGCAGTGGGTCATGCCTGTAATCCCAGCGCTTTGGGAGGCCAAGACGGGCAGATCACGAGGTCAGGAGATCGAGACCATCCTGGCTAACACGGTGAAACCCCAACTCTACAAAAAACACAAAAAATTAGCCAGGGATGGTGGCAGGCGCCTGTAGTCCCAGCTACTCAGGAGGCTGAGGCAGGAGAATGGTGTGAACCTGGGAGGCGGAGCTTGCAGTGGGCCGAGATCGCACCACTGCACTCCAGCCTGGGCAACAGAGTGAGACTCCATCTCAAAAACAAAAACAAAAAAAAAGAATGAATGATAAAAACAGTGTGCAGAGAGGTGAGTTAACTTCCTTAAGATGGCACAGCCAGCAGTGCCTGGGTTCCCACCCATGACCACTAACTCCAAAGCCAGGGTCCTTAACCAACTGCTCCATCAAACCCTTCTGCAAAGAATTTCCACATGGATGCTTCCTGAAGCCCCATCAATCATCACCCAAACAGGTTTCCCCAGGTAACATGCACACATCATCTTGCGTGATTCTTCCAGTAGTTCTTCGAGATTGCCCTTGTTGGCCCATTTGACAGAGGGGAAAAAAAGCCTTCAAGAAGATAACCAGCTTACCCAGGGTCACAGAGTAATAGATGAGAGAGTTCCTGAGTCAAACTAAGAACTATAGAGACATGGCTTTTTCATTAGGAAGGTTTGTTTCCCTTTAGCAAACCTTCCTAGTGAAAGGTACTGTCATTAGTACTTCCTCCTGGCACCAAAATCTCTGTCCATTCTGATCTTGGCTTCTCTGGTAACAGTGGGTATGGCATCCCTGCTTTAAGACCAGTTGAAGCTCAAATGGGAAATGAATGCAGATGGGCTTTTGTAAATATTAAAGTGCTGTTCCAATGTGAGCTGTTTTTACAGCCTGACTCTTAGGAGTATGGGCTTTAGAGCCAAATGACAGAGTTCATATCCCAGCTCTAACAGTTACTAGCTGTGTTACTTAACCTCTTTGTGCCTCAGTTTCTTTCTCGGCAAGATAATATTTTCCTCAAAGGGTTGTTTTGCTATTTAAATAAGTCGATACCATAAAGCATTTAGAACAATGCCTGGCACAGAGCAAGCTCTCAGTAAATGATAGCTGTTTTCCTCCTCCTCATCATCATTATGATCATCACCACCAAAAAACATTGTTCTCTCTGCAAATACAAGCAGGCCAGGGGATTCCCTCAGGGTGGCCTGTGACTCCCAGGAGAGCCAACGGCAGCCCTGCAGTGGCTGCACTGTACAGACGTCTTGGGTTTCCCCAGGGTCCTTGTTCTCACTTGTGTTTTTCTCCCTCTCTTCTGGTCTCTCCATGGAGCCCTGAGCATGGCCCACCTGCATACCTGGCCTAGTCCTGTCTCTGACCAAGGCAGCTGGTCAGGTGCTCACCCTCATCAGCAAGTGGCATCAGGACGTGCTCCTTTTGTCCTCACCTGATTGAAGCCCCAAACACCCACCTGCGTGTATACTGAGCTTTATTCTCTGCCCCACTGCCATTGAGTTGACCTGTTTCTTACACTGGTGTTTCTGCCTTGGTTTCCTGGTTTGGTATTTAGGTCCTCTGCTAACATTGTCAAAGGGTCTAGGCTAGGCACTTTCATTAGTACTTCCTCCTGGCACCAAAATCTCTGTCCATGCTGATCTTGGCCTCCCTGGTAACAGTGGGTGCAGCCTCACTGCTTTAAGACCACCGGAGGCTCAGATGAGGAAATGAATGCAGATGAATTGCCTATGGCCCTGACACACAACTTACTGCCCCCATGAGTCCCCCTGGGCACTCCCCTGTGCTGTGTGCACCCCTATCCAGTAGCTTCACACTAGTTTTGTTAAACATGTTTATTGAGCATCTACTCTATGCAGGGTTTGAGGTGCACCATCTGTTCCAACCGTGTCCAAGCATTTTCCCAATCACATGCACCCCCTGCTCAGGTGAGTGCTCCTACTCACCCAGTGAGAGGGTCTTTCTGTGGTGTCCATGGACTCCCAACTTGGCCACGCTCCCCAGGTGCTGTAAGAGTGCCATCCACCCCCAGTGGGGGCCAGCTCTGGTCACTTATCTCCATCTAGTCTTGTCCATTCTCAGCTGCCTCCCTTCTGCCACGCTCTGTCCCTAAAGTTCCCATTTTTGCACAGGAGGGAGCCAAGGCACAGAGAAAATGAGTAATTGGCAGAAGGCAACACAGCAACCCTGTATGGGGCAAAGAGGTGGTGACCAGAGATACTCATAGTATCGTGTGGTGAGCACAGGAGGCTGGATGGGAACCCTGTGTGGCCTTGTCCACAGCAGGGAGGGAGTGCTGAAGGTACAGACCTGGCTGAGCCAAGTACACATTTCCTGTTAGTCTTGACTCCAGCAGGACTAGCTCCTGGCCCCCTCCTGGCCTAAGCCTGGGAAGTCCTTTGGCCAAGTGCAGGACCCACAGGAAATAGAGAACGTGTCTTGCCTAGCCCTTGTATTTCAAACCCTTTAGAACCCAGCCCAGCCTTCCTCTGCCTCTCCACATTGTCCTCTGCGTGTTAATAATACTTTACTCCCATGGTGGTTGTACTGTAAGTGAATGCATACAAAGCCTTGAGAACAATGCCTGCCACTCACAGCTTCTGCCCCCACCTTCTTCCCTGCCTGCACTGAACTTTAGCTACCCATGTCTGTAGAGTTAGGCCCAAGTTCAAGATCTGCTAGCCTTGAAAGCTCTGGCAAGTGGTTTAATCTTGCCCAGCCAGTTTTCTCATCTGTACAATGGAGACACTTCTTGGAGTTGTGAAGACTGAATGAGGCAATGCATTAAAAAGATCCATTCATCCAGCAGCCTGTGCTGATCTCTGGATTTGTAGCAAAAGACAAGGTAAACCCAATCTGTGCCCTCAGGGAAGGTGGGTCCAAAATAGTGACAAAGATGAATTTTTTTTTTTTTTTTTTAGCATGGTGAATTTTAATTGTATTTGCTTTGGGACTCATGCCCTTTTCAATAATTAAAAATGCAGAGAATATAAAACCATCCACCAGAATTAACAGAGGTTGATAATTTCTCATATTTGCATGATTCTCTCACATAAAAGAAGTAAAACATTTTAGCTGCAGCCAAAATCCCTCTTGGTAGCCACTCACTGTGGACCTTCCTCCTTCCCTCCAGGCAGCCCTTGATCTTGAATTTGGGTCATAGTCTTCCAGTCTGTCTTTACGTTGTGCTGTCTCTATGTGTTCATAAATCATAGATGATTTCTTGTGTGTTTCATTTACCTATAAAAGAGCAAACTATGGGTGATATTCTGCAACTCAATTTTTTCACCCAGTATTGTTTTTCAAATCCATCCATGTGAGAGCATTGAGTTGGCTCATTCATTTTGATCACTACGTGCGCTTGTATCAACCCCCAACCTTTGCTCTCACAGGCAAGGTGTGGGGATCGTCTTCTGTGCCTCCCCTTGGAACCCCAGTGGGAGGTATTCCTAGAAGTAGAATTGCTGAATCACAGGGCGTGAACGTTTGCAGCTTGACTGGCTAGTGTTGGCCTGTTTTCCAAACAGGCCGTTTGCACTGATTTATATTAGCAACATCTGAGAGTTCTTGTTTCTCCACATTCCCACCGGTCCTTGGTATTATTAGACTTTTCAGTTTTTGCCAAACAGATTGGGTGTGGAATGGAGCTCAGACCTGTCTTTGTCTGCATATCTCTGATCATGAGGGCATTGAACATTACACCATGTTTTCTGAATATTTGGGTCTCCTATTCAGTAAAAGACCTGTTCAAATTCTTTACCTATTATTTTTTTCTATTGGATTGCTTGTCTGTGTGTGTGTGTGTGTCTGTGTGTGTTCCTGATAGATTTTTGGACTGATTCTTTACCTGTTGTATAAGTTGCAAATGCCTCTTCTGGGTGTATTGCTTATCATGGGGTATATTTCTTGGGCTTTTTGTTGTACAGTTTAAAATTTTGTTATGGTCAAATTGATCTTTTCTTTTATGATTACGATTTTCTTGCCTTGATTAAGACCTGATAATGTAAAGATACTCTCCTCTCTTTTCTTCTAATAATGTTGAAGTTTGTGTTTCAGTTTCATGTTTAGGTCATTCATCCATTTGGAACTTCTTCTTGTGTGTAGCGTGAGATGGGGGTCTAATCTAATTTTTTTCTTCTCTAAGGAAAGTCATTGGTCCCAATACCTTTGTTTGAGTAGCCCATCGTTTCCACGGTGTCTTGTAACGGCACCTCCGTTCTGTGCTGCGTTGACATATGGTATTTATGTGGGTCTTTTCCAAGCTGTTTTTTTCTCTTCGCCTGGATAGGAATAATTCCTTAATCATAATTGTGGGAAATGCTATTGAAGAAAAGCCCAGGCTGCTATGAGAACACACAGCAGGGGGATTTAGAAGGCCCTTCATTCCTCTGCTCTGTTTTGTTGCTTTCTTAGCTTTTGTGTGAATTACAGACCTTTCCATTACACAGCCTGGCCACCTTGCACAGCTCTGGCATTGGGTTGGGGCTGGGGTGGGCTCCCACCGAGAACAGAAAGCCTGATGCATCGAGCAGGGCCAGACGCCACACCACCCTGGGAGGCAGCATGCACGTGAGGCCCACGTTTGTTTCCTGAAGCCTGGTGTTTATGCATGCCTATCCTCACTGAGATAGAGTCATTTTTCAGAGCAATTTAACCATGGCCGTGGGCCTGTCCCCACAGAGATTAGATAACACAGACACACAACAGTGCAAGTTTTAGGGAAAGATTTAAAGTATCCAAGCTCATTGGCAGGCCAGGTGTCTTCCAGCGGAAAGAGGAGGCTAGAAGTAGCAGGCTTGCCCGTTGCTGGGGCCACTTTGAGAAGCAGCATTTTCATATTGCTACATCCCTTGAGCAGCATTTGTGTGTGTTCTAGGGCATTCAGAAATGTCTCTTTATTTCCCATTGTGGCTCTTGAATTCCAGGGCACTGCATGGGCACTTGGCTCTCATGCTGTTCAACCTCACTTTAAAATCCAGCACATGAAGCAGCAATTTAGGAGCCTGCTAAACTGGGGCTGGGGGACAGGTAGGGGGGTGGATGACTGTTACATCTTATACAGGAGTCCAAACTCACACTACACAAGACTTATTTAACAGGAAGTTTATGCAGTAAATTGCTGTGTGCCATTTACAAAACACGGTTTGGCTTAGCAATACCTTCTAAGAATCAGTACAATCAGTAAACCAGTAAGAGTGCTGGACTGTGGAGACCACAGACCCAGGGTTGAGTTCTGTATGATCCTAGACAAGCTATACTGGCATCCTATCTTGCATGGGGTCGGGATAGGGGGAGTTGAGTCTCACACTAATGCACTGAGAGTGAAAATTACCCTAGAAAAATCCCTCACATTGCCTATGAAGTATAATATACAGACATACATTCTCAAAAGCAGGTCCACCACAGCTATTTTTTTCCTCCATCGCTGGAGTGGACCACCGTGTCTTTGAACACCAGAGGAAGTAGGTGGCTTGTGTGTTTAAGGGATGCATTTGAAAACTGCTTTTCTTTAAACAGAAGCCCAGCTGGCTGGAGAAGAGGAATGCAGCGGTACCCACTGAGCACATTCTCCAAGAGTGATTCTTTTTTGAAGATATTTAAGTAACACAGTGCCACAATGGTTGCTAGGATCGTGAACAAAGGATGTCAGGGAACACTGTGGAAACAGGATCTCGAGAAGCTCCCCAAGCAGGGGCACAGCACCCCACCCCCCAAACCCATTCCCTCCATTGTTCAAACCTGGCTCTGCCTCTGTCTTTGAACACCAGACTCATACTCAGGGCTGGGAGTGGAGAACACTTGGTAACAGGGGGACCCAAGGATGCAGAAGAGTCCAGGCACCCATCTCCCCCTCATTTTGGGCATGAGCTCATTGACTGAAAGAATGAGTGGAATCACCTGACAAAAAATGATGATAACAATTACTACTACTATGATAGCAGCTACGATTCTGTGTCCAGCACTGGCCCACATGCTTTACATATTTTTTAAAATTTTATTTTATTTTACTTTAAGTTCTGGCTACATGTGCAGAATGTGCAGGTTTGCTACACAGGTATACATGTGCTATGATGGTTTGCTGCACCTATCAACCTGTCATCTAGGTTTTAAGCCCCACATGCATTAGGTGTTTGTCCTAATACTCTCCCTCCCCTTGCCCCCGACAGCCCGACAGGCCCCAGTGTCTGATGTTCCCCTCCCTGTGTCCATGTGTTCTCATTGTTCAACTCTCACTTATGAGTAAGAACATGTGGTGATTGGTTTTCTGTTCCTGTGTTAGTATGCTGATGATGATGGTTTCCAGCTTCATCCATGTCCCTGCAAAGGATACAAACTCATTCTTTTTTATGACTGCATAGTATTCTATGATGTATATGTGCCAGATTTTCTTTATCCAATCTATCATTGATGGGCATTTGGGTTGGTTCCAAGTCTTTGCTATTATGAATAGTGCTGCAATAAACATTCGTGTGCATGTGTCCTTATAGTAGAATGATTTATAATCCTTTGGGTATATACCAAGTAATGGGATTGCTGGGTCAAATGGTATTTCTGCTTTACATATTTTAACTTACTCGATGATATGTATATGATCAACACTCAAATGGGCCCATGATGAGATGCTTAGGGGGCATTCATGACCAACTCAGGTTGCCAGGCCTCTCCACTGGGATTTCTGATTGAGTAGCTCTAGGTGGGGACCCAGGAATCTGTGTTTTTCACAAGTACTCAGGTAACCCTTATATACAGGTGGGTTTGAGAAACACTGAGTCATGATTTCTCTGTTCTTGTTTATGTTTGCTGAGCAGGTACAGTGACATTTGTGTCTGTTTGCATGCATGTGGCCATTCGCTTGAATTTCGCCTTTTCTAGCCCGAGTCTCCTTACCTGTACAATGGGAATTGTAATAGGATCTACTTCCTGCCATGTGTGAACATTCAGTGAGATGAAGTACTCAGAGCATGGTGTCTGGGATGTGGTAAGTGGTCAGTGTTACCATTGTTATTGGTTATGGCTGTTATTTAGGGACACGCAAAGTATACAAAGAGAGACTTACACCCCCCCGCAAGAGTGCTACCTGAGTGAAGTGACCTTTACCCAGTTCACTGCTGAGCTATGCTCAAGCTAATCTCCCTTCGCTGGTTTGTACAAGCAGATCCGGTGCCCAGAGGAAAATGGACTGGCAGTGAATTGATTACTTCCTGCCTCCCTAAGCAGCCTGGTTTCGAAAGGCCCTGGTCAAATTAAAATGCATTAACTGAGTTTGTCGAGGAGCGATCAGCCATCTGAGAAGGGCCGGTCCCTACCTCCTACCCACATGTGCCAGGCTGATGACCATGTCCACATTCACATGCAGGACCACGTAGTACCAAGACTTGTCTCCTGGCCGCATCTCAGCTCTCATGGAAACCTGGGGTTTGGTTCTGAGCCTGGAGACAAATGAGGTGGCTGTCTGTACCATGTTTCCCAATGGGTTCCTTTTCATGTGCAATATTTTCTCTGCCTATTGTAGAGGCTCAGCCTCAGAAAGCAAAAGCACAAAAAGGCCAAACCAAGAACTAGACCAACCAAAGGAAGCCAAGGGGAGGTGATTACGTAACCCCAGCAGCCAGGCTGTCTGCAAGCCGTATGACTTATTTAGCTGTCTGTCTTTTCGGATGTCAGACTCCATCCTTTCCAGCTGGCTCTCCGCTTTGGTGATTATATTAACACTCAGTAATTATAGGAAATGGACACCTCTCCAGTCACCAGCATTCCCAAGTGGCGGGATGGGGGATATTCAATACCAGGAACACCCCATCACAGGGGGTCAGTCACTGCCCAAGGTTTCAGTAGTCTGGCAAAAAGAGACAGAAATAATGGCACAGTAGTGAGTGCTCCCATGATGCAAAATGTATTAAATTTAAAGGCTGGTGCTTGATCTTGAGCGGATGCCCTGGGGTTAAAATGTCCTTTAAAAAATCCAAAATGATGAAGATGATTATCAGTGGTTGCCTCTGGCATTTTGACATAACACAAATTTGGCCCCTAATGTTAATCTCCATGTGGGGGAGAAATTCCTGACTGACGAAATTCTAGAGTCTGAGCATCACTGCTTTATACATAAGAAAATAACATAATAAGCAAAATAATAAGAAATAAAAGGAATCTTTTTCATTTTAAAATCCTATGTGTGTAGAGTTTTTTACCCTCAGCTTCTTCTCTTTATATAGTAGGTAACAACCGCTTAGGGTTTTTTTTTTTTTTTTTGCTGCCTTCTCCTGCCTTGCTTCCCTACCCTCTGCCCTCCTCAGAAGCCTCCCTGCCTGTTAGCCCAGTTCTATCTCGACTCCTAAGCTGGTCTTGATGGAGATCGGTGTAAAAAAGTAATTATGATAACAGCCACCATTTGCTGCTTTGCTTCATCTTTGCTATGTGCTAGTTACTTTATTCAATAAAGTGAATAAAGTGCAGCAACAATGGAAAGTGGACTCTTAGTAGTAGTACCAACCCTATTTTACAGATGGGAAAACTGAGGCTCAGAGAGGTTAAATCACTTACACAAAGCCACACAATTTTGAGTGGCAGAGCTGGAATGTGAATCCAGGCAGTCTGACCCTGCAGCTTATGTGCTTAACGATACTGCCTCTCATGTGGGCAAAGGATGGCCCAGGAGAAAGGCAGGCCCAGATTCCAAATCTGGCTTGACCGCCTAAGAGGCTGAGTCTTAACCTCTCTGAGCCTTTGCTGTTTCATCTGTAAAGTGGTCCTCCTGACAGCTGCCTCCTAGGGTTGTTTTGAGGATAAAGTGAAGTAATGGAGGGCCCTTGGGATATGGTACCCCATCTCCTTCCTCACCTGGATGGAAAGCCATGTTCCAGCCACGGCTACTGGCCTGCAAATGGCTTCCTGGGGCTTTTTGCTCTTATTCAGTCTTGCACCTTGCTCCCCCTAGTGCCAAAACCAAGCTGCAGCTCCCCTGGCTCCCTAAACATTGCTTTATTACCTCTCTCAAGCCACTGCCTCCGCCGCCAGGATTCTGACTGGTGGGAGGTTGTGGGCCTGCCAGCTCTCCTCACCTGAAGCCAGGCCTTGCAGACAGAATTCCTAACTAATGACATCCTTGCCCCTTCTGCTACCTCCTAAATTCCTCCTCTTTCTAGATTTGCAGCTCTATGACTGGCCCAGTCAATTGAATACCTGTGGACCAACTATTTCCAGGATAGTGACAGTGGCTTTTGAGTCTGTCCTGCTGCTGGCTTGTCCCCCCACCCACCCCCAGGCTGTGCTATTGGGAGGTGGGACAGGAGTACAGTAGTCACCAGCCACAACATGTCTTAGACATGGATCCTGCTCCTTCTTCTCCTCCATCTGCTCCAGGTTGTGGAGAGGGCTCCCACAGGCCTCGGACCCAAGTCATTCATTCCGATTGTGTGAATACCCTTTAATGAGGGACCTGTAATATCCCAGGCATGGTCTAGAGATCACGTATATCAGTGAATCCTCCTGGCTCCCTGTGAAGTGGGCCCCATTTACTTCCGTTTGACAGATGAGGAAACCAAGGCCTGGTAAGGGCAGAGAAATGTTCATATCGCCCATGGCCCATTAGTGACAGACCTGAACTTGCATAAGGCCTTCTTCATTATAATATCCCTGTGCCTGGAATGACACAGACCGAAAATGTAATGGGTTGTTTCACCGGGCTCTATTTCCAGAATCCATAGGAAGCTTGGCAGATGGGTGCTAAAGCTTCCTACCAGCTACTACATCTCCCTATCAGCTACCTCAGCCCAGGGAGTGCCTTCACCACTCCTGTGAGCCTCAGTTTACTCTTCCCACAATGGGCCTACAGATACCTAGTGATACTTCCTAGGGCTATAGGGAGAATAAAATGAGATCATGTCTGTAAACTGTGTGTCAACAGTACACTTCATAAATGTTATTCACCTTATCCTTGACAAAAGCTTCCACCGATACATTATTCTTGTTTTTAAAAACTTACAGCTATCTGGGAGCACAGACCAAATGGTCAGGGAACACTTTGCAGTCAGGCTTAGCTGAAAGTCGCAGATCCCAGAGGGCAGAGGAAAACTTCAGACAATGAAGTTTGGAGGGTCCACCTCTCCAAAGGGCCACATATTTCCTAGGGAACTCTAAAAATGCCAGGGAGAGACCCTCCTTTCCTGCCCCCCTACCCAAATCAGAAGTAAACAGCATATGGCCGGGCGCGGTGGCTCACGCCTGTAATCCCAGCACTTTGGGAGGCCAAGGCAGGTGGATCACCTGAGGTCAGGAGTTCGAGACCAGCCTGGTCAATATGGTGAAACCCCGTCTCTACTAAAAATACAAAAATTAGCTGGACGTAGTGGCAGGCCCCTGTGACCCCAGCTACTTGGGAGGCTGAGGCAGGAGAATTGCTTGAACCCGGGAGGCAGAGGTTCTAGTGAGCTGAGATCACGCCACTGCATGCTAGCCTGGATAACAGAGAGAGACTCTAACTCAAAAAAAAAAAAAAAAAAAAAAAAAGGAAAAGAAGAAGAAGAAGTAAATGACACAAACAAAGGAGACCCAGTGAAATGCCTGGAAGTCTTTAGAACTTATGAAGAAAACAGAGTTGATAGCAACCAGATTCTATTCTAATGATCCATGTCCCATCTGCTGGAAAGAACTTGCTTCCACAGCAAAATCTCTGCATATTCTCTTGAGCAAGGGGAGAGGGTCCAGAAAAACTTGTAGTTTGGGGAACTGGCCCCACAAATACTCGATCTCTGCTCAAGAGAATGTGGTGGCTGGGCCATCTCTGCATTACCTCTCGGGACCCCCTCCTTGGCACTGCAGCCTGTCTCTAAAATGCATACTAGAGATGGGTGTGCCCAAGACTGCCTTTGAAAGCGACTCCGAAAAATGTAGCACCCCAAAAGATGGAGTATCTGCGAATGACTTGCTGGATTTGGCTCTCCCGGGACTTCCTCTGGCTTCCAGGAGTGATGTATACCCGGGTTTTCTACCGGTTTGGGGAGCATTTATTAATGGTGCTCTGCTGCTTGTTCGAGGCAGGTGCTTTTTCACTGCCACAGCCTGCCCTGATGGATGGCACAGCCTCTTCCCTGGCTGAGGCGGCCCCAATCAGAGCTCTCTCTCCTCACTCCAGGCCTTACTCATCATAGTAGCTACTGTGTCCCAAATGCCAGCTGTGTTGAGACACTGTTCATATGTCTTGGCTTGTGGAAACCTCATAGCCTCCTACAGGGAAGGCACTATTAATATTGTCCATTTTGCAGATGAACATAGTGAGACATGGTTTAAGGACTCCCCAGAGGCCTCACATCGGTGTGAGGTGGCAGATCCAGGATACAAACCCAGGTTGGTGCAGATCCAAGGCCCTGCTGTTTTTCTGCAACATTCTGCTTTGGTGAGTAGATCTTAGGGTGAAGTAGACAAGGCACTGGTTTGATTCACCAGCCTTGGGAGGCACCCCTGTCTGGACCATGGCATACAGTAGGCCAGGTTGTACACTGCTCAGCTCTAGAGGGCACTAGTCACTGTGAAGGCTATGTGAATGGCGCCCTCTAGAATTAAGCAGGGCATAAACTGCACAACCAAAACGGTGGCCGGGCCACTGTGAGTGCTGTTAATGGTTATGTTTATCACTTAGAGCAGTGTTACCTTGGCTCTTCAATTGAGTTCCCATATCCATTAAATAGCAACCTATCAGGGTCATGGTAAGGATCCAAGAGTCTGTCATTAAATGGTCAAATGGTCACTGTTTTTACTGACTTATATTCTACTTTAGATCAATACCCACATCTCCTTTCTATAGCTTCATCCTTACTGAAGGCACCACTCTCCGAGCAGTGGGGCAGGCAAGGGATCAGAGCTGGCACGGCTGTCCGGGGTTGTCCTGTCTGCCAAGCAATGGCAGGAGAGCTGCGAATGGCAGACACTTGGAAATCCTCAAGTCTGGGCTGGAGCCCTGGCAGCAGGCATCTGATCTGCCAGCTTATGCTGGGAAGAGAAGCCGGTCCCTGGGGGGGCTGTGCTGAAAACAGACACATGGCCTGGCATGGCCACCAGCCAAAGAAGTCTTCCTGCCCAGGATTGGTGCAATTGGCCTCTTCTCTTTCCTGTCCTCCTAGGGCCCATCGTCTGCATGAAAGAGGGATTGAGCCAGGCGATTGGAGACCTGAGTGGAGGTCCCCACTCTGCTCCTCACCAGCTCCATCTTGGGTATCATGCTTCTACTCTGTGTCCTCAGTTTTCCCATCTGTAAACGAAGGCATTGGACCAGATTACCTTGGAAAGCCTGTACTTTCTCCCCTCTAGTTTGTTTGAGGGGCAGCTTAGGGTTGTGGTTACGTGGGAGCTGAGTTGTACTCCTGGGTTCTAGTTCTGGCTTTGCCACTTCTCTTAGCTGGGGCATAAGTCACTTAACCTGCCTGGGTATCACTTTCCTCATCTGTAAAACAGGCTGGGCACACGGTTGTGATAGTACCTGTCCCATGGGGTTGTTGCAAAGATTATGGCTTCACATACGAAGTGCTTAGAACAGTGCCTGGCACCAGAAGCACCCCATAAATGGAGCTGGCTACTTCCTAGCCTGCTCCTTAAAGATGTCCCAGTCAGCCAGGTATGAAAGCATGCGCCTGTAGTCCCAGCTATTTGGGAGGCTGAGATGGGAGGATCGCTTGAGCCTAGGAGTTTGAGACTGTAGTGAGCTATGATCACACCACTATATTCCAGCCTGAGCCACAGAGTGAAACCCTGTCTCTCTTAAAACAAATAAAAACCAATGATGCTCTACTTTTTCTGCTTAAAGAGTTAGTCCCACCATCCCAGGACTCGGAGTCTGGTTGCTGTTGAGCCCAGGAACCTCACCATGCATGCTCCTCAAGTGAGCTCAGAGCATGAGATGGTCTCAACTAACCCATAGCCAATATTCACGGAGCATTTCTTCATTTACTCTTTCAGTCTATTTAAAGAGCACCTGCTCAGGTACTGTTGTAGGCTCTGGGGATAAGACAGTGACCAAAACAGGCAGAAATCCCTGTCTTTATGGAGCTTACAATCTAGCAGGGAGAAGCCAGACATTAAATAAATAAAACGCAAAATATAAACATGGATCTCCAGATGTTGCTTTGAAAAAAAACAAAGGAGATTTTCTGATTCTTACCATCCTTATCCCTGGTTGTGACTCACTGGTGTATAAAGCCTAAACTCCCCCAGCCTCAGCTCACACTGTGTTCCTCTAGGTGTCCCCTGAGCTTGGGCTCCGGAGCCAGAGAAGCCTGCGCTTTGAGTCCCGACTCTACCCCTGCAATTTGGCTGCTTTTGACCTTGGGGAAGCCACTTAATCTTTCCCTTCCTATTTCCTCATCTTTAAAATACCATTGCCCCCATCCCAGGACTGTCATGAGGATTCAGTGAGTTAATACACATAAAGCACTTACAACAGTGCTTGCCCCTGTATGACCTCGGGCAAGTCACTCTGAGCCTCAGTTTGCTCATCTGTAAAATGGGCATAAAATAGTCCCCAGCTCACCAGGGTTTGGCAGGCTTCAATGTAATAATGCATGTAAAATACCTGGCACAGTGCTTAGCACACAGTGGATGCTGTTTCTCCTCTCCTGTATTTTTGCTGCACGACAAATCACTCTGAAACTCAGTGACTAAAAGCAACAACTATTTATAATTGCTTACATATCTGTGGGTCAGGTGAGGCAGCTGAAATATTCCAGGCTCAGCTGGGCCACTGTATTTCAAGCTACAGATCCAAGAAGGCTTGGCCCCTTGCTGAGGTTTGGGCTCAGATCTGCTCCACGTGTGTCCAGCAGCTACCAGGGGACACGCTTCTCATGGCGCTGCAGAAGTGCAAGACGGTGAACAGGCAAGGCCTCGTCAGCCTTGAGCTGGGGCAGGTGCCTTCATTTCTGCCTCATTCTGTTGGTAATCAGAAAAGCAATCAAATGGTCAAACTCCAAGTCAAAGGATAGAGAAATAGTTCCCCTTTAGTGGAAAGAACTGCAAAGTCATATGGCAAGAGGCATGAGTGAAGCCAGGGCTGAAGAGTTGGGAACATTAATAGGATCTATTGGGCCTCCTGAGAACCCCCAGAAGATCATTGTAAGCAGCTGGTGATGGCGGCGACTCAGGGAGGTCCTGCGTATTTTCAGCTCTACCAGCTCTCCTAGGATTGCTGTTCCAGATTTCTCCCATCTATGCCTGGGGATATCGTATGGGATTTTCCTCCCAGGAACGTTGTACAGTGATGGAGGATGGGTGCAGGAAGGCTGGACTGCAAAGTCCTGGAATGCTTCCCCCCAACCCCCAACCTCCACGTCAAACCTGTCGTTGCAACGAAATAAATAAAACTGACAGCTGGAAAAATGAGGGGCAAGCAGACCAAATATGATAAACGGTCTCTTGCCGTGTATTGTATTCTCTACAATAAAACCCCAAGCAGATGCTAAAAATGTGTGCGGCTTTGTGAGGAGATAGGCGTGCTCTGTGTGGCCGAGATTTTCTGAGAAAGGTAATTTAACTGCAATGCACATAAAGGAGAGAAAGGCAGAGAAGTAATTTGGAAAGTGTACATCAAGTGCTTTTTAAAAAGTTGATATTGTTGGTTATTTTTCTTTTATTAAAATCCACAGCCCTGTGGGCTGCTGTCCCATCCTTATCGGGCTCATTCAAGACCAGCATTGACATTTCTAATTTGCAAATTTAAAGATTGTCAGGAAATGGTTTAAACACCCAGTATGATTGGGGAGCTTTTTGACTGTGGGTGACAAGAGTGGGCTCACCTCTGGGAAGACAGTAGGGGCAGGGGAGGAGAGCTGGGCTAGATTTAGGGAGAGTTAGGAATAGCTAACATTTATTAAGCACTTAGTATCAGATACTCTTCTAAGTGTTTTACACATATATTTTATTTTGTCTTACATAAATCTGTGATTTCCATTGTACAGATGAGTGTAATGAGGGTCTGGAAGCTCCTAAGCAGCAAAGCTAGCCTTGGAACCCGGCACTGGACTTCGGTATCTTGAGACCACCCCTGGCTTCCCTGCCTCGGGGAAAGAGCGTGAGGCTCAGAGTCAGGCAGTCTGGGGTTCAAATCCTAGCTCTGTCAGTTACTCTGGCCTCGGTGACTTTTTATTCATCCATCTGTTCAGCAAGTGTTAACTGAGATTGAACCTTGCACCAGATGCTGTGCTGGGTGCCAGGGGCACAGTGGTGAGCAAGACCCAGGATCCTGTTCTCATGGGCTTTTAGCCCACCCCTCCAAAAAGTACAGAGCTGCCAGAAAGGAACATAATGCCCTAAGGGCATATGACTAGGGAAACTGTGGGTCTTGGGAAGGCTTCCCCCAGAAAGGGACTTCTGAGTGGATCTTTAAAGGAAGAGTCAGCTAAGCTATATTTCTCCCTCTCCGTCCCCCTCACCTTCCCTCTCTTCTGTCTCTCTGTGTCTCTGTTTCTCTCCGTCTCTCTTTCTGGAAACTCTTACACCTGGACCCAGCTGTCATGCTGTGAGAGAGCCCAGGCCCCATGGAAGGGCCATGTGAAGATGTTGTGGCCAACAGCCCCAGTCAGAACCAGCTATGTAGTTTGCAGGCTCCAGTGCACAGTGAAAATATAGGGCCTCTCCTGTGGAGAAATAGGAACGCTTTTACACTGTTGGCAGGAATGTAAATTAGTTCAACCATTGTGGAAAACAATGTGGCTATTTCTCAAAGATCTAGAACGAGAAATACCAGCAGCCCCATTACTGGGTATATACCCAAAGGAATATAAAGATACATGCACCTGTATGTGCATTGCAGTACTGTTTACACTAGTGAATATATACACCATGGAATACTATGCAACCATAAAAAGGAATGAGATCATGTCCTTTGCAGCGACATGGATAGAGCTGGAAGCCATCCTCAGCAAACTAACACAGGAACAGAAAACCAAACACCGTATGTTCTCACTTATAAGTGGGAGCTGAACAATGAGAACACATGGACACAGGGAGAGGAACAACACACACTGGGGCTTGTCAGGGGTTTGCAGGGAGTGAGAGTATCAGGATAAATAGCTGATGCACTCAGGACTTAATACCTAGGTGATGGGTTGATGTGTGCAGCAAAGCACCATGGCACTTGTTTACCTATGTAACAAACCTGCACGTTCTGTACATGTATCCCAGAACTTAATAAAATATTTTAAAAAGACAGGAAGCACACTATATCAAAAAAAGAAAAGAAAATACAGGGCCTCTTGTTTAAAAATAATTATTAAGATTCCCAAAATGGTGACAACAGAGCATTAAATCAACCATAGAGCCCTTCTCAATGTAGTGCCTTGAGCAACTGAACACGTTGCATACCCATGAAGCCCTGGCCCAGCTGAGGTTCCAGCATCCCCTGCCAGCAGTAAGAGTGAGGAAGCCTTCCAGAGCACATCGGCCCAGCCACTGTGTGATTGCAACTGTATAAGAGATCCTGAATGAGAGCCACTCAGGGCACCTCCAGACATGCCCAGCACGCAAACTTTGTAAGCAAGTAAATAAATGATCAGAATTGTTAAAAAAAAAAAAAAAAAAAGTCAGCTACGCTAAGGAACGGGGGCAGAGTGGGTTCTAGGCAGAGGAAAAAGTACAAGGTGCTGGGTCAGATGGCTGTGTGGTGTGTTTAGGAGCTGAAGTGGGTTGTGGTAGGAGGGAGCAGAGTTGAGGGGAGAGTGGGTAGAGAGGGAGAGAAGAATCCAAGAATTCCAGGCTTGTCCTGAGAGCAGAAGATGCTGGGGGATACAGGAAGGGAAGGACCTACCATGGTTTGCACTTGTAAAGACCTCCTTAGGCTGCGGGATTCTGACTTGGTGAAGGGAATAGAGTTCCTGCAGTGAAATGGGTAGGCCCAGTTAAGAGGCTGTGCAAGGGGAGGGAATAGCCATGGACTGGACCAAGGCAGTAGCAGTGGAGATGGGGAGGACTTGGACAGATTTTGAAGATGGAATTCAATAAGACATAGTGAAGGACTGGAAGGAGAAAGAGAAGGGACAAGGGTTACTGAGCCCCTAGGTGAATGGAAGTGTCCTTGCTGGGAAAGGGAGAGAGTGGAGGAGAATGGGGTTTAAGCAAGCTTGTCATGGGTTTCATCCTAGGCTAGCTGAATTGAAGGTGCTTTTGCTAAAAGAGATGCTAATCAAATAGTTGGATAGATCAAGCTGCAGGTGGAATTTGGGGAGCTTTCAGGGTATAGACAGAGAATGAAGCTCTGAGCATGGATGAAATTACCTGCAGACAACATCTAGAGCTGTGCTATCCAGTACAACAGCCACTAGCCACGTGTAGTTACTAATGTTTACATTAATTGAGGTCAGGCTTGGTGGCTCATGCCCGTAATCCCAACACTTTGGGAGCCTAAGGTGGGCGGATCACTTGAGGTCAGGATTTTGAGACCACCCTGGCCAACATGGCAAAACCCCGTCTCTACTAAAAATACAAAAAAAATCTGGGCGTGGTGGCATGTACCTGTAATCCCAGCTACTTGAGAGGCTGAGGCACGAGAATCACTTGAACCCAGGAGGCAGAGGTTGCAGTGAGCTGAAATTGTGCCATTGCACTCCAGCCTGGCAACAGAGCGAGACTCCGTCTCCCCCCTCCAAAAAAAATTTAATTAATTAATTGAAATGAAATACAATTTCAAATTCAATTGCTTGGCTGCCTACTCGAGACTTGATTGTCTCCTATGTGTAGACATTCATACTTACCTCGCTGGGGTATTATGTGAATCAAATGCTGAAATTTATGTAAGGCACCAATAAGTGCGGTGTCTGGCATTCTTAAACATTGCCAGAATTAATGTGGGATATTCTATAGTTCTCAATAAATATTAGTGTCCCCCTCTTTTTTCTGGCAGGGTGTGGCAACTTGGTGAGGTCCCTCACTATTTCTCTGGCTCTCCGTTGCCTCAGAGCAGGAGGACTATGAGCCCTCTGCGCTGCCATGTCTGATTCTGCGGCCTGTGAGCCCAAGGGCCTCATGAGCTATACAGATTTATGCCAAGTGTCTTCTCCTCATCACTTCCCTCGTCTTGCAGGACTGACTAGCTGTGGCCAGTGGGGTGAGTTTTACCTTGAGCTCTCCGTCTATACCCTGTGAGCTCTCCAAATTCCAGCTGCGGCTTGATCTATGTCTCTGATTAGTGGATGTCATGGTTTATGATCTGCTGAGCCACATCTAGCCATACTCAGACCGGTGGTTCTGGGGACTGAGAGCAAGTCCTTTTATGGCCTGTGGCACCAGAGCCATAGAACAGTGACTCATTTTGAGCCAAGAGTGTTTATTCCTGCTACAAGGATGCCAGGGCCCCCAGCAAACCCTGACTCAACCTGAAGGATGAGCAACCGCAGTGCTGTTTAGGAATGGTGGATCTTATTACAGCAATTGACAGTGTTTATAGGGTGGCCCTCTATTACTCTGCTTTAATGCTGCTATCAACAACAGACATTTATTGAGCTCTTAATGAGTACCGGAGACTGTGCTAATACTGTCTATATAACCCTTCATTTTATTCCTGCAACAGCCCATGTGGCAAACATAATACAATGCTTCCCATCTTGCAGATGAGGATTCTGAAGTTTGGCAAGTTCAAGTAGCTTGCCCAAGGCCCCACAGCTCACAGCCTGAGCCAAGCTCAGACGCCTGTGCCTTCACGCTGACTGTCGGATATTATTCATCCAAGCAGGACACATTAGTCCTGCAAGATTGAAAGAGGCAGCGAAGGGGAGCCATTTGTGCGTAACGTCCACCAAATGGCAATGCTGTTCATGAAATTGCACTAACCGAGGAACACGGAAACGTAGGAGGTTGGAGCGTGGGCCTTAAGAGATCATTTTATTATTTCACAGGTCCGAAAACTGGGGCCCCAAGAGATAAGGGCTGTGCCAGGTGACATGCAGATCAATGAAGACACGCCCTTCCCTGACCACCCAGTCAACTCGAAGCCTAGTGCCTGCCTAGTGTACCCTGCCTAATTAGGGTGCTCTTGCTGTGGGCAGTGGGGTGAGGTGGGAGGAAGGTAAGAAACCACTGAATTAAAGGAACTCTGAATTGAAGGATCTCACTTCCAATTTGTTGCCCCTCCCCCTCCACCCTACCCATCTAGTGTCTGGATTACCTCATTTGATAGCCCCCAAACTCATAGGATCATCAGGATCATGTGAAGGACCTGCTAAAACTTCAGATTTCCCAGGCCACAACCCTGGAGCTCCAGATGCAGCGTGTCCGGGGTTGCAACTGGGAAATGGCACTTCCTTAAAATCTCCAACTGATTTTAATATGCATTGAGGCCGGGCGCGGTGGCTCACGCCTGTAATCCCAGCACTTTGGGAGGCCGAAGTGGGCGGATCACAAGGTCAGGAGATCGAGACCATCCTGGCTAACACCGTGAAACCCTGTCTCTACTAAAAATACAAAAAATTAGCCGGGCGTGGTGGTGGGCGCCTGTAATCCCAGCTACTCAGGAGGCTGAGGCAGGAGAATGGCGTGAACCCGGGAGGCGGAGCTTGCAGTGAGCCGAGATCGCGCCACTGCACTCCAGCCTGGGCGACAGAGCGAGACTCCGTCTCAAAAAATAAAAAAAAAAGCGCATTGAAATTTGGGAACTGCCACCTTAATCCATGACGACTAAGATGCAGATGAGGAAGCTGAAGTTTGGCAAGTTCAAGTAGCTTGCCTAAGGCCACACAGCTCACAGCCTGAGCTAAGTTCAGACGCCTGCACCTTCACGCTTACTGTTGGATATTATTCATCCAAGCAGGACACTCTAGTCCTGCCAGATTGAAAGAGACAGCGAAGGGGAGCATTTGTGTGTAATGTCCACCAAATGGCAATGCTGTTTATGAAAAAAGTGATTAACATTGTTCTGTAGAACACCAGCTCAGTTCCATGGGGGCATGAGGAGGTGTTATGTAAAAAAAAAGAAAAAAAATTGTCTGGAAGATTTTTAACAGCGATTGTTGAAGATTATTTTATAAGTTTGGGAACTGTTGAGTTAAAGGAGTGATTCCTACGGTGGCTTCACATTAGCATCACCTGGGAAACTTTTGACAGCTCCTGCCCAGGCAATGCTGAGTCCCTCTTAGGGGCAGGACTCAGGAATAAATCATTTGTAAAACTCCCCAGGTAATTCTAATGTGTGGCCAGGTTGAAAGGCACTAGGTTAGACAAAGCTAAATTGGCTTTTTAAATTGCAGAACTTCTCAGGGCTTTCAATACACAGTGAAATGCACATTGTGGATCCCTAAAAGGAGAAATAGATAGTTTATTTTCTCAGCCTGGGCATCTGGGGCACACAAGAGAAAAGAAGGCATAGCTAGGAAAGGAAGGTCATACGAAGTATGGAAAGAGTATGTATTAGTAAGAGGTGGTGAGGACAGGCAATGTGAAATTTAGAGACTCGTCTAATTTTTTTAATGCAAATGAACATGAATTTATTTTTAGACTGATTAGAATCTCAGGGATAATTTGCTAATTGGTAATGGTTCCAATACTTTTTCAGCCACACAGCATTTCTATATGCAATAAAAACAGCATCAATTGTATTATCCTAGTGGGGGCTCCGAATACACTGTGTGGATCATATGGACTGGAGATGTTAGTGCCATTCTACAGAACGTGATGCTTTAAAAATATCAATCAGCTCCTGTCATTCCCCTACTTAAAACTGTCTGAAGGATTCCCCTCCCATTCCTCACTTTCTTACAAAGCCTTGCATTACTGATGTCTAAATTTTTACCCCCACCCAAAAAACCCGAGCATGCACCCTCATGATAAGCACAATCATTTGGAAATTAAAGACATAGTATTGGCAATAATATAGTAACATTAATTGACTTTAATTTCCTTCTTAAACGTTTAGAGGCAGAAATAAAGGTGGCGAGACATTCGGCTATTTTTTTCCTGCACAATTGATCATCATTTGCACCCCGTTTTGAGGCCACACCTCGTCTGGTCTCTGCCTTTCTCCAGCATCATCTTTTTTTCACCATCCCCCCCTTTCTTTTCTTTTCTTTTTCTTTTTTTTTTTTTGAGGCAGAGTCTCACTTTATCACCCAGTCTGGAGTGCAGTGGCGCAATCTCAGCTCACTGCAACCTTCAGCTCCCAGGTTCAAGCAGTTCTCATGCCTCAGCCTCCCGAGTAGCTGGGATTATAGGTGCACACCACCATGCCTGATTTTTGTATTTTTAGTAGACACAGGATTTCACCATGTTGGCCAGGCTGATCTCAAACTCCTGACCTCAAGTGATCCACCTGCCTTGGCTTCCCAAAGTGCTAGGATTATAGGCATGAAGCCAGTGTGCCCGGCCCGATCACCATCTTATCCCACGCAGACTACACTCCCACCTCACAGCTTCCGTCTGAACTTCCAAGTGCAGCCCAGACTTTGGGACACGCACGATCTGTTTCCTCCACTTATCATGCTCATCCTCCTGTTTTCACATTGCTGGCTTCTCCTGGTCACACTGGTCTTATTTTCACTGTTGCCTCTTCAGAAGGACCTTCCATGGCCACTCCACATAAAACTGAGATCAGACATCACCACTGACTCAGACCCACTGACTCAGACATCACCCATTTTAATTATTTGAGTAGCGCTTCCCACTGTCTGATGTTTTTCTTATTGGTTTGTTCATCGTCTGCCTCCTCCAGCAGAGAAGAACAGTGCCCACTACAGAGGAAGAGCTGCGTTAACTACTTTTTGGATAAAAACACAAACTGGGCTGGGCGTGGTGGCTCACACCTGTAATCCGAGCACTTTGGGAGGCCGAGGTGGGCGGATCACAAGGTCAGGAGATCGAGACCATCCTGGCTAACATGGTGAAACCCCGTCTCTACTAAAAAACCAAAAAATTAGCCAGGCATGGTGGCAGGTGCCTGTAGTCCCAGCTACTTGGGAGGCTGAGGCAGGAGAATGGCGTGAACCCAGGAGGCAGAGTTTGCAGTCATCCGAGATCACGCCACTGCACTCCAGCCTGGGTGACAGAGCGAGACTCTGTCTCAACCAAAAAAAACAAAACAAAAAAACAAAAAAACAAAAACACATACTGAGACTCAGAGGGATTAGAACACTTGTCTAGGCCTGGCTGTCAGTTAATGGTAGAGCTAGAATTTGAACCCCCAACCTATATGACCCCGAGTTCAAGGTTCTTTGCTTCATGCCATGCTGCCTCGTTCTTCAGGGGCTGGTGAGAGTGGTTTGAGCCCACACTCTGACAGTCTGAGTCTGAAATCTGTTATGATGTCAGATGACTATGGAATTTGAAAGAAAAAAAAAAGTGACTGGCATTTTACGCTCTGTTTCACAGCCAGCCAGTAATGGGAGGTTGGAAAAATTCTGGAGTCTGAAATAATTCGGGCAGGCGCAGCTGCAAATGAGAAAAGTCTGTGGTCAGGAACCGCAGAAGGTGAACACAGCCTGGAGAAATGCTTGCCCACGTGTCATGACGGAGCCCAGAATCCAAGGAAAGGTGCCAGATGTGTTTGTTGAAGGAGAAAGGAGGCTCTTCCATATTTCCTTCCATTCCTTGTGCAATTTTGAAGCATCAAGACCTGGCACCTAGAGAGAGAGGTATTGAACACGTATGCTCTTCCTTCCTTTTATTGAGCACCTGCCAGGAACTGAACTCGAATTATTTCTGTTAGCAGTTTCTGGAAATCCAGCTAGCTGGTCCTTCCTCTGCCCAGAAGGTCCTGTACCCACTCGTTTATGCTGAGGGGGTGGGGGGAAAGCAGAAAGGAGGATGAACCCCTGAGGCCCTGTGATCTTTGAAGAATAAATGGTTCAACTATTTGGATGCCTAGTTAGGTATGTTTGTTAAGAACCCCCATCACCTCCCTGTCTTACTTCTTCTCTTTCCAGGAGTAACTCACTTACAGTTGAACTAGAAAGCAGTTGGTTGTCTGGCCCTGTCGGTGTTTCCATCCTATTTTCACACCATGTCCTCTATGTTTTGTTTTGTTTTGTTTTTAAGAGACAGGTTCTCACTCTGTCACCCAGGCTAGAGTGCAGTGGCACAATCAAGTGGTCCTACTGCCTCAGCCTCCCAAATAGCTGTGACTACAGACGAGTGCCACCCTGCCTGCCTAATTTGTAAAAAATGTTTTGTAGACATGGGGGTCTCACTATGTTGTCCAGGCTGGTCTCAAACTCCTGGCCTCAAGTAATCCTCCTACTTCGGCCTCCCAAAGCAATAGGATTATAGGCCTGAGCCACCGTGCCCAGCCACCCCATGTCCTCTTAATGCAAGGTGGGTTTCTCCCTTCTTCCCTTTCTGTTGAGAACAGGATCCCTAGTGATGAATAAACAGGCAGAATAAAGAGGATCAAATTTGACAACTGAAGGCGAGGAAATTAGCAACTGAATTTTCCCTGCCTGGATCTTCTTCTTTCATATCCTGTTATCAAAACAATATTGATGGTGTTGTGTTGAAAGGAGGTTTCCTCATTCATTCATCCAAGCGTAGGTACACTCATTGATTGGTTAAAAGCACAACCTTTGGAGTCAAACAGAACCACGTCTGCCACCGGCTGGCCTTGGGACCTGTGTTAGTATCCTAGAGCTGCCATAACAAAATACCACAAACTGGGTGGCTCAGCATAGCAGAAACTTCTCTGAAGGCTGTGGATCCTTCCTCACCTCTTCCAGCTTGACTTACGGCCTCATCACCCCAGTCTCTCTCTCTGTTTCTCATCTGCCTTCTCCTCTTCTGTCTCTTTGAAGGACACTTGTCTTTGGACAGTATCTTTGTAATTCTCCTGAGTAATCCAGGGTGATCTCATCTCAAGATCCTTGACTACATCTCCCAAGTCCCTTAAATGGGACTTTGACCACCATTTAGCCCACTAAACAACCTCAGGCAAGTTATTCAACCTCTCTGTGCTTTGGTGGTTTTAGCTGTAAAATGGAGATGCCCGTACTATGTATCCCGTAGGGAGAATAAGTAGAAGGCTCTTTCAGTGTCCGCGCATAGCGTGTGTACCATCAACAGCAGATACTCTCGTTTACTGAGTATCCGCCCTGTGCTCAGACATTGTGCTCGGCTCACACTGCATACCCTGATGAGCTGAGTCCCACGCCCCCTCTGATATAGTCTGCAGAACCTGTGTTTAATTCCTGTGTGCATCTGAGGTCTACCCAGTGATGGGAGTGCCCAGCAACTCTGCAAAGCCCAGTTTTCCTACAGATAGAGAATGACCCATGGCCCCACCAGTAGGGAGAAGTTTGGAGGCAATTCTAGAAAGTTTCTCAGCTTATTCCAAGATATCTTTCTGGCAATTTTTGGGACAGAGGAAACTAGCAGCTGTGTGATGGTTAATACTGAGTGTCAATTTGATTGGATTAAAGGATGCAAAGTAATGATCCTGAGTGTGTCTGTGAGGGTGTTGCCAAAGATTAACATTTGAGTCAGTGGGCTGGGAAAGGCAGACCCACTCTTAATCTGGGTGAGCACCATCTAATCAGCTGCCATTGTGGCCAGAATATAAAGCAGGCAGAAAAACCTTGAAAAGGCTAGACTGGCTTAGCCTCCCAGCCTATATCTTCCTCCCATGCTGGATGCTTCCTGCCCTTGAATATCAGACTCCAAGTTCTTCAGCTTTGGGACTCGGACTGGCTTCCTTGCTCCACAGCTTGCAGATGGCTTATTGTGGAACCTTGTGATTGTGTGAGTTGATACTACTTAATAAACTCCCCTTTATATATACATCTATCCTATTAGTTCTGTCCCTCTAGAGAACCTTGACTAATACAAGCTGGTTCTTAGAAGTCAAGCTAGACCTGCATCCTGTCCTCACTCCAGCCCCAGCCCACCCGGCCTAGCCACTGTGGTCTTTTCTCAGTATTTGGAATTGACAAGGACACTTCTTATCCACCACACAGTAGGTGTTCCACAGAGGACAGGGCTGTGAGCATCGTGAGAACAGCAGCATGTTGCAGCCCAGAAACTGGGCATCCGAGAAGGGAGTTGGTCTGATAGAGAGCTGGCAGGAGTGCCTGTCCCTTCTTTGCAGTTCTCTTGGGTGACCTTGAGCAGGACCCCACGCTTCTCTAAGACTCAGATATTCAGTTAGAGTTTGATGGGGTTGATTTAGAGCAGTTTTCCAACCTAAAAAACAAAACAGTAAGACTTGCTTTAAAATCTTTCCCCAAATCCCATTTTATGTAACTCAAATATCTGCTGAGGGCTCCCTGTCCTCAGTCCTACCCCCATGAAAGTCCAGTGGCTTCCCTAGGATTTTTTTCAAGTATCCCTACTTGCCCAGGTAGCAGATGGCCTGATAATTTAATGCAGTTCAAAGGAGCAGGTTGCTGGAATTTAATTAAGAAACAAACACTTTGAGAATGCTTGCTCTTGGAGACAGACTTGAGGGCTGGTGATCAGGGTCATGAGGTTGCATACCCCCAGGGGAGTTTATTAAGTAGTATCAACTCACATGATCACATGATGGGCCAGGGGGCCCATTCACAGCAGAGACCAGGGGAACCAGCTGGGTGGAATGAGGCCCACATGGCTGTGTGCAGTGGCCTGTGGCCTATGAGGGAGACATGTTTGTTCTGTGACCTTCTCCTCTTGCATTCTATCCCTCCAGGCACTGACCTGCTGGGTCTATGCAAGTGGAGCACTTAGAATAAGCCCAGACTCCTTTTCATGGCCTGAGAATCCTTCCATGATCTGGCCTCTGCCTGCCTGCCTCTCCAGACCCTCCCAGGACCAGTCAATTGATTCCTGCCTCTGGATGTTTGCAGTTGCTGTTTGATCTGCTTGGATCATTCTCTCCAACCCCTAATATTCCCATGACCACTTCACTCTCCTCATTCAGGTCTTCAGGGTAAATGCTACCTCCTCTGAGACAACTGTTTGGAGCACTTTGTCTACAGCCGCTCTCTGTCTCCTGTTACCCCCAGCTGCTTAACCCCTCTGTGCCTTGGCTTCTCACCTATAAAATAATGGCACTGTACCACATAGGATGGTTATTAGGATGGAATGAGTTAATACAGGAAGAATACTTAGACCTGGCATAGGAAGTACTCAATGAATGTTAGTTATTTACATGATCGTCCTCATCGTTAATTTCAGCCCAGACTTGCTAACCTTGATTCGAAGTTTCAGACAGCTTTCTTACACACATGCCACAGGAACCAGAGTTAGGTGAAGAGCATGCCTAGCAGAGGGAGCAGCATGAACCAATGCCAGACACAGCACTGTGACCTGGGAAAGCCCAGGCGGAGTGGTATGGATCAAGTGTGATGTTTGAGGAATGAAAAAGGAAATGGTGGTGGAGGAGTCACTAGAAGACCTTGTAGGCCAAGTTGAGAGGTTGGCAGTGGGGAACCAGTGAAGGGTTTTCAGCAGATGTGCACGTTGGAAAGATGGCCCTGCACCTTTTTTCCCCACATGAGAGTCAAACCCAAAGCAAGGGTCCTCGTTACTCCTCTGAAACTGCTCTCTCAGGGACCTCAGTTTATACATCCAGTGGGGGGATTTCCGATGATGTCCTTCTTGATCTTTCTGATCCACTTGAGAGTTGACCACACCATCTCTCCTAAACCCTTCTGCATTCTTGGTGTATTAGTCCATTTTCATACTGCTATGAAGAAATACCTGAGACTGGGTAATTTATAAAGAAATCGAGGTTTAATGGACTAACGGTTTCACATGGCGGGGGAGGCCTCACAATCATGGCGTAAGGCAAAGGAAGAGCAAAGGCATGTCTTACATGGCAGCAGGCAAGAGAGCATGTGCAGGAGAACTGCCTTTATAAAACCATTAATCATATCAGACTTATTCACTATCATGAGAACAGCACGGGTAAAACCCACCCCCATGATTCAATTACCTCCCATCAGGTCCCTCCCATGACATGTAGGGATTATGGGAGCTACAATTCAAGATGAGATTTGGGTGGGGACACAGCCAAACCACATCATTTGGCTTCTTTGATATGTTACTAGATCTTCTGAGAGGCAGCACATTGTGCTGGAAACAGCCCTGACTTTAGGCCTGGATTAGAATCACAAGCTCATCACTGCCTTAGTTGTGGGACTCAGGCAGTTTACTCGACTCTCACCTTCAGAAGCTTTTCTGCACCCTGGGGATTAAAAGACCCAGCTGAGTATTGACTTTAAGTATGTAGAGGACACTACCCCATCCCACTGCTTCCTTCTGTCTCCTGCTTTCTATTTTTCTTCCTGCCCCTAAATGTAGGTATTTTCCAAGGGAGCTGCCCGAATCATTACTATTCAGCTGACACAAGCCTTGGTTCCAAATTTTCATATCTCTTCTACCAACTTTCTAAGCTGTTATAAAAGAGTAGAGAGGTTTCAGTAGAGAGGAAGTCTACTGAAGGATTATTGTTTGAGGCTTTTCTTTTTCCACATACATTTCTCAATGTGCTGAGTCTATCGAGAAAAATTTTGTCTCCAAGAGAAGGTGCAAGAATAGGCAAGAAACACAGTCCTACTGAGAGGCTTTTTAATTAGCCTCATACATGGATTGATTTTTCTCTTCCTGTTTAAATTGAACATCTCTGTAGTTTTAGAGCGAGTTGCCACTTTCTCCAAATTGCATGAGGTAAAGAAAAAGGAGAGATCTGTTACTAAGTGAAGTAGACAGAAGGGATTTCCTTTAAATACCCACAGCACGTGGACTTCTCTGCTGGGACCTTCCACAGCTGAGAGGGATGGCAAGTACTGACCAGATAATATATTGGTGCCAGAAGGGAGCACCCGCTCTGTGCCTCTTTAATGACGAGAAAGAGAATCTGCTTAGACTTTCTTAGAATTTAAGGCAAAGAGAAAAAGCCTGCAAAGCTCTTCTGCTAAGAGAAAATATAAAAAGTGCTGAAATGCTTCAGAGAAAAGGAAATCATGCATTTCTAGGCCTAGCACTGAATTGTTCGGTAAACGATATAAGCCACCTTTGACAGGGGTCCACTTTATTTCTTCTCTGGAACCCCACTATACAGAAATAAAAGTTGGGCTGCTCAGTCAAAGCAGGGAAGTAGGCTCAAAGTACCCCCTGCGCCTTCCACTTCGGCCTAGAGGTGAGCTGATCTTTGAAGACCATGGATCTCATCCAATCTCTTCATTGTGCAGATGGAGAAACTGATGGACCAGAAAGGCCTCCATTTGCCCAAGGCCGGTAATTACATATTTAGCATTTACTCAGGCTCTCGACAAATACTTACTGAGCACCTATGGTGTGCCCGGCACTCTTCTGGACACTGAGCTACAGCAGTGAACAAGAGACAGAGTCCTTGGCCTGAGGGAACTTATACTCTAGTGGGGAAGACAAAGTACAAAGAAAAAAATATATAATGTAATGTCAGGTAATAGAAAATGCTATAGAGAAAAGAAAGGCTGGGAGGTAGATAGGTTTGGGGAGCTACTTTCAATGGGATAGTCAAGGAGGGGTCTCGAGGAGGTAAAATTTGAGCAAAGAGAGGGATCCAGGAAGATACTGGGGGAGAGGAATCTAGATGGAGGAAGGAACAAGCGTGAAGTTCCTAACATGAGAATGGACATGATATAAGCAAGGCCAGCATGGCCAGGGCTGAGTGAGCGAGGACAAGAGTGATGGAAGATGGGTCAGAGAGGGAGATGGGTCAGAGAGGGAGATGGGCCAGATCTGCAAGGCCTTACAGGCCATGATGAGGCCCTACAGGTTGCAGAAAGTCTTTGGATTTTATCCAAAATGGAATGGGAGCCCACTTTGAATGCATGGTTCCAAGCAGAAGAGTGACATGGTCTGCATTAGGCTTTAAAGGAATAATTCTGCCAGTCTGCTAAGTGGAGAATAGGCTGTAGAAAGATAAGAGGGAAACAGTGAGACCAAGAGGAGACTTTCACAGTTGTTTAGGTGAGAGATCTTGATGGCTTGGACCTTGATGGCAGCAGTGGAGGTGATGAGAAGTTGGCAAGATTTGGGATCTATTTTGCAGGCAGATCTGCCAAGATTTGCTAACAGATTGAATGAGGAGATAACTTCTTATGCCTCTTTTGTGCAAAGCACTATACTAGGTTGTATTAATTAGGACTCTTGCTTATAAGAGCAGAAACCCAACTCACACTGGCTCCTGTAACTGAACAGTCAAGCCATAGATGAGTTTCAGGCATAGTTGGTTCCAGGATTGCAAATTATATCTTCAGAATTTAGCCTTCTCTCTTATCTTGGTTCCATTTCTCACATGTAGCCCCCAGCAGCTCTAAGCTGACACAAAGCTTATGGATATCAATTGCCATGGGGAAAGAATATTTCTTCCTCTATAGTTTCAACAGAACTGATGGTTCATCTACCTTATGTTACCTGCCCTTTTCTGACACAATCACTCTGTCCAAGAAAATAGAATACACAGCTTGACCAAGCCTTCTTGTGTGCTCAATCTGGAATCGGGAGTGGTGGCAGAGAAGTGTCCCTTCCCCCCTAAAGTTGTGCATTACTAGGAGGGAGAAAAACGAATACTATGTAGGCAAAAATAATCAATGTATACTACCTGAGGATAATAAGAATTTTTTCAATAAGTGAGAATTCTGCCTTCTCATTTTTTCTTGTCACAAAGTATGCTTTCACATAGACATAAAATGTAATTGTAGCAAAGAGAACTACAATGTGCTTGATACCCATTTTCAGAGTGCTTCGCCACACATTATCTAGCTGCAGAACACAGTATCTCCATGCCAAGAAAAGGAAGGTGAACCTGAAAAGCTGACAGTCACATGTTCTCTAACCACCTGAAGAGCACTGAGAGAGCGGAAAGTCGTACAGTATTTCTCCCATTCAGACAGGAGAGCACACTGTATCCAGCTATTGTGTAAGGAGGATGGAGAAGTGGGACATTGATGGTGCAGGGTGGTGTGGTGTGTGGGGCCGGGAGGAGAGAGGTTGGTGATGAGAAAAAGCAGGGGACGTTGCACAGAGGTCCCGATTTGGAGCCCGTGATGCCAAATGACCCTGGACATCAGGCTTTCTGCTAAAAAAGGATAGCTGAGTCACACTGAATTATTCAGACAAAAGTTTGGTGACAAGCTGATACCACTCCAGGCCTGTCCCTCAGCAGTGTGGGCTGTTTGGCCTTGAGAATGCAAGCCAGACTCATTTAAAGAAACACTGAGAAGACGCTGGTTTTGCTTCATTGAAGTAACAGTTCCTCCACTACCTCTCTTGCTTTCAGTGACATCTGCTCACTTCCCTGAGTTGTTTTCTTTGGATAGTTTTGTACTTGCCTGAGTTTTGTTTGCCTCTGGGGCTGATTTAGTCTTGTCAGTTAAGAAGATTCCCAAAGCCCCAAATTTGCCCATGAAATTGTTAACTTGCATCTTCCTACCCACCATGGCACCATAAGCTGTGCCACGTGACGTGGGAGGACTCAGCTAATGCCATTACCTTGAGAAGCCAGAGCGGGCACTTAAGTGGTGTGAAAAACAACAATAACAACAACAAAAAACAAATAAAAAACCAGTTCAGATTCTCCACCCTGGGGTCGTCTCCCTGGTTACCTTATCAGTGGCGGCTTCATCCTGGAGACCCTGGGGTCTAATTCAGGTTCAGCGCTTCTCCAGTGCATCCTTGGAAATTCGAAGTGTTTACTAGGAAAACAGTGTCCCCTGCCTTTTTCTCCTTTCTCTACCCCTCACCCACTGCAGGTAAACATCAAGGTGGCAGAATTGCTGCTCTGTGGTCCATTCAGGCCCATATTCCTTCTCCCTTGGAGATGCGGAGTGGATTCAGGATCGAGAGTAGAGAGGAAGATGCAGTGAAAGAATTTAAAAGGCTGCTTGGTTTAATGAAAAGCCCTGAGGCTTTGGAATCAGCCAAGGATGGGTTTGAGCCCCAGCTCTGCTACTTATTAGAGGTGTGGCTTTGAATGCGTGGCTCCATCTTTCTGAGTTTCCATTTTCTCAGCTGTAGACTGGGAATGACATGCACTTTATGAGGTGCTGTAAGGAAAAAAGGAAGGAAGAGTCAAAACTCTTTTCAGCCCAGACTCCTCTCCTGACCCAGACCTGTATACCACCCAGCTGTTGCTGGAAGGGTCCACCTAGATGACCCTCAGAACCCTAAAACCTAGCACTCATCTCCCCACATTGCCACACACCAAGCTAGCTCCTCCCAGCTCCTCACCTGAACTCCTGCATATCTGCCACTTTCACATGCAGGGTGAATGGGCCACGCCTGTTAGGTTTGCCTGATTAACGTATTTATGGCCAGTCCTCCCTCTGTGTTCCTCTGCTCCTGCCTTGGCCCTGTCCCTCCTAGTAGCTGTCTAACTGGTCTCCCCACTCCAGTGGTCCATGCTGCGGACACAACATCTTTTCTAAAATCCAGACCCGGTCATCTCACACCCTCGATTGCCTGCCATGGCTCCCATTACCTAAGCATAGTGCCCCAAACTCCTTAGCAGACCAGGCCCTGTCTGCCTTCCCGGCTTTATCTCTCGACAGTCCACGGCCCTGCCATGCTGACCTCATGGTTCGTGCTTCCATGCGTTTGCCAATGCCAGCCCCTCCACCGGAGTGCCATTTTCCCTTTGTCTCCTGGATTGCACACGTAATACTTCCTTATTTTTCAAAATTAGCTCAAGAATCACCTCCTCTATTATCTAAACATTAAAAGGAATGAAGTCCTGATACCTACCATATGGATGAATTAAGCAACGACTTAATTGGAACAGATTTCCTTGTGGGGTGAGGAAAATGTTTTGGAATTAGATAGGGTGAGGATTGCACAAAACTGTGAATGTACTAAATGTACTAAACTAGACTGTTCACCTTAAAAGGGTTAATTTTTGTATTATATGATTTTGCCTAGATTAAACAAACTCAAAGAATTGCACCTTAAAAGGGTTAATTTTGTATTATATGAATTTTGCCTCGATTAAACAAACTCAAAGAATTGCTCCTTTTGTAAAGACTTTCATGGACCTCCCGGGTGAAAACCAGACCGCTTTTTTAATGGTGGCCCCATGCCTACCATATTTCATTCAGATCTTATCAGATCACTCCCAGAACTTCACTACACTCATTTATTTCCATGCCTGTGAACCCAGCGGCCTATGAGCTCCTTAAGCTCCATCTTCTGCAGCTAGCACACGGCCAGGCACGTGGTGATGCTCAGTTGGTGCCAATCCTCCCCTACCCTTGTCTTTCTGGGAGGTTGTAACCTTTCAAGTCCCACATTCTGGAGAAGGGGGAAAGCCTCCACCCAGTTGGGTTCGACCATCCATCACAGCCTTCTGAGTCGTTTGGAGTTCAGCCTTCTGCAGATCTGGATCTGTTCTGCGGCTACAGAAGGCATTTGCATTTCTAGCACGGGCTTCCTGGCCTCCCTCCCTCCCACCCCCAGCAAGGGGGACTCACAGAGCTCTGGCCTAGTTGCATAAATGCTGGCATCTCCTTTTCGACTCCTCTCCTGGGTGTTTCCTTTTTATTTACTATTCTCTCCAATTTTGTGCCATCAGCACTTCACAGCGGTGCCGTGTCCCTCTTTTTGGAGCAGTTTAGAATGATTAAGGACAAGTAGTGGCCCGCTGGCCCCATTGTGTCTAGGCAGGCCCAAGGTAGATCGATGCGGACAAGGAGGGGAGGGGTGGACGGACGGCAAGCCTGCAACAGTGGCTGTGAGCCTGCTGTGAGTCAGTGCAGAGCCCAGCCCATTGGGCTGCCCTCTGCATCCCCGATGGGACACAGCCCAGGAATCTGTGCATGGATGGTTCTAGCCCGAGGCCTGGAGTGGGCTCCCTGGCTGCTGTGGCAGGGTCACGATCGAGGGTGCTGCTGGCCTCTCTTCCTGCTCACTCAACCCGACTCCTCTCCCCTTCCTTTCTGGAGTCACCCCAGCAACATCCAGATGTCCTCTGCAGCGCCCCACCTGGGTCTCTTGCACATCTTGACCACGTTTGGGTTTACTGATTAGCTCATTGGCATGCACTGGCCTTGCTGAGAGTCAGGCTGTGAAGAAAGGCAGCCTTTATGGAGGGTGAAGGTCGGCACTGCCTTGACACCAGCCAGCAAATGTCCTGCACCTCAGCCTGGCCTCCCCTCTGCTGCCATCTGCCCGGCCACCCAAGCCACATCTCTGCCTCTCCCCTCCCCTCCTCTCCCACCTCTGCCAAGTCCTGGGGATTCTGTCCTCTTAAGTCCTCTCTATTTCATCCACCTTCCCCACGCCCACTGCTACTGCCTTCCCTTGAGTCACCATCACCTGTGACCTGGCAGTAGCCCCCTTATTCTCCTGCTTTTTTCAATTTCATCCATTTTCACCCCCCACTGCCCCAAGAGCCATTGTATTAGTTGTCCTGTTGCTGCTATAGCAAATTACCATAAACTTTGTGGCTCAAAGCAACACAGATGTCTTCTCCTATGGTCATGGAGGTCAGAAGCCCAAAATGAGGCTTCTGGGGCTAAAGTCAAAGTGGCAGCAGAGCTGGCTCCTTTTGGAGGCTCCAGGGGAAACCCTTCCTTGCCTCTTCCAGCTTCTAGAGGCTGCTGGCATTCCTTGGCTTGTGGGTGCACCACTCCATTCTCTTCTTCCATCATCACGTTGCCTTCTCTCTGACTTCTGACCCTCCTGTGTCCCTATTTTTTTTTTTTTAAAGAAACAGGATCTTGCTCTGTTGCCCAGGCTGGAGTGTAGTGGCACAATCACGGCTCACTGCAGTCCTGAATTCCTGGGCACAAACCACCCTCCCGCCTCAACCTCCCGAGTAGTTGGGACAACAGATGTGTGCAACATGCCTGGCTAATTTTTTATTTTTTGTAGACATGGGGTCTTGCTATTCTGAAGCGATTCTACCACCTCCCAAAGTACTGAGATCATGGGTGTGAGCCACGGTGCCTGGCTCTGTGTCCCTCTTATAAGCACGCTTGTGATTACCTTGGGCCTACTCAGATAATACAGGATAATCTTCCCATCTCAAGATCCTGAATTGATCACATCTGCAGAGTCTCTTCTGCCATGTAAGGTGACACGAGTTCCGGAGATTAGTTCATCATTGGGGTGCCATTACTCAGCCTGTCACAGCCATTTTCCAAAATACTCGCTACTTCTCTCATTAGAAATCTATGATGGTTCTCAGTGGCTTATGATCAAAGTTTAATGCTGACCGTCAAAATGGATTGAGCATTTGCCACATGCATCTGTGACAGTGGGTGAGGTGGTATGAGCTCATGTGTTCCCTGGATGCTGACCACGTCAAAATCTGGGAGCCATTTCAGGGCTTAGCCTGGTGTATTCCCAGCATGTTAGCACCTTTGCACACAAGTCAGAATCCCCCAGAACAGCCTTAAACGCCTTGCCCTCCTTGTTTCCACCTCATCTCCTCATGCATCCCAGGTCCAGCCCTGCCAAGCCACTTGCCGCCTCCCAAAACCCAGATCCTTGCTCTTTGACTCTCGCAGCATCTCTCGCAGTGTCTGGCACACAGCAGTCAGTAGGTGCTCAATAGATGCTTGTTGAATGGCTGGTTGAAAGACAGAAGAAATGGACAAATGAATAAAAGGAGTAAGGAGGACCAGCTTACCTGGCTAAGCCCTGAAAGGGCTCCTAGATTTGTACATGGTCAGCATCCAGGATCACATTGTCTGACACCATCTCATGCACCATAACATATGCTGCCAGTTCCCCAGCATGTCCTTGGCCATCCCCTGTATCTTTCTGCCTTGGATGTCCTGCCCTGGATGTCCTCGGGCCCCTGGAGCATGTTCAGCCTCACCTGGGAAGGCTCAAAGTATTGGGAAGTTAACACCCCAGGAGCACCCCTCCACCAATGAAGGATGCGAGTTAAGGAATAAACATCCCAGCATCCGCACCCTCACCTCCTTGGTGGGACAGTTCTGAGGGGTGCTCCACAGCCTCTCAGAGGGTCCCAGCAAGACTGAGCCCCAATACTGATAGTGGTAACCTTCTCATTAAAGCATCCTTGATTAGCTCTCTGCTCTTTCTCTTGCACTCCCCACTCCCTTGCTGTGCCTTCCAGATCAAAAACTTACAACCAAATCCCTGCCCCAGGGTTTGCTATTGGGGAAAGTCCAAACTAAAATTCCACACACTGTGAAGAGGCAAAATCCAATTAAAATAGTAAAGTCTAACATTTATTGAGCGTCTGCTCGGTGCCAGGCACCGTGATAGGCCAGCAGCACTCGTCATGTCACTTAATCCTCACAGCATCCCAGTGAGGTGGGTGCTGCTATCATTCCTCTTCTACAGATGAAAAAATGGAGGCCGAGAGAGGCGATGAGGTTTGTTCAAAGGCACGTAGCTGCCATATTGCTTCACCAAGCTGCCAGTCTAAGCATCTAGGGCAGGTAGGGGAGGAAGGTCCAGGGGAAAGAGAGGGAGAGAGGAAAGGAAGCATCCTTAAATTAGGAGGACTTGTTCTGTGAGGTGAGTGTGAAGGTTGGGGCTTGTTTCTCTGGCTTAACGCACAGAAAGTGCTGGGCTTCTGTTAGCAGCAGCTGGCAGGCATCCATTCTCTCCTTGTCTGCTCTGCTTCTGAGTTGAGTCAGTTCTGTTCCAGCTTGGGCAGAGCCTGCGAAATGGGTAGGACCAACTGCCAAGCTGACCCTTGGCTATAGCTGTCCCAGGGCTTGCATATAGGTAGCCCACTATATCTTTTGCCTCTGAGCTTGAGATGAAAAGCCACACTGCCATCAGCCTGGAAAACTGGTCGACCACACTTCTCCACCCCTGTCAATTTAAAATTTTCATTTTCTTTCCTGCTCAGCTCTCTTCACTGGGATGTAGGGAAATCGAGTGTGCAGTGAGTCACAGCTGTCACATTTGCTCACCTGAGCCAAATGGTTCCTCCCACTATGGGCTGGGCTCTTGGGCATTTGTCCTCACCTGCCAGGTTCGAATTGCAAGGTCAGCTGCACAGAAGCTGCTGATTCTTGAAAGTCTACTAGCTGCCAGTGGGTGAATGGTGGGTTCTGAGAGGTTTGACTCAATGGATTCGTTTTCTCCAGGGCTCTGCACACAAGATAGTCTGCTTTATGAATGCGTAGCTCTGGTTTTAATTCACAGATATGCATGGTCCAAATGAGCCATAATACAGAAAAAACAATGTTAACCTGTCAGTGTTCTGTGGATAGGCTTTGCAATGTCTGACATTGGTATCCATTGCGGATGTGACCTTTTGAGATACAAGAGTGGCTGTAACAAGCATAGCAGGCAGCACTTGAGACAGACTTTGCAGCCTTACCTCTTGTAAACATTGCATCAACTTATTTTTAAATAGCATGTTTTATGTTCTAATTATTTACTAATAAGCATGAAGAACAGATACCACAAACACCAAGATAATCACCTTTGGTATTTGTGTGTGAACCTTTCTGGTCTGTTTTCTATGCTTAAAGCTATAATTTACAAATTCATATTATGCTATGCATACTGTTTGTATTGTTCTTTTTTCAGTTGGTAGTATATCATGACCTCTTTCTTGCAATAAGTATTATTCACCTAAAATATGATTTTAAAATACTGTCTTATATTCCATCTCTCTCCTAGAAAAATCATAATGTATTTACCCAGTCCCCTTTTGTTGGACATTTAGATTGTTACTGCTTTTGTGCTTTTATAAATAGCATCATGTTGAATATTTTTGAACATGACATTTGCCCAGGCATCGCAGATTACTTTCTGAAGACATTTCTAGGTGTGCAACTACTGGATTAAAATGTGTGAAAAACACCTTTGCTTTTGATGTTTGTTGTTTCAGTCTTACTCTTGAAAATTCTGTACAATTTATACTCTAATAATCAGTGTTTAAGAATACTCATTTTCCCACACTCTTGGCTTTCAAGGTTGACTATCACCACACCTACATATAATCATGATTTGGGCCCCTTCTTTCTAATAGTTGTCTTTCATTTATCCATCTGTCTATCCATCCGTCCGTCCATCCCTTTCTCAATGTATTGGCTGTACCTTCCAGAATAGTGTTAAAAAATAATGGCGATACGTCCCTATTTCTTGTGCCTGACTTTAGTGGAAATATCTCTAGTGTTTCACCAGTAAGTATGATGTTGATTATTAGAGAGATGTTCCCATAATATTAATGTGTTGTGCTCTTCATTTTTTAAATATTAAAGCAGATTATGAAATACCTTCTGTCATATTCAAAGATAATTGCTCATCTCCTTTGATCAGTATGATTGAACTATAGTATTAATTTCCTAATATTAACCACTTTTTATTATTAGAACAAACTCTTCTTAGTCAACACTTACAATTTTTAAAACACACCACTGCATATGATTTAAAGATTATGTTTACTTTATAAAATAAATGGAAATCTTTCTGGCTCTCTATTCACAGAAATACTCATCAGAAACATGAGAACAGGCACATGTTTGTGCTTTTTCCAAGTATTTCTAGTAAATGCATCAGGGTCTTGTGTGACCTGGATGAATCTAAGGTGAAGCCTGTTAGACCCAGGTGGGGGTTATGATTCTGTGCTGAGAAAAGGTCTCATTCAATTTGATTTCTGTTCTTGTTAAATGCTTACTAGTCAGTGGCAAAATACAAATGAAAACACTAATTCCATTCCATGAGCAGGCTTGGCCTAGCCACCTCTGCACTCCCAGGAGGTCTGATACATAGTAGGTACTTTAAAAAGTCAATCCAGGCCAGGCATGGTGCCTCACACCTGTAATCCCAGCACTTTGGGAGGCCAAGGCAGGCAGATCATGAGGTCAGGAGTTCGAGACCAGCCTGGCCAACATGGTGAAACCCTGTCTCTACCAAAAATACAAAAATTAGCCGGGCGTGGTGGCGCATGTCTGTAATCCCAGCTACTCAGGAGGCTGAGGCAGGAGAATTGCTTAAACCTGGGCGGCGGAGGTTGCAGTGAGCCGAGATTGCACCATTGCACTCCAGCCTGGCCAACAAGAGCAAGACTCTGTCCCCACTACCCGCCCCCGCACCCGCCCCCAAAAAAAGTTAATCCAAAGAACTGCAAACTGTGACTTTTGTGGGGTGGGGGCAGCATGTATGTTAATCAGGGCCATGTGGCCAAATACATCCCTAGCATAGGGTAAATGTACCTAATAGCAGTAACTTTAGCATACCCTGAGGATGACCCTGTATGGCAGATGCACCTGAATGTGTGTTCCCAGCTAGGGAATCCGGGAGTGGCTAACTCGGAGATTTCTTCCTTGTCTGTAAGGAACATCTGAGGCCCCGGCCTGGCCCATGGAACATGGGCCGTCCAGGGAATTGAGGCCCTGAGTTTGGAGGGGGTTAAATGAAGTTTGCAGGTGGAGGTCATTAAGGGGAGGGTGTTAAGTAAAAATGCTTTATTTACTGCATGCTGTTTGCAAGAGGTTGCAGTTTTTCTGCCCAGCAGACTGCTGCTTGGCTATGTGGTTATGTTGTCCAGCCCACAGCCACAGGGCCATTTCTGTGTATAAGGAGGTTTTCCTGTCTAACCCTATTGAGGTTAATATGGGTTTGGCACAACACAGAGCGTGTATGACCTCCCTCCACCCACTTCTTCCTTCCTGGTGTAGCCAGGTGATACTGACAGTGGAAAGCCCTAAAGGTCAAAGGTTACTCTGAGGCCTGAGGACACTGATGGAATTGGGAGAGAAGGAAAGAGGGAAATGGATTATGAGCTGATTTTGTGTAAAGACACTGTGGTACATTTTTACCTCTCCAGGTCACCATAAAGTTATTGAGTCCTCAGTGAGACAGGCCTGTCAGCTCCTTCGAAGAAACCAACCTCCCTTCTCTACCTTAGGGATGCCCTGGCTTTCCTGAAGTCTTCTTTGAGGACCTACTAAGTGTTTAGAGCTGGTTCCCAGTGCACTGAAAGTAGCAGATATGGGCCATTTTTTCATTTGACAAATATTTATGGTGGTGCCAGTGCCTAGCTTCATGGCTTGGGACAGAGGAGGTGTCTAATAAGAGATGTTGAGAGGATGAATGGATGGGAGTTTACTCTGATTCAGGCCATGGGCAAGTGAACAACAGTGCAGGTCAAGAAGAACAAGAAGAATGTGTTTCTCTAAGTGTGTACTATGGGGAAGTTGCTAAAAATGCAAATTCCTGGTCTCCGTACAGACTTCCAGTGTCAGAATCTGTATAGGAGAGGCTCAGTTATAGACATTTTATAACAAGCTCCCCCCGAGGTTCTAAGGCACGTTTCAATTTGAGACCTATGCTCTGGTTGATCATTCTTAACGAGATTGTGTTGTGAAAAGCTTCCTTCTCCACAGCCCACTCATTAACAAGCACACACCTATTTGCCTGCTTCTTCTTCACGGCAGGGCAGGGTTAACACATTCAAGACAAGAAGAGTGGCCGGGCGCGGTGGCTCACGCCTGTAATCCCAGCACTTTGGGAGGCCGAGGCGGGTGGATCTTGAGGTCAGGAGATCGAGACCATCCTGGCTAACAAGGTGAAACCCCGTCTCTACTAAAAATACAAAAAAAAAAATTAGCCGGGCGCGGTGGCGGGCGCCTGTAGTCCCAGCTACTCGGGAGGCTGAGGCAGGAGAATGGCGTGAACCCGGGAAGCGGAGCTTGCAGTGAGCCGAGATTGCGCCACTGCAGTCCGCAGTCCGGCCTGGGCGACAGAGCGAGACTCCGTCTCAAAAAAAAAAAAAAAAAAAAAAAAAAAAGACAAGAAGAGCAGAGGGAGGAGGCAAGGGGGTTTGTTGGATTTATTCAAACCATAAAGATGAGTTATAATTTGGAATTGTAATTACCCAAGCAGCTATTGGGAAAAGAGTAGAGCATGACATGGGCGTTCCAGAGCTTGCAGAGCTTGACAAGCAAGGTGGCCCTGGGAACAGAAGAACCACTGAGGAAGGAGCAGCCCCCATGGGAAGGGAAGTGGATTTGCTGAGTGCCACTCTGCGTGTGTCAGGTATGTTCTCCTCTCTGCATCCTCACAACAGCCTTCAGCAGGGTAGGCCATTGTCTTAGGTTGGTTTTGCCCCAGAAGCAGAATCTAAGCAAAGATGTAAGCTCTAGAATTATGTGGGAGGTGATGGTAGAGGAGTGGGGAAGTGAGTCAAGAAAACTAAGATAGCCAATAAAGGGGTGCTAGCAAGCCAGCTGTCTTACTCTGTTCTGGCCGCTATAACAAAGTACCATTGACTAGGTGGCTTATAAACAACAGAAACCTGTGTTACACAGTAATGGAGGCTGGAAGTCCAAGATCAGGGATCAGTCGGGTTCTAGCCAGGGCCCTCTTCTAGGTTTCAGCCTGCCAACTTCTTGTCCTGCCCTCACATGGTGGAAGAGCTAAAGAGCTCTCTGGGGTCCATTTTATGGGGACACTCATCTCATTCATGAGGGCTCCATCCTCATGACCTGATCATCTGCTAAAGGCTCCATCTCCTCACACCATCACATTGTGGGTTAGAATTTCAACCTGTGGAATTTGCAGGACACAGGCATATTTGAACACTGACCACCATGGGTGACTGAAGCTTATTCTCACGAGGGAAACTGGTAGCCAGTGTAGAACACATGTCTCAGAGTTATCCCACCTGTAGGGCAAGACAGCTGGGATATGTATACACCAGCTTCCATCAGTCTATGGTTGGGAGCTGCCCCTAGCAGGCACACAAAGTGGGCTCTGGTGGCACAAGAAGGCTGATAGGTAAAGAAATGCAGGTGCTGGCAGTAGGAGGTCAGCTGGCATGCACTGAAGTGGTAAGTCAAGGGCATGTGGGCGAGACACCCACAGCGTCTGCTACAGCCTTTCTCTGTGAGCCCTTGAGGGAGGACTTTTGTCTTGTTCTTTACATTCATAGCAATCATCACATACTCAGATGCTCCATCGAAATAGTGAAAGCAAACCTAGGAGCTACAAGCTAACTATAATTCAATGTCTGAGAACTATATCTGCATTAAGAATAAAGGCTGGGCTGAGCGCAGTGGCTGACAGCCTGTAATCCCAGCACTTTGGGAGGCTGAGGCGGGAGGATTGCTTGAGTCCAAGACTTTGAGACCAGTCTGGGCAATGAAGTGAGACCCCGTCTCTACAAAAAAATTAAAAAATTAGCAGGTCATGGTGGTGTTCACCTGTGGTCCCAGCTACTTGAGAGGCTGAGGTGGGAGGATCGCTTGAGCTCAGGAAGTGGAGGTTGCAATGAGCCAAGATTGCACCACTGTACTCCAGCCTGGGTGACAGAGCAAGACCCTGTTGTCTTGGGAAAAAAAAAAAACAACAACAACAAAACAGATTAAAGGCCGATAGGCACATGGAGGAGACAATAATTAATTCTTCCAAGGGAGGGTAGCGTAGGAGGTGGCCAGTTGCCTCTTGGGTATTAACAGCATCATCCCTAGGCAGTCACCTTGTCCCTCATGCACTCATTGTCCTGGCTTTAATTTTGGAGCAGTTTATGCTTAGCTGAGGTTTCTTTTTTGAAACTGAACTGCATCAGTGCTACAAAAACAAACCAAAACCAGCCTTGCAGAACATTAATTAAACATACATGCCTCTGAGTTCTCCTCCAATTGTTGCTGCTCTGTGGGCACATGTGTTTATGGAAATAGAATCAGTGCGTACCCACCATTTCTCTTGCAGCTTACGCTGACACTGAGTACGCACATTCCCAGCCCTGACTTTAATCCACACACTGTAGGAGGAGCCCTTCAGAGGCATTCAGAGGGTTAGGGAAGCAGTGCACTGAGAACACCTTTTACTCAGCACTCTCTCCCACCTGTCACTCTCTGTGGCTTCAAGGTTTTTGTTGCTTTGACCATACTTAACATATTTTGAAATGATCTTTATTCATTCATCTACTTGTTGACAATCTTGCTTCTCTGCTCTGGGATGAAGGTACTGTAAGGACAGAGGACTTCTCTGCCTTGTTTGGCATCTGTCTCATGCAGTTGGTGCAGGGCCTGGCACACAGTAGGTGCTAGGTAACTATTTGTTGAATGAATGAATGAGTACACATATACGATATAAGAGGGTCATTATTTTTTCCCTGAGCTGATACCCCTTGCTTAGCTAGTCTCCTATGTAGAAGCATTTGGCATGTTTCCAACTTTCCCTTGCTTTAAATGGTGCTCTCTATACAGGATATTTTGTTCTTCCTTATTACTTCCTTGGGATGTAATTCCTGAAGTGGAATTACAGGACCAGAGGGCCTATCCCTGTTTTATCCAGTAGAACTTTCTGCACTGATGGTAATGTTCTGTATCTGTGCTGTCCAACACAGCAGCTATTAGCCACGTGTGGCTGTTAATACTTGAAATGGGGCAAGTGTGCCTGAGAAATTGAATTTTTAATTTTTTAAAATTTTGAATAATTTAAGTAGCCATGCCTGACTAGTGGGTGCCATATTGCACACTGCAGCTATACACCATTTTAAACCCTTGCTCTGCATTTCCAGGGCACCCTCCTCAAAAATAGAACCCACTGGCTGTGCCACCAGCACAGCCCACGTGTACCCAGTTCCCTACATCTGCCAACAAGGAGTTTTTATGATTCTTCCTAAGCCATGGCAGAAGGGTTGGGGACATTGTCATGTTCCTGCATTCTGGAGGCACCTACTGAAGACTCTCCAAGGGGTCAGATGTGCTAGGAGGGAGAATTCAGGAATGACCCGCCATCCCGGTCGCATGCAGCTTATTGACCGGTCTCTGTGTTCCTTCTGGGAATCAGGTGACAGATGCCTAAGAGGCCTAATCAACCCATGCTGGGAGTGACAAGCTGGGCTTGGGGATATGCATGTGAGTGCAGTGAACTCTGGGGCTGTGTTTTCTATACCACTAATGTAGTCATGTGGTCAAAGGAGGATTTGGAGCCACTTCTGTGGGAGGCAGGCAGTCAGGGGTATGGCTGCCATTTTGGAATTTCTGGAATGTTCTAAGGATGTGAGGATTTCACATGGCAACATATGCAAGCCTGCGAGTGACTCAGCATCCAGAATGGTTATCCTGCTTGCTATAACCTGCCAGATCCAACACATTCAGGACTTAAAGGAATGTGGCCCTTGTGGGCACAGTATCCAGAGGGTGAGCGAGTTTCTCTGTGTATATTTTCCCAGCGCATGGTGGGACTTCTGCCAGCTCTGCTTATTAGCGCACAGCCGAGCACCTAGCATGTCATAGGTGCTTTATAAATCTTTGTGGAACACATACCCCCAAAGTATGTGCAACTATTATAGATCAGTAAGAAAAAAAATGTGGAGAAGTTCTATGGTGTTTGATATTTTGTGGGGGTCCTGGTCTCATTTGAGAGCCTGATGAAAGCTATGGACACTTTCTCCCCGCTTCTGCATCCCCCCCCGCCGCACCTGCCCCAAAATGCTTGAGTGCCCAGTCATGCAGAATTTTACCTCTGATTTCAGGAGTAGAAGAGTCATCCTTGAACTCCTAGGGGCCCATGGGTTCTTCTTGAGAAAGCCTGGGCTGTGGATGGGTGTGTTCCATAGCTTAATGTCCTCTGATGATGTGGGTCCATTTCCCGTGGCTGTTGTAACACATGACCACAAACTCAGTGGCTTAAAACAACAGAAATGTATTCCAACATACACAGTTCCAGAGGTCAGAAGCTCAAAGTCAAGGTGTCAGCAAGGCAGCACCCATTCCAGAGGTTCCAGGAGAGCATCCAGTTCTTTGCCTCTTTCAGCTTCTGGGGCCACTGGCATTGCTCCAGTTTCTGCCTCCATGGTCACACTGCCTCCTCTCTTGTCTCTCAAATCTCCCTCTGCTTTTCTTTTTCTTTTTTCTTTTTTTTTTTTTGAGATGGAGTCTCACTCTGTCACCCAGGCTGGAGTACAGTGGCGTGATCTTGGCTCACTGCAACCTCCGCCTCCTGGGTTCAAGAGATTCTCCTACTTCAGCCTCCCTAGTAGCTGGGATTACAGGTGTATGCCACCACATCTAGCTAATTTTTGTATTTGTTTTTTAGTAAAGACGGGGTTTCACCATGTTGGCCAGGCTGGTCTCAAACTCTTGACCTCGGGTGCTCCACCTGCCTTAGCCTCCCAAAGTGCTGGAATCACGGGTGTGAGCCACCACACCCGGCCGGAGCCATCATGCCCAGCCTGCTTTTCTTTTACAAAGATAATTGCCATTGGATTTGGGCCCCACCTGGGTAATCTCAAAATCTTTAATTTAATTAATTATATCCACAAAGACCCTCTCCCAGAATAAGGTCACATTCACACATTCTGGGGATTAGGATGTGGACATATTGTTTTTCGAGGCCACCCTTCAACCTATTATAGTGGGTATTGGGGGGTGGGGGTGGTTTGCCTTTTCTTGACCTTGACTCACCTTCAAACAGCTCTTGATCAGAGCTGCTAAGTCTCAACAAGAGAGACTGATTTGCATTTTGCCTGTTTTTCTCTGGCCTCAGTCGGTCTCTCCTGAGGATATTCTCTAATGGGGAGACCATCTGAAGGTGATCCAGAGACCCTGAGCGGGGCCCAGATCAGCTCTAAGATGATACAACCAGGCGCCGAGGCATCGAGTCACCCCTGTGTCTCTGATCCTGCCCTGGGTTACAGTCACTGTGAACTCTCTATGTGATGTTCTTTTCTGGAAATGAGAAGGACTGAGTGGGGAGGGGGTTTCACACTGCACCCTTTTTTCATGCATTGACAGATAGTGGGAGAGATCACCTATAAGCCATTCTACTGAGAATGGATAGTTTGCAAGTCATGCGTTTTCAGGCCACAGAAACAAGTTTGCCTTTCAAAAATGGTCTTCCATCCACTTGCAGAAGCTTGCGGGATGGATTCTTTTAGGTGGCATGTGGTGTTTAATTCTGGTGGAGCTGTGTGTGAATACAGCCCGTTGCCTGCTTTGCTGCTCTCTGAGCCTACCAGAAACCTGTGTGCTGCAGCCTCAGGAGGCGTTAGAATATTCTTTACATGTTCCATACCTTATCCTCAGGAAATGCAAGTATCTGTGCTTTCTGGAAACGCATCTTCCGGCAGATAAAAGACATCAGCCATCTGAAAACTTCTCCCTTTCTCTTCTTAACCAATAAATTGCTGTTGTTGCCCTCACTCCCCCTCTCAGGTTCTTGGAGCCATTCAATTTAACGTCCCCAAAGTTTGCGCTGAAGATGCGATGCAAGGACGCGTTAGCACCAAATCCTTCTTAGCAATTATGCTGATGGAAAAAAAAATTCTAGTTTCAGAAGGCTACAGCTGCTTGTCTCTTGGGGGGAAGTTGCTCCAGGTGCAATAAATTTTAATGCCAAGCAATTACATGACCATTCAAAAAATTATTATTTAATATCTCTTTAGCTGAAGAAAACACTCCTGCTTGTGCCAATATTAGGCAATTAGCAAATGGTAATGTGTTCTGCAAACATAAGGCTTCACCCCTTTTATTTTATTATTCTGGTTGTTAACAGCCATGGAAGTGTGGCTACCATTTGTCTCTTGAAGAACAAACAGTTTGTCTGTTGCTTGAACGTAAAGACAGTCACCCACACACATGAAGTGCTAATAATCACGCGTCTTTAATGGTGCTGTAATTTGCAGATAACAGCACTTCAGTTGTCTGCTTTTTTTTTCTTCTTCTAGAATTTAACCTTAGCCAGACATGCCTGGCTTAACGATAAGGTTGGCCATTCGGTTTGACTGGACCTGGGTCTGAACTTTAGCTGTGGGTGTGTTTGGAATAGGAAGGAAGCACTCAGACCAATCAGCTCCTCACTTCTTGACTCAGTCCTCTTGCTCCAGGGCAGGCATCTACAGGTCAGAAATCTCACCTCTACCTGGCTTGGTTGCTGCCTGGAATTCACAGGCCACCCATTCCCTTATAGTGAGCCTGTGTGGATGCCGAGCCCATCTGTGGGGTGGGGCTCCAGTGTATCTTGGGAACCACACAGGTAGGGCTGAGGCTCCACCTAATGACCCCACCTCTCCTTCCCCCTGCCCTTCTCAGCTTCCCTCTTTTCTCCCGGCCCAGCACAGAGACCTCCTCCCTGTCCCTCCTTTCACTCTGACCTCTATGGTTCATCTGCACACAGTAACCAGAACGGGCTTTTTCTTTTAGTGATTGACATATGAAAAGCTGTATGTATGTAACATATACATCTCAATGAGTTTGGGGATAAGGATGTACCTGTGAAATCATTACCACCATCAAGGCCACAAACATACCCATCCCCTCTCAAAGTTTCCTCCCACTTCCTTCATTATTGTTTCTATTGGGTTTTGTTTTGTTTTGTTGCATCCTTAAAATTTGCTAAAAGAGTGAGCTTTTTAAATGTCAACCTGCTGGTATTAATTCCCTGCTGCTTTACTCATCAGTGGCTTCCCATTGTGCCTAGAATAAAATATAAATATCTACATGTGACTTGTTTGATGGCTTGATATTTAGCTGGTATTCATTAGCAAGGCTATACTGGTTATTAGAAGTCTTGTCTGGTTCATTACCTGGGAACACCTCCCCCCGCCGCTCCTTACAATCCAGCAGGGAAGGGTTCACCCCTGACACATGTGGGCCTGAAGCCCACTTCATCACTGCGGTCAGCATCCACCCTGAGCCTGTGTGGGTCCGTGACATAGACTGCCTGGCTTGTAAGGCTTACAAGGTTCTGTGGGTTCTGTGTCATCTGCTTCCCTCTCCAGGTTCACACCTTGGTGTCCTCCACACAGCCACAGGGACCTTCTTTCAGTTTCCCAGACACCCCAAGCTCACGCCGACTTCCCAGGGCATCTGCCCGTGCTTCTGCTTCTGCCTGGAAGGTTCTAACCTCCAAGCCCTTCTCAGGGCTGACCCTTCTCGTCCTTCCTGCTTCAGAAGGGCACCTGCCTCCTCAGAGAAGCCTTTCTTACCCTGCCTCTTTGCTAGGGCCCCTCCCTTATTCTCTCTCTCGGCTCTTTCTTTATTTCATTCATAGAAGTGAGCCCAGCCTTGATTAGTTGTTTGTTTGTTCACGCGTTTTGATGCACTGTTCCCCCTGAGAATGCATGCTTCCCCAGACCTGGAACCGAGCCTGTGATGGTCCCATTTCAACTCCCCAGCTGCCTAATACAGCACCAGGAACCTACGTGTCACATGGTAATTATTCTGGGATGGAAGAAGGAAAGAAGGGAGGCAGGGAAATGGAAGGGAGGCAGGGAAATGAAAGAGAAGAAGAAAAAGTGAAAGTGAGTGGAAGGGGCGAGGCCCACCCATGTGACAATAAAGATAACAGCTGCATGAATGACTGCCTGGGCCAAGGGCATGAAATATATAATCTTTACATTCTCACAATAATCTTAGCAAGTTTGTAGCGTTTCTCCCATTTTATAGATGAGGAATATGAGGCTCCAGCTGGAAGTGACTTGCTCAGATCACACAGGTAGGCAGAGTTGAGGTTAGGGTTCAGTCCTCAACGTCAGCCGACTAGTTGAAATGCCCGAGCCTGGTGCTGGAGGAGGCAGACCCAGCCTCAGCTTCAGTGGGGTTGGTGGGCCTGTGATTCTCGAAATCTTAGAGTGCCTAAGAATTACCTGGGGGTCACGTGGCCACACGCACGCACATATTCATTGCAGCACTATTCACACTAGCAAAGACATGGAATCAACCCAAATGCCCATCAATGATAGACTGGATAAAGAAAATGAGGTACATATACACCATGGAATACTATGCAGCCACAAAAAGGAATGAGATCATGTGCTTTGCAGGGACATGGAAGGAGCTGGAAGCCATTATCCTTAGCAAACTAACACAGGAACAGAAAACCAAACACTGCATGTCCTCACTTATAAGTGGGAGCTGAAGAATGAGAACACATCGACACAAGGAGGGGATCAACACATACTGGGGCCTATTGGGAGATGTGGTGTGGGGAGGAGAGCATCAGGAAAAATAGCTAATGCATGCTGGGCTTAATACCTAGGTGATGGGTTGATAGGTGTAGCAAACCACCGTGGCACACGTTTACCTGTGGAACAAACCTGCACATTCTGCATATGTACCCCAGAACTTAAAATAAAAATTAAAACTTAAAAAAAAAAGTTACCTGGGGGGTCCAGACACAGTGGCTCACACCTAAAATCCTAGCACTTTGGGATACCAAGGTAGGAGGATCACTTGAGCCCAGCAGTTCAAGACCAGCCTGGGCAATATAGTGAGAACTTGTCTCTACAAAAAAAAAAAAAAAAATAGCAGGGTGTGGTGGTGTGCATCTACAGTCTCAGCTACTTGGGAGGCTGAAGTGGGAAGATTGCTTGAGCCCTGGAGGTTGAGGCTGCAGTGAGCCATGATCACACCACTATACTTCAGCCTAGGTGACAGAGTTAGACCCTGTCTCAGAGAAAAGAAAAAGGAAAAAGGAAAAAAAAAGTGTCATCTGGTATCTGGGGTATGTGCTTAGAATGCAGAATTCTGATTTCATTCCCAGAGACGCGATTTTAGTAAGTCTGGCACGCAGCCCTGGAATCAATGTTTTTTAAACACCCTAGGTCTACACTGTGAGAAACACTTTCATTTTCTTATTCTTCAGGGCAGCGACGAGTCTCTGCATTTCCGGGGCCTAGCACAGGGTGCATGGCTGGCACTCAGTAAACGTTAGCTAAATGTATAGATGAGTGAGTGAGTGGATGAATGTTTTTACTTTGGATCTTTTTTTCAATTAAGCAAGAAGTTTTCAGAGTAATTCGGGTCCTATTAGAATTTTAATAGAGTATAGGCTCAAATAACTTTCCTCCTTTCAAGGATATAACCTAATTTGTGTCTGACAAGTAGAGAAGATTGTAGATTTCGTTTCCTTTTTTGCCTGTTGGAAACCGAACATTTTTTCGTTTGTTTAATTGTGTACCACAAAATGTGGAAGATTGATGTCTCTGGATAACATTTATTTGGCAGAATATCTTGACATCGGATGGCTTTTCCTCACCAGGCTCCAAAATGTTAGGAAACAGAGATGTAAGTAAAGAGGCTTGTGGGGCTCTTTCCTTTCCTCCATTTTTCCTTTCTTTCCCTTCCAGTTAGTAATGGTTCCAGGATTAGTGGTAAGGGACTTCTGAAAAGCTTAAAGCATGAAAATCCTGTTAGATAATTGTGCTTCCTGGAGGCCCAGGGGGACTCTTAAGTAAGGAGCTTCGAGGAGGAAAGGGGGTTGTGGGGAGACTTGGCCTGCTTGCCTCCTGGAATCTTCTTTCCCAGACTTGGTGTGCTCCATTCCCAGGGCAGCTGTCTTAGTCCACTCAGACTGCTGTAACAAAATAGCATAAACTGGGTGGCTTAGAAACAATGTTTATTTCTCACAATTCTGAAGTCCAGGATCAAGGCACCAGCAGATTCAGTGTCTGGTGAAGGCCGGCTTCCTGGTCCATAGAGCGCACCTTCTTGCTGTGTCCCCTATGGTGCAAGGGGCAAGGGGTCTCTTTCAGTCCTATTTTATAACAGCACTAATCCCCTTCATGAGGGCTCCATCCTCATGACCTAATTACCTCCCAAAGGGCCCCATCTCCTAACACCATCATTTTGGAGTTAGGATTTCAACATAGGAATTTGGGGAGGACATGACATTTATAGCATAGCAGCAGCCATGTTCTATTAAAAATCTATAAGGGAGTGGGATGCATTTGCTCAGAAGGAATTGAAGAGAATGAAATGGCGCGGCCTTTTTTTTTTTAGCTTTTTTAAAAGCAAAGGGGCCAGGACCAGTTGCTCACGGCTGTAATCCCAGCACTTTGGGGCGGTCCCTAAGGGAGGCTGACAGCTGAGGCAGCACAGCCTGCTGCTGGATAGGTACCTCCTTTGTTTTGAAGGCGACCTTGGTAGCACATGACTTTGTCCACCAGACCTGAAAGAGGGGAGGAGAGCAAGCCAGGTGGACTTGTGAAGGAAGAGTGTTCCAAGCAGAGAGAACAGCAAGTGCAAAGGCCCTGAGGTAGGCATGTGGCAGGAGTTTAAAGAACAGCAGGGACAGCAGTATGGCAGAGTAAATGTGGGGAGGGGAATAGGAGATGCAGTCAGAGAAGTGTTAAAGTCTGGATTGCAAAGAGTCTGTAGTGCCTTGGAAAGAACTTTGGCTTTTCTCTCTGAGCGTCGTGTTGGGAATAGATGCTCAGCATCTAAGGCCCACGTTCATAATCTAAGCTATAGTCTGTGCCAATAGGTCTGAGAGGAGGTGGTGGAGACCCCAACAGGGCAGAGAGCACAGCGTGGGGAGCCTGGTCGGGACACTGGATGGCTGCATCCAGTCTCCTGCCCTCGGAAAGGACTGACTCTTGATGTCACTGTGAAATGTGGGTGCTCCACCAGGTGTTGAGACAGACTCAAGACCAAAGGCCCTGTGAACCCTTGCCTTACAGACAGGGTCACCTAGATGAGGATGGGGAGCAGGTAGAAACCCAGAGATGAACACAGAGCCTCAGCTTCGAGTCTCCAGACCTGGAAAGGAACGGAACCTCCCCCACCTTGCAGTTCTGGCCACTAGAGAGTGGGTAGAATGGCCAGCCACAGCCTGATTGGCTCAGGAACCCTGGAATTTGAGATAAGAAGGCTGGCGGAAGGTCAGGGTCCTGCAGAGAGAAGCTGGGACAGCAGAGCATGGCGATGAGGTGTGCTGCCAGTCCCCCACCCAGGGTTTCTCTTCACTCTTCACTTTCTACAGCATAGCCGAGGGGCTTAGCTTTCTAAACTGTACATTGGCATATAAGTTAGAACCCAGGCTACACAGAGAAGGGGCAATGAAACAAGCCACAGTCCATTGACCACCCACTGTATGGCAGGCCTGGCTAGGCCTGTTAGGGACACTGGCCTGTTTTAACCCTATGACCAGCACCTAACTGTGCTCAGTGGCCAGCCCAGTGGCTATTAGCATAGACTAGATGCTGAAAAAAGATCGTCAAATTTATGAATAAATAAATAAACAAATGAAGAGAATGCTCTCCAAGGTAGATCTGTTATTAGTCCTGTTTTATGTATGAGAAAACTGAGATCAAGGGAAGTTGGTAACTTGCTGTAGAAACCACACATGAGCAGTCATAAGGGAGGTGGAGTCCCAAACCCAGGTCTGCTCGAGATGAAATTAACCATGTCTTCAAAATCCATACTTATTGATGTGCCCCAAGATGTTTGGCAAATGAATAAACTTCAAAAATACGCACTCAACCTTTTGGATAAAAGGGAGATTTTATCGGCAGTGTGGAAATGGGATTTGTTTCTAACGGGGCAGTTAAGGTCAGGCCCCCCGTGAGGCCTAGGGAGGTGCTGAAGTGTGAATGAGAGGGAGCAAAGCCTCCTCAGAGGCTGGGAGGGTAGGGGGACCACAGAGTGCTCCAGAGAGAAGGAAGACTGACAGGCCTGTGATATGCGGCGGGGCCAGTCAGGAGAGGTCCACGTGGAGCTGGCTGAGGCAGGGCTGCAGACCTAGAAATCAGCATCGCTGACCGCTTTGCCTCTGATCGTGGCTCTCCCCCCAGCCTGGGGCCCCATCTTCCTTAAATTAGCTCCGCTGCTGCTGATAATTGCACAGCTGAAGCTCAGGTCTCTATGCAGATCTTTCAGTGGACAGGTATTGATTGTCATCATGTGTCAAGTCTAATCCTACTAGCTCTGGCTGTCAACCCACAAGCACTTAGCAAAACCTCCATCCCAAGGCACTAAGCTAGGCCCTGAGAATTCAAGGATATAAATAAGACAGTTCCTTGGCCTCAAGCAGTTTACAGTCTAAATTCATTCACTGAATAGGCATTTATTGCACACCTACCATATGCCAGGCACACCACATGAGCCACTGAAGGTATGAAAATGAGTAATGCGGAAATAGCGCCCACAAGAAACTCATAAATTAGCATTTATTCACTGGTTTATTCACTTTTTAAACAGCTATTGAGCACTCCTGTGAGCCATGCTGAGGAGTGGTGCCCAGGGAGTGGGTGCCCAGAGACACCTCTAATGTATTAATACAAACAGCACTGACAGAAGAAGGAGAGCTCAGGGCATCTCAGAGAAGAGAACACTGAAAGTTTCAGCAAAGAGAGATGGATGGTTTATAGGCTTTTTGTTGCTGCTGTAACAAATGATCACAAGTTTATTATTTTACAGTTCTGGAGGTCAGAAGCCCTAAAATCGAGGTGTCAGTAGAAAGTCAGCTGCACTTCTTCTGGAGGCTTACAGGAGAATCCACCTCCTTGTCTTTTTGAACGTATAAAGGCCACTTAGATTCCTTGGCTTATGGCCTCTTCCTCCATCTTTAAGGCCAGTAGCAAACATCTCCAAATCTCCCTCTCCCCTCTCCCCTCTCCCCTCTCCCCTCTCCCCTCTCCCTGTCTTCCCATCTCCTCTGTCTCTGACCCTCTTGTCTCCCTTTTATAGAGACCCTTGTAATTACATTGGCCCATCTAGATAATCCAGAATAATCTCCCCATCTCAACGTTCTCAACCTAATCACATCTGCAACCCCCTTTTGCCCTGTAAGGTCACACATTCACAGGCTCTGGGAATTCGAGTGTAGCATCTTTAGGGGGCCCTTATTCTGTCTACTACAGTGGGAAGGCACTGAGGCAGGGGAAACTGCTTCAGTGAAGGTATAGTAAACACGGCGCTGAGTGCATGGGAAAGAGCAGGAGCCTTCCAGATCTCCTAGATGATGTGGGCTTCTAGAGAGGAGTGGCTGGGAGTTAGTCTGGGTAGAACAAGGCCAGCAGCTTGTTCCAAAGCTACCATGTCAGGTACCAGTCATGCTGTCTTTACTCGAATGGCATGTTTATTTGTGGTGGCTTGTTGAAGGGGGTGATGGTTTAGAGACTGGGAGGGCCTAACTCCATGCTGATGGGGAGGGGGACCAGGCACATTTTTGGTCAGGTTTTATAAATTACAGAGATTGAAAATTCAGTGTGCCCTGCAGTGTTGGGAAGTCAAACAGCAACACACTTAAGGACCAGGGTCACTTTCTCCCCTGTGTCCCTCATGTAGAGCAAGGAAGCAAGCCCTATGTGACCAAAAGGAGCTCGGAGCAGCTCTTGGATATGTCCTGGGGTCAGCAGAGCTTCAGCCCAGGGTCTAGCCGCATCTGCATCCATCCCCAGAGTGACTAATGCCAGCAAAGTCCTTAATCCTGGAGAAAAGAATCATTACAGTGGATTATCTGGTAGACACAGGTTGACACAAAGAGGCGGGACTCAAATTCTGAAGACTGTACCCAGATCCCAGCTGTCTTGCTGGCATGCTGTGTGGCTCTGGGCAAGTCACTTAATGTCTCTGAGCTTCAGTTTTCTCATCTGGAAAGTGTGGATAATAATTTCTGCTCTAGAGGGCTAGTAGAAAGATTGAATGATGCTTTCCAGATAAGAATGTTATAATTTTAAAAGGGTGGGATTTTAAAAAGGATATTCTCATTCTTTGAAAGGTTATCACCCACTCAGGATCTCATAGCCCCTCTCAATTAACCAGGACACTTTTCCAGAGCAGTCGGTTCCAGAACACTGTGGGGGACCAGAGAGTGCAGTTCCAGGCATCTGCTCACTGACAAAATAAAACAGGCGGAGGCCATGAGGTTGACTTTTTTTTTCTTTTTTTGAGATGGAGTTTTCACTCTTGTTGCCCAGGCTGGAGTGCAATGGAGCAATCTTGGCTCAATGCAACCTCCACCTCCCAGGTTCAAGCGATTTTCTTGCCTCAGCCTCCCAAGTAGCTGGGATTACAGGCATGTGCCACCATGCCAGGCTAATTTTTTATATTTAGTAGAGACGGGGTTTCAACATGTTGGTCAGGCTAGTCTCAAACTCCTGACCTCAGGTGATCCACCCACCTCGGCCTCCCAAAATGCTAGGATTACAGGCTTGAGCTACCTTGCCTGGCTGATTGACTTTTTAAACCTCCTGTCCCCCTTCCAGCCCTGCCTGGTTTTTCATGTTGATGGTTACCTGAGAATCCAGATCCGCCAAACCCACACCCCAAGCTGGTGGTTGGGAGATGCAGGCAGTGAGAAAGTGAAACGTGTTCTTGCCTGCAACTGGGATGTTTCAAGCAGCTTTGCCAAATTTGAAATTCAAATAGCTGCAGTGCTTCCCAGCGCTGTATTAGTTTTTGCAATTACCAGGTAGAAAAACCTACGACAGAGCTCACAGGTCAACCCATGTAATGGTTTTCTCCATGTGAATTATGGAGCCCACCCTTCCCTGCTTTGCTAAGAGAGAAATCAGAGGTGCCAAGAACAGCCTCTTCATGAAGACCTCCTGCAAGCTAAATACATAATTTTGAAATTGCTTAGAAAGAACTTGAGCTTCAACCTCTGAGCTCCCTCCGGGTCAGCCCTGCAGTATTAGGCCCGAGGGGTCCCAGGAGCCCTTGCGGCTCAGGGTGTTTTACTCTCCTTCCAAATGTTTACGAAGGAGTTGCATGGGCTGAGATGCTAAGCTGGGCCAAGCATGGGCTAAAGACTTTTCCATAATTGTCTTAAGTGAATGTCAGAGCAACCTTGTGAAAGTAAGTTCTGTAATCCCCATTTTAGAGATTAGAAGAATGAGGCCCAGATGGAAGCGGGAATTAGACTGATCTGAGTTGATCAGATGATCAATTGATCATCTCCCAAACCAGGCTCCATCATTTAAGATAGGATTGCTTTGGTTTATTCACCTGCAAAAATGAGGATCTTTCAAGGACTTTAAAGGATGTTGGGAGGAGTAAGTTAAGGTGTGTAATTATGGTGGGTACTCCCAGAGCGGTAGCTGTGTTGAGTTGTGTTGATTGAGTTGCTTGAGTCTCACATCCAGGGTTGGAAGCCTTTGTCTTTGACCACTAATTCCATGCTCTGCCCACAGGGGGCCCCATTCAGAGCCTGAGCTCTGACACTGACTCCAGCCACTGAAAATGATGCCCAGAAAGAATGGAAGGCAGTTCCCAAATAAATGAGAAGAGACAAGAATAAAAATAATTTAAACTTAAAGTAAAACTCTAAACCAAGCCCAAGGCATGGTGTGCAAAGCACCCAGCATCAGCTACATCCAGGAAGAGCATCTAAGCCAGGACAGAACCTGTATGTTCTTTCTTTCTTTCTTTCTTTCTTTTTTTTTTTTGAGGTGCAGTCTCAGCTCTGTCACCCAGGCTGGAGTGCAGTGGCACAATCTTGGCTCACTGCAAACTCCACCACCCAGGTTCAAGCAATTCTCCTGCCTCAGCCTCCCAAGTAGCTGGGACTACAGGCACCCACCACACCTGGCCTCAGGTGGTCCGCCCGCCTCGTCCTCCCAAAGTGCTGGGATTATGGGCGTGAGCCACCACACCTGGCCCCAGAGCCTCTACTCATTGTGGGGCTCAGGACTGTACAGAGTAGTGCTTGGTGATGAGTTCTTTAATGACTGAATGAATGAATGAACCGAAGCAGCATCTGGAAAAGCATGAATGCAGGTGCAGTTCTGACAAGTAAGGGGCAGGAGGAAGCATAAAAGAGAGGCTTGGCTGGAGCCAGGTGCCTGGGGCCATGCTTATGTGGCCACTTGTTAATCGTGTGGCCTTAGGTGAGGCAGCCATGTGCCTGGGCCCTTGGGTTTCCCACTTGTAAAATTGCAGCACTGGGGCAGGGTACACTGCAGAGCCTATAGCCAGCTGGGCTCCAGGAAGCCCAGGTAACATCAGAAGGTGCTATTGGGACTTCTCTTCTCTGCAGATGGGATGGCTCTTCTTCATGCTGGTCTATTTCTTATGTTCGTGAACAGGCTGGGCATGCTCAGATGAAGCAGACCTCCCAGCATCTAAACTGGCTGTGTCAACATCATACACTCAGATAGCACATGGGACAAGTAACCAATGGATGTCCCAAAATGTAGAACTCTAAGCTCTTGCTTCTCCTTTCACTGCCTAAATTTTTCTTCCTGGCTCAGGAGGCTCTGAGCTTCAGGAGGAAGGTTCCCCTGCCCCCATCTTCAGCTGTTTTGGAATCCCTCCAAGAATCATACTGTGTTGGCCACCGAGCAAAATAGCATCAACAGTTACAGACTGTCTGAGTACCCTTAGCCATATTACTTAATTTTTCAGACCTCTGTTCTTGCATTTAGAAATGGGTAATGAAGTACCCACTTTTTTTTTAAGAGATGGGGTCTCACTGTTTGGTTCAGGCTGAAGTGCAGTGGTGTGGTCATAGCTTACTGTAACCTTGAATTCCTGGGCTCAAACCTCCCACCTCAGCCTCCCAAGTAGCTTGGACCACAGGCCTACACCACCACACTGGCTAATTTTTTTTTTCATAGAGACAGAGTCTCACTTTGTTTCATCACTCGTCTTGAACTCCTGGCTTCAAGCAATCCTCCTGCCTCTGCCTCCCAAAGTGCTGGAATTACAGGCATGAGCCATTGTGCCTGGCTGATGTACCCACTTCTGATGGAAAGACATGAGGCTTAACTGAGATAATGAGTTTAGCACAGTGCCTGGTATGCAGTAGGTGCTCAAGGAATGCCAGTGCTCTTCTTTTAATAAAACTTTGCTGTCCCAACGATTAATGTGTGGTAGCTGGAACTCTGAGTAATGAACAGCTCACAGAGACTGGTAGGAAATGATTTGAGGCATTTCTTGGTGGTTACTTGTCTTGTTCTTTCTTATGACTTTTTTCTCCCTTTTTTAAAAAAATCATTTTCTTCTCTTCCCTTAACAGGATGGAGGGAAGTTCTAACTATGCCTCTGGGTTGATATTGTAGGGGCAAGGGAAAGCTTCCCCTTCAAACTTGGAAGTTCTGCTAAACATCAGCTCAAAAAGGCAAACTAAATGGAGAAGAGAAGTACAAATATATTTGATCATAGTTTTAGATGACACGGGAGCCTTCAGAATGAAGACTCCATCCCTCGATGGAGTGCAGAAGCTTCTATACCACCTTGGGGTTGCAGAAAGAATGGGGGCTTGGGTCCTGGCAACACAGGTTATGGGAGGAGGGAGAAGAGAAATTCGATTGAGGGAAATACACGATTATTAGGGAGGATTCAGTGGGCTTGAGGGGCATTCAGTGGTCTAGGACAAGGTCTGTCTGTTGCCCATAAAGTGGACAGTGGTTTGTGACAAAAGTCTGTCCAGGTTTGTCGACAAACTCTAATCCTCCTTCCTGTGATATGCGTTCAGTTCATGAAAGCCCAGGGAGGGAACTAGAGGTCACTGGTTTCTCTGGTTAGTCTGGTCTTTAGGCAAATAAGGCAACTTCAGCCCCTGCTTTGGGAGAGGTGGAGGACTGAGAGGCAGGAGGGGGAGGGGAGGAAAAACACTTGTTCTCCTTTGCGGGTCTCTCTGGGTCTTTATGTAGATGGGGGAAGTCTCTTCTGGCATGTGTTGATCTCTAAGAGCCTTTAATTCAACATACTCATTATAGTAGGAAGCCATATTTTGGGATGAAGTTCTCTGTGCTCCTTCAATATGTGTTTTTTTTTTTAAATGCATGTGAAGTATTTCTAAAGATTCTCAAGTCAAGGAATTCAGCATTAGAAACGGTGCCCTTTTGCAGCACATACGAATTCCGTACGGTGGCCCCTGTGATATTATGCAACTGCCATGTACAGCACGTTTTGCTTTGATAGGTTTGAAAGAAGTGACATTAAAGAGAGAAGAATATGGCACCATAGAGGATGGATTTTCTTACTCTCTCTCACTCATGACTTAATCTGAGATGAGATTGGTTCACTTTGATAGCTCTTTTCAACCTCTTCTTTGCAAAAGGCGAGGTGGAAACCTCATTTCTCTCTTGGCTAGATGCTGCAACTCCAAAGGTGAATCTGTATGGAGAATGTTGAAGGCAGTGTTTTCTGAGACACCCTGCAACCCTCTGCTGCGTTACGCAGTACTGAGCCCTCCAGAGAGGTGCATGTAATGGATGGATGTGCTCCCTGGAGTTAATAAATAACTATCTTCACCTGGTCCCCTCTAATTCATCCTGTGCACAAGCGCCAGAACACGCCATCAAAAACAGACCATGTCTCACTTAAAATTCTCTGGAGGTTTCCCACTGACCTCGCGGTAAAGTCTGAGCTCCTTAGCATGGCAGGCAAGGCCATTGGAATCTTACCCCTGCCTGGTTCCCCACCTGTGTCCCTCACTGCTTTCTCCACCCCCACCTTTCCTTCCCCCCAGTTTTCCTGAACAGGCAGCTGAACTCACAAGCTCTTCCCTACCTCCCAGTTTTACATAGTCTCTCTGCTAGGATGCTTCTCCCCTTTCTGTTTAACTCCCGTTTGCCCTTTGAGACACATTGGAGAATATAACAGTAATAATACTATAACAATCGCTAACAGGTGTTGAGTGTTGTTTACTGCATACCAACCAGTGAGCTAAGTCTGTTATGTACACTCACACCTGTGCAATAGTCACAGCCAAGCTGAGTGGGAAGCACTGTTATTATTAATCCCATCCTTCATCCCCCATTTTGCTAAAGATGTGCCTCTTTTGAGCTTCTGGAGCAGGTATAGACTGGACCATGATTGTTGATTTACTTCTCTGCCTCTTGCACTAAACTGTGAGCTTGTTCATTCATTCATTCGGTCAGCAATTATTGAGCACTGACTATGTGCCAGACACTGTGTTCAATGCTAGGGATAAGATAGGCATAAGAGTGACCCAGACAGATGAAAAGATCTCTGCCCATATGAATTTTTTTTTTTTTTTTTTTTTTTTGAGACGGAGTCTCACTCTGTCGCCCAGGCTGGAGTGAGTGGCGCGGTCTCCGCTCACTGCAAGCTCTGCCTCCTGGGTTCACGCCATTCTCCTGCCTCAGCGTCCTGAGTAGCTGGGACACAGGCGCCCACCACCACGCCCGGCTAATTTTTTGTATTTTTAGTAGAGACGGGGTTTCACTGTGTTAGCCAGGATGGTCTCGATCTCCTGACTTCGTGATCCGCCTGCCTCGGCCTCCCAAAGTGCTGGGATTACAGGCTTGAGCCACCGCGCCCGGCCATGAAACTTACAGTGTCTAGGGGTAAGCCACGGAGGGGAGAGTCTTAAAAATTTAGAAAATCAGGCCAGGCGCAGTGGCTCACACCTGTAATCCCGGGCCAAGGGGGGTGGATCACCTGAGGTCAGGAGTTCGTGATCAGCCTGGCCAACATGATGAAACCCTGTCTGTAGTAAAAATACAAAAAAATTAGTCAGCGTGGTGGCAGGCACTTGTAATCCCAGCTACTCGGGAGGCTGAGGCAGGAGAATCATTCGAACCCGGGAGGTGGAGGTTGCAGTGAGCCAAGATCGTGCCACTGCACTCCAGCCTGGGCAACAAGAGTGAAACTCCATCTCAAAAACAAAAACAAGTAAACAACAACAACAAAAATTTAGAAAACCACATCACTAAAACAATTACAAGTTGTAACAAGTGATGGGCAAAATCAAAACAAGATGTGATACAGAATAATGGGGTGGGGCTGAGACGCCTTTTGACAGGGTGGTCAGGGAAGGCCTCCCTGAAGTTGTGACATTTCTGGTGAGGACAAAAGGTAGAGAAAGGGTCAGCTATGGAACAGCAGAGGGAAAGGTCTAGGGAATCGCATGTGTAAGGACTGTCAGGCAGGAACGAGCTTACGGTACTTAAGGAACCAAGGGGAGGCCAGGCTGGCTGGATAATCAGGAGTTGGGGGAGAGCAGCATAAGATGAGGCCAGGGACCAGTCCTGAGGTTGGAGGCCAAGGTGAGGAGCTGGGATTTTATCCTAAGAGCAACAGGAGATGATGGGAGGTTGCTATAGATTGAATGTTTGTCTTCCCCAACCCCTAAATTTGAATGTTGAAATTCTAACCCCCAAGGTGATGGTATTAAAAGGTGGGGCCTTTGGGGGTGATGAGGTCATGAGGGTGGAGACCTCATAATTGGGATTCGTTCCCCTATAAAAGAGACCCCAGAGACCTAGCTAGCCCCTTCCACCATGTGAGAACACAGAAAGAAAGTGCCAACTATGGGCCAGGAATCGGGCCCTTGCCAGACAACAAATCTGCTGGTGCCTTGGTTTTGGACTTCCCAGCCTCCAGAACTGTAAGAAATAAATGTCTGCTGTTTATAAGCCACCCAGTCTATAGTATTTTGTTATATCAGCCCGAATGGACTAAGAGGGCTTTAAACAAGGGAGTAATGTGATCACATTTACATTTTAATTCCTCTGGTAAACCAGAAAATGGGATAGGGCAAGAATGGATGTGGGAAGAGCAGTGAAGAGGCTGTTGGAGCCCCCAGACAAGAAGGGATGGTGGCCTGGAAGGGCAAGGGTACCAACGAGGAGATGAGAAAAATGTACAGATTGGAGCAAAATTTTGAAAGTAAAACCCTGGGAATTTGGTACTATTCTGCAAGTAGGGGTGAGGAGGGGGAGGAATTGGATGACTCCTGAGTTTCCTGCTAGAGAGATTGGGAGGATGGGGGCACTGTTTACTGAGGGGTGGAAATCCAGGAATGAGAAGGAGAGAACTGGTTTAAGGGGAAATCAAGAATGCAGCTGGGGTCTGCAAAAGTCTTGAAGGTGGAGACCTTGTCTTATTCATTACATATACTCCCAGCACTTACCCTGTGCCTGGCACATAGTAGGTGCTCAATAAGTGCTTGTTGAATGAGTACATACCCACATCTACCTGATCAATGGGGATGCAGCATTAGTCCCTGCTAATGCAGATCTTATCTGGGCATGCCCAGAAGATCCACACGTGAATAGGCCCCAAGCAGGGCAGTGTCCATTATTCACAGGGCCCAGTGCGAAATGAGAAGGTGAGGCCCCTTGTTAAAAATCATTAAGGAATGTAAGGTGGTGACAGCAAATCATTAAACCAACCACGGGTGCTCTGCACTGCACAGCTTGCATGGCCATGAAGCTGGTTTTGCTCCTAAGTAGGAAGCTGACCTATTAAGGGTTAGGGGGGTTCATCCAGGATCTCTGAGATAGAGGCTGATGCAGAACTTTCCATAGAATAGCAGAAGGGGTCCAGATGTTCCAGGAGCTCAGCAGGGACAGGCTGTGTGCAGCTTGTGTGTCTTGGGGAGCAATTCAGCTGTGCATCTCTCCTTGATGATGCATCCTTGCCACCTTTTCAGGCAGGCCCAGGTGCAGTGGGCATTGGCCAGATTGGAGGTGGGAAGGCAGGCCCTCGAGTGGGTGGGGTCCTTCCTGGGCAGCAGCAGGAGGTCTCTGCTCTAAACTGCAGACCCCAGGGCTGCATGCTGGGGGAGCTGCATGGTGCATTTCATTCCTCTCTTTTACTCACCCTTTTCCTCTCATATTTGTACCTCTGTTAAATCTGGTTACTTTATATTATAGAAAATAATAATAACAAATGGTGCTAATTACTCAGTCTTTGGTATGTGTCAAGGACTGTGCTGAACACCTTATTGTTACAGTCATATTTAACCTTCACAACAACCCTTGAAATTAAGCAGTATTCTCCATTCCCATTTAAGAGAGAAGGAAACTGAGGCTTAGCAAGATCAATCAAGTCACTTGTCCAAAGAGAAGAGACATTGCTATTATGGAGTTAGCACCTGCTACACATTATCTCAAATTCTAGATTAGTACTTTCAGTTTATGGAAGAGGACAGTGGGGTCAGAGAGCCCAAGCATGTGGCCTGAGGTCACACAGCTAGAGAGAGGCAGAGGATTTGAATCCCGTCTCTCTGATTCTAGAGCTGTGGCATGGTGCCACATTGGTGGGGATAAATCTGCACCACTTAACTGTATGATCTTAGGCAAGTTTTCTAAAGAAATACTTTAACATCTGCATTTGTCTCCAAGCCCAAAGGGGGTTCAGGTCCATGGTTCTTTCATATCTCTGTGCTGTCGCCCATGCTGGTCTTTCTGCCTGGTGTGTTCTTTCTGTCTCTCAGTGGGGGATCTTACAAGATCTGGTTGTGATGGGATTTTTTTTTTTTTGGTGTTGTTTCCCCTACAGATAGTGAGCTCCTGAAGGTTGTGAGCAGTGTCTCACTCACCACTGCTTCCTCCATGCCTATTCCAGTTCTCAGTAGAGAGTAGGTCCTGTGTCAGTTAGCTGTTGCTGCATAGCAAACCACCCCAAAACTCAAAATGACTTAAACAATAAGCATTTATTAGTAGTATTCACAAGTCCAGGGGATAGCTCTATGGTTCTTCTGTTCTCAGCTGGGCTTTTGCATGTATCTTCTAGGTCAGCTGTAGGACGGGGAGTCAGCTCTGCTTTCTGGACTGGGCTCTCTCACAGGTTAGGGTCAGCTGGCTGCAGGCTGGTCTAGGACGGCCTCTGATGGTACAGCTGGGCTTTCCTCCACTGTCTCTAATCCTATAGCAGGCTAACCCAGGCCTATTCGCATGGCCATGCTAGGGCACCCAGAGAGGGAGCAGAATTGAACAAGTTTTCTTTAGGTCTGGGCATAGCATTCAATCTTGTTATAGCACCATCACATCCACTGCACTGTCTTGGCCAAATGAAGCCACAAAGTCCAGCTCAGAGTCAAGGTGCAAGGGCGCTTGCAAAGAATGTGGACAACAGAAGCATGAGAAATGGAATACAAATGTATCATAAATGTTTATTAACTAAATAAATGTACATTTAACATGTGCCAATAACTACCGTAAGCTTTTTCCATATTAACACGTTTAATCCTGACAGCTTACCCGCTGAAGGAGTTACTGTTTTATCCCCATTTCACAGATAAGGAAACAGAAGCACAGAAAGGTTATGTAACTCAGGGGTCCCCAACCCCTGAGCTATGGGCTTGTACTGGTCCATGGCCTGTTAGGAACTGGGCCGCATAGCAGGAAGTGAGTGGCAGGCAAGCAAGCGAAGCTTCATCTGTATTTATAGTCGTTTCCCGTTGCTCGCATTACCGCCTAAGCGGCAGCATTAGATTCTCAGAGTGGCACGAACCGTATTGTGAACTATGCATGTGACAGACCTAAGTCGTGCGCTCCTTATGAGAATCTAATGCCTGGTGATCTGTCACTGTCTCCCATCACCCCCAGATGGTACCATCAAGTTGCAGGAAAACAAACTCTGGGCTCCCACTGATTCTACACGATGATGAGTTGTATAATTATTTCATTATATATTATAATGTAATAATAATAGAAATAAAATATGCAATAAATGTAATGCACTTGAATTATCCCAAAACCATCCCCCTACCCCCAGGTCCATGGAAGAATTATCTTTCATGAAACCAGTCCCTGGTACCAAAAAGATCAGGGACCGCTGATGTAACTTGCTCAAGGTCACACAGCTAGGAGGTGACAGAACCTGGATTTGAACTTGAACAGTTTGGTTCTAGTGACGGTGCATGTGGCCACTTCAGTAGTCTTTCTTTTCTTTTTTTTTTTTCTTTTTGAGACAGAGTTTCGCTCATTGCCCAGGCTGGAGTGCAGTGGTGTGATCTCAGTTCACTGCAGCCTCCACCTCTTGGGTTCAAGTGATTCTCCTGCCTCAGCCTCCCAAGTAGCTGGGACTGCAGGCACCCGCCACCACGCCCAGCTAATTTTTGCATTTTTTAAGTAGAGACAGGGTTTCACTGTGTTGGTCAGGCTGGTCTCGAACTCCTGACCTCAGTTGATCCCCCCGCCTTGGCCTACCAAAGTGCTAGGATTACAGGCGTAAGCCACCGTGCTCGGCCCTACAGTAGTCTTTCTTTCCCTTGATAATCCTGGGCAAACCTGAACATTGTTCACAGCTGCCTGTGTTAGCCTGGAATAATGGTCTGACAAGCTCATCTTTGATGGTAATGGTTGTTTTTAATCCAAGGGTGTGGAACTTTGAGATATGGCACCCACGGCTCATTTAAATACAAACTGCTTCAAAGGCTATCCCAAATTTTATTGCCTGGCAGCAGAGCTGGCTTGCCGAAAGATAGACTCCGAAGTTTTATTAACTGTCACCATGGCAATTTCGAAGACATTGGTTATGCCGAAAGATTTCCTGACACTTCTTATTTATAATGGTGCTGGCGGGTCCCAGGCAGGCTGATCTATGGCTTTTAATCAACTAATGGATGGGGTCTCTGGGTACAGATTCACAGTGTTCAATCTTGTTAGAGCAGAAAAAAATGCTGCGAGCTCAGAGCTGTCCCAATTCCCAACACAGGGACAGAGTCCTTCTGGGCAGACAGCAATAACATGGCTCTCCTCAGCTTGATAAAAAGCAGCACTGTCACCCAGGGCCCTGGAGGCATGGCCTCAGCTGCCTGTTGCATGCCAAGGCTTATGTCCTGTTCTTCCATCTGTACCTTCCCACTTGGCAGAACGGGCAAAGAGAGCCAGTGTGGCGCAAATGTTCACGCTGCAGGAGGCAATCAGGACATTACAGTAAGAATGGAGACTTTGGCAACAGAAAGAAATGGGTTCAAGTCCCTGCTCTGTCCCTTACTAGCCGTGTGACCTCGGGTAGCTTGCTTGACCTTTGACCTTGCTGAGCCTCAGTTTCTTCCTTTGTAAAATAGGAATAATAACATTGTGAAGATTTAAATTAAATCTTAAATGGGTGATTCATTTAACTTTGCACAAAGTTGGGTGTGAGTACCCAGTAAATGTTCACCTCTGCTATCTTTGTTCTTTCTCCTCATCCTCATCATCATTGCTGAGACTATGTCAAGCCCTGTCTAATGTCCCCCTTTTTCCCAGCCCAGTGCAAAGGGAAATAGTGTGTACTGAGTGCCTACTGTGTGCTAGGTATCTTAAATGGCCTTTGTTATTTCATCGTCCCCACTCCCAGGGGAATAAAGCAGTTTTATTGTGATTTGACAGGTGAACAGAATGGGGTCAGAAGTTAAGTGACTTGCATAAGGTCACTCAGTAAGCAAAGGCAGACCTGGGATTGGAGCCCAGTCAGGACCAATGCCAAGGTCCATGCCTCTGGGTAGTTGCCAAGAGGACTGGAGCCAGAACAGCAGCCCCATCGATCCTTGTTACATGGGACAAGACAGAATCTAGGGGGATAGGCCTCCTTTGGAAAGTCTTCAAGGTGGAGACTTGGCATGGTGGGGCCAATGGGGACCACCAAGGACCCTAGAGTATTACACCTGGAAGGCAGATCCACCCCTCACATTACTGATGGGAAAATGAGATCCAGAATGGCCAAGTGTCTTGCTGGGAGATACACATACAGGTAGGGGAGAGCCAGGACTTGAACCCTAGAAGCCTGGGGAGTACCTGTGGGCAGGAAGGCCTCATAGGGCAAGGGAAATCCAACAGGCTGAGTTCCTCTAGATACCCTGTCCCCAGCTCTCCTCACCACCAGCTTACCTGCTACTTCCCACAGATGAGGCCATGAAACACTGAACCTTCCTGTGTCAGGGACTCTGGGGAATGAGGCCCTTCTCCTTTATTCATCTGCCACCCCCTGCAGGCCCCCTCTATGCCAGGCATGGGAATAGGTGTTGGGAGCTTGGCGGATGCCTTGAAACTCTAAGGCCTTTGAGAACAGGGGGGCCTGCCTCCTTCACCTACTCCCCTGCAGAACTTTGCAGTGTTCTGTATTAGTCTATTCTCAAGCTGCAAATAATAAAAAACAATCCAATAATAATAGCTGACATAGACATGTAGGGTTGGCAGTGTATCCGGCACCTCAGACTCATCTCAGTTGATCCCTGCCCCCCACAACCCTATGGAGTAGGCACTGTTATTATGCCCATTTTACAGATGAGGAAACTGAGGCCCAGAGACATTACATAATTTGCTCAAAGCCACATGCTAGTCAGTGAGGGATCAGAATCCATCCCAGAAAATCTGAATTCAGAGCCTTCTCACATTGCCGCACTGAACCCCATGGTAAATTCATTCATTTGTGATTGATTGATTGATTCAACAAGTATTTACTGAGTGCCAGCTACTATGGTAGACACTAGGGATCCAACAGTGAGCAAAACAGACAAAACTCCCTGCTCTTGCGGACCTTACCATCTACAGAGACAGGCCATAAACAAAATTCAAACCTATAGGAGGTTAGATGGAAAAAAATGAAGCAGGGAGTGCTGCAGACACAGTTTTAAGAAGGCTGATCAGAGATGGCCTTGAAGGGGAGGTGATTTTGAGGAGAGCCCTGATGCAAGTAAGGAAGTGCCTAGTGCCCTTCTGGGGGAAGAATATTACGGGCAGAGGGAGCAGCAGATGCAACAGCCCAGCGGGGTGCAGGCAAAGAGGCCAGTTATCAGACCCTAGCTCCTCAGCCATTTATTAAGTGACCTGCATTGTGGCTGCGTTTCTTCTGAGTGAAGCCAGGGCTTGCCTGGTGGCACACACAGCCATGCACAGGCCCTCTGTGGGGCAGCCCTGTGTGCTGTGGGTGGCAGGGGCCGTGGCCCGGCCCTCCAGAGTGCCCCCTACAGCCCGACTGAGCATGGCCCTCCCGCCCTGCAGACAGAACCCCTGGCATTCATCTCTCAGTGACTCTAAAGCAGCCAGGGGGGCAGGGGTGGGGTTGGGGGGCCGTAAGAAAAGGAGCCTGAAGCAGGAACCTGGGAAAACAGGCTGGCTCCCTGTACCCTCCTGGTGCCCTGCTACATCAGTGTTCTGGGAATGGCTATTTTCTCAAGGGGCAACTTCTCCCCAAACCCTTAACAGGGTACCAAGCCACCTGTTTTCTGTTA